>NC_000003.12:139463149-139766180 GCF_000001405.40 Homo sapiens | reverse complement strand
CTTAGGAAGCAAATGCCATACTCCAGGTGAGATCAGGGCTGGCTCATGGGCGTAATATGACTTGTGCAGTCACACAAAGCCCCACACTCAGAAGGGCCTCCCCTTGGTTTAATGCTGTCCTGTCACTGTCTTGAAATTCTTAATAACTGTTGAGCAAGGGGCCCTACATTTTCATTTTGCAATGGGCCCTGCAAATCACGCAGCCATTCCTGGATGAGAGATACAAGGGCCTGAATCAGGCCAGAGATAATAACGGTTTGAACCAGGGCAGTAGCAAAGAGGACAGAGGGACCACCCCCTCACTGGGAAAGCATCACCCACTTTTCTAGCTCCCCAAAGTCATGGGCACCTGCCAGTTAAAAACAGGGGCCACAGTTTCAGAAAGTTTATTGTTGTAGGTGTAGTAAATCATGGTAGACTGAGTGAAGGGGACCAGAAGCCAAAGAAATGCATGGCCTTCCACTAGCCAGCTGGAACAATACTCCCATTCAATAAGGGATGGTTCTTGCCCACCTGGCATGCTTTGGAAGAGAGAAAGAAGGAACCTGTGCAGCACATGTGAGCAATGAGAAGCCTCATTGCTTTTAACATTGAAATAAGAACACATTTCTCTCAATGTCCATAGGCTGAATGCTGGGCAGCAGCACCAGAGCAGTTCCCTGATGGCAGGCCGGACTTGGACAAGGTCAATAATCTCAGGTTTTCCAGGGAGGCCTATGGGGTAGTCGTTATGAGCACGGACTCCAAAGTCAAGGGTATCTAAGTTCTCATTCACTCCACCACTATTAGTTCTGTGACTCTGAATAGTTTATTTAACCTCTCTGAGCCCCCATTTCTAGTAAATGAAAAACCAATAATACCAACTGCATGGAGGGGCTGCGTGAATCAAATGACATATTGTGCTTGTGAAACTCTTAGCACATTGCCTGGCCTTGAGCCTTAGTCTGCTCAACCATGAAGTAGGGATATAACTTAGCCACTCTGTCATAACGTGGCTGGAAGGATTCAAGTAGATGATTCATGGGTAAGTGTGAGGAGCGTTTGTTTTTGTTGTGGTCATCATGGCTTGGGCTCCCTGACTCAGACCATTTACCCTAAGATTGATCTCCATGATGAAGCTGATCCCACTGGGCAGATGTCAGAGGAAGTGCTGGCCCTGCCCATGGAGGAGAATCCCACCTCCAGCCCAGCAACCTAAAGGAAGCTGTGTCCCTTCAACTATGCCTCCATAAGAAGAAGCATATGGTTTTCTCAATATTTCCCTTGGTGACACCCAGAGGAACCCACTCTATATCCATAATCCTCTTCTTTATACCACAGTCAGCACTCTGAATACTGCAGTGTTTGGGAGTTGTGGTTTAAGTGTGTGTGTGTGTGTGTGCACATGTACTTGTGTTGAGGGAGAGGTTTCCTTTAAATGACCAAGGGATGATGGTACATATTTGCTGGAAATGTTTGTCACTAGCAGACAACCACCAAGGAAGCGTGAGCTCTGTTCTTCACTCCCTGCCCCCCACAGTGGCCAGCTCAGGATTACTGACCATTCCTTGTCTTTTGGACATGGACCATCTGATTCTATTTCTGAAACTTTGTACTAGATAGTGTAAAATAACAAACTGCCGTCTGGCAGTTGCAGAGGTCACTATTAAACAGAGAAGGCATTTTTCAAATTTCTCACCAGGGAAGTAGGTTAAAATCTGGAGTGCACACAGGAAGGAGACAGAGATGGAAGGCGCAACCTTGGAGTCCTCCATCCCAGTTTTTCCAGCATTGCTTATGCCCTGCCTGAGAGGATGAGGGCCTGGAAAGCCAGCTGGGGACATTATCACTGGCAATAATTTCAGCACCAGTCATTGTTTTTGAGAACTCACTGTATGCCAGGCATCACGCCACATCAAAAGTACCCTGGTTATGCATGAACTTTGTAACAGTCCCACAGGCGAGTGAAGCAGGAAGGACACAGGCGGTGGGGGTAGACAGGCTGAGTCGGAGTGCTGCTCCATCTTTAGCTGGGTGAGCATAGGCAGCCATTTAAACCTCCAAGGCTCAGATTCTTCACCCATAGAATAAGGATGATATCACTTTCCTCCTGCCAGAGGTACACCAGATACCCATCTTGTGCTTGTGGGAGTTGATTGTGCACTTGTCTTTCCAACTCTGTGTTTAGCGATGTCAAGTGGTGGGTTGAAATTAGCCATGTTGAAAATGTTTACATCTCAGAAATTGGCAAACCACAAATCAAGGCTTGCTTTTTTTTAGAGAGAGAGCTAGTTGTTAAACATTTATCAGCACACTAATATCTACCTCATACACATAGAAACTAAGGGAAATAATGTCTTTATAGCTCTCTGCATAATTCCTGGCACATACATGCTCAAAAGTTAATAACTATAATTATGTTTCATATTTTCATACAATGAAACTGATGCTCAGAGCAGTTGCATAACTTATCCTTGGCCACATAACTGCTATGTGGCAGAGACTGGCTGGTTCTGTCTGTACCTCTGTCCCCTCACTACTCTGCACAGCCTCTCGGGCAGAGGTACAGGTGAAAGTGAAAGAAGAGGAGGAAACAGTGTTCAGCAACTTGGTGATTCCTGGATGGAGGGGCAGGAGGGGTAGTGGAAAGGGAAGATTTGAGCATATCTGGAGGGACAATGGGACTCAGAGACACCAAAAAGCCATTCCAGGCTAGGGAATGAAGTGAGCAGAGGCACAAAGATGGGAGTGAGAGTGGCCCATAGCCTGGGTGAGGTTGTTTGCCTCCTTCTTACAGCAAGGACACAATCCAAGCCAAACTTTGACTTCTTTGCAGTTCTTTCAATGTTGGCAAAGTTTTGGAGTCTGCAACAGTCTGCTTTAAACTTACATTGCCTTCCACTTAGGAACGCCATCCTCCCAAAAGCCACTATAATGTGCTCATCCTTCTTGTAGTCTCTCAGACAAACAGCTCTAGTTGTTCCAAAGTTCTCCTTCATGTCCCCTATTGCACCACTCAGTTAGAACACATTTAGGATTAAATACAATATAACCTAATTATATTTAATGATAAGTAGTGAAGTTTTTTAAAATAAAGTCATCGTTTTATTGGTCATAGTAGTAGATTTATGGACCATCTTCATCTTATTGTTTACCTGTCCCTGTGAGGTTGGTGTCATCATACCCATATGAGAGATGAGGAAAATGAAGGCTCAGAAAAATCCAGTGACTTGACTAAGTAACCTCGGCTGGGAGGTTGCTGTAGCAGGATTCAATTTCAAATCTGTCTGACATCAAAGCTCCTATTCTTCGCACCAAGCAACCCACTATTTTTCTGTGGCCTGTTTTGGTACACATTCAGCTTCCTGGCAACAGGCCCTGATGCTGCATCCCCCCTCATCCCCTCCAGGAAACCTGCAAAGAGCCCAGAATGCACACTCTGATCAAATGTTGCTCAAACTAGTAGCAGCGTTTGGAAGGCGCTTCATGACCTGCAGAGTTGCTCCCAGTATGAGGCACTGCCAAGTGGGAGCAAACAATACTTGTGTCCATGCTCAAGGCATTGGTGGGGATTTAGTCTCAGTGACTTGGGAGTATTAGGCTCCCAAGCGCTGCCAGCTCCAAGCAGCAGCCCCAGTGATTTCGAGCATTTGCTGCTGAGACATAGCAAGCAGATGGGAGCAAGGCAGCCTGACCGGGGGCAGGCATCCCATGCCTGCCTCTGCCGAGTCACACCAGAGAAAAAATCAGAGGACGAGGACTGAGATAACGAGCAGATGCCCACGAGCTCCTTTGGTCACCAGACAGCTGGGCCTAATGGAAAGCCCACGTGCCTGGAATCGGAAGGTGAGTTCTCCTCCTGACTACTAACTCAGGCTGCATAACCTTGAGCAAGGAATTTCCCTAGAAATGTCAGGCTCCCCAGCTGTCAAGTAGAAATAGTAAGACTTAACAGGTCTACCTCATGCAGCAGCACTGGCCGTTTCAAATAGGGTCTTTCTCAACTCTGAGCTCTTCCAAGAAGCATTTTATTATTATTTCTGGACAGTGTTTTCTCCTATCTCTGAACTTTTCTTTTCTTTGAGATGAAGTCTCACTCTGTCGCCAGGCTGGAGTGCAGTAGCGTGACCTTGGCTCACTGCAACCTCCACCTCCCAGGTTCAAGCGATTCTCCAGCCTCATCCTCCCAAGTAGCTGGGACGACAGGCACATGCCACCACACCCAGCTAATTTTTGTATTTTTAGTAGAGATGGGGTTTCACCATGTTGCCCGGGATAGTCTTGATCTCTTGACCTCATGATCCATCTGCCTCTGCTCCCGAAGTGTTGAGATTACAGGGGTGAGCCACTGTGCCCGGTCCCGTCTCTGAACTTCTAAAGAATTTGCTCAAATATTCTGGTTATAAACATACTACATGATCATTGTGGAAAATTTAGAAAATACATAAAAGAAAACAACATAAATTATTCATAATTCCATCATTCATAAATATTTTTCACATTTTGTTATCTATCATGTTATATATATATATAAATGGTTAAGATAATTTTCTACAGTTTGCATTTTTCTTTTTTATTTAATGCTATATCAAAAAATTTAAGGTCATTAAAAATATGTTTATGAGCATGATTTTTAGTCTGTAAAATATCCCATTGTATCCAAGTGCCAATCCATTTAATCCTTCCCCTATTGTTGAACATTTAGAAGTCTTCCAATATTTTGATATTATAAATTGTATTTCACAAACATCTTTCTTCATAAAGCTTTTTTCTTCCCCATCTCTGATCATTCACTTAGATTTCTAGAAATGAAACCGTCTTGTCAAAGGGTAGCAGCATTTTGAAGGCTCTTGTGGCATACAGAAATGTCGCAGCAATGTTCATTCCCATCAGCAATGTGGGCTAGGCCAACCTCCTATGGTCTTTCCATCATTTGACTATTATCCTTTTTTAAAGTCTTATTATTCTGATTCAGATAAAATAGGTTCTGACTGCTGCTTCATTCAGATTTTTTAAATTACTTGTTAGGTATTCTGCTCATTTCCATGATGGGCTTAATTCTGCTTCACAGATCTGCCTGTGTCTTCCATTGCATCCACCTGTACATCTATCTAATCTCCTGAGAGACAAGGCCTGAACCCACAGTGGTGGACTGCACCAAAATGCCTTCTCTGGCCCCTGTTCAGATGTCTCAGAAGGGTCCCATCACTTTCCAACCTCACCCAGTCTGTCTTGTGATGTGCCTGGCTCTTTCCTCACCGACTCAGGATCTTTAAAGGCCTCCAGGGCCACATCACACAGCAGGACCTGGCAGCCAAGACAGTGAATTGCGATGGCTTATGAGCCTTCCCACCCATTAAACAGAAAGCTTCTTGAGAGGCTCTCTGTATCCATTAGCTCTCAGTGTAGGGGACACTATTCCCTACCTTTCTCTGTGTTAACAAGCCTTGGCCCACAATAGGAATCTTCAGTCCCAAACTCCCCCTAGAAGTACCAGTTAGGAGCATACATCCTTTCCTCCATTTCCCAGTCACTCATGACAGTGTGTGAGATAGGAGAGACTGGCAGGAAGGAGCTGGGCGTGTGCACAAGTCAAGCTAGTCTCCGGGACTCTGTCAAGTGAGACTGCCTGACCTCAAGATGCCTGTCCTTCTCCATGCCTAAGACTACAAGGTGATCCTATCAAGGCAGGCCTCTCTCCCATGGCTTGTGCCAACGTCAGCACAGTTCAGAGAGGATGAGGAGCAGAAAGGCCCCAAATGACCTCAGATGCAGGCCTTTTCTCTCTGCTCTCCAACCTTAACACCCATAATGCTGATGTTTCGGTTTCTCCCTAACTTGCTGGCCCAGGAGTCATTAAGAGAAAGGAAAGAGAACTCTTGTCACCCCAGGTTCTGCAACACTCACAAAGGTGGCTTTGTGTAGGGAAAGGCTGCATCAGTGGTCTTGCCACCCTCTTCTAGAACTAAGTGAGAGTGCTCTGGAATTAACAAATAAGTAATTTCTAAAATCCACGAAATTAACTTTTTATCTTAGACTATTGTTTCTCAAATTTATTTCTAGATTTTGTGGGCTATGATTGGCATGCATATGTAAAAAATAAAACTTTGGGATCAATTTGCATTAGAAGAACTTTGTAAAACAAAGTTAATAGGTTTGTTACCCACGAGACTTCTCAGAGTCTTTAATATACTGATATATGTTGTGAATCTTCAAGAAAAGTTTGAGACATATGTTTCACAAACATCTTTGACTTCTGAACTCTTTACTGGTTACCTCATACAGAACTAGGGTTCAAGAGAGCATGACTTGGGAACCCTACATTATGTCTCACATTTCCCTCCACCATATATGTATGATATTTCCCAGGAGAAACATCATACACCTCTAGTAGGAAAGAAAGCTCTGGCCTAGTCTCTCCCTGAATCAATTCTCTTTCTATCCAAGTCCTAGCGCAGGCTCTGGGACTGAGTCTGCTTAGATAATATAGGGCAGAGGTCAACAAACTTTGTCTTGTAAAGAGCCAAATAACAAATATTTTAGGTTTGGCAGGCCATACAGTATCTGTTGCAACTATTCACCTCTGCTATTCCAGCTTGAAAGTAGCCATAGATAATACTCAAATGGGCATGGCTGTGTTCTAGTAAAACTTTATCCACAAAAACAGACTGCGGGTCACATTTGGCTCAGGGACCATAGTTTGCTGACCCTTGTTGTAGGGCATCTCAGACTGGGGAGGAAGGGCCCCTGGGGACTGAGTCTGAAGAAGTAAGTTGTGATAGGGGAAGTCATGACAACCCCCCAAGGGGAGTCCAGTGACCCACCCTTGGACAAGAAAGCATTTCCTGAAGCCTGCCACAGTGCAAATGATGGGTAAACAGTCATTTTCCCTCCCTGCTTTGGGGTTCAGCAGGTATAGCTGCCTTCAATACTCAATGCTACCGGTGTGTGATCATAAAAAGTTTCTAAAACGTGAAATGCCCCTGGGAAGCCACATGAGGTCTTGTGTGAAATCCCCAGCATTCCTCAAGAAGTGGATTTCCTTAGGTGAACTGAGGGTCAGTGGCCTTGTCTGAACCAGGATGCTTAATTAGAGAGCAGCTGCTGCAAACTCAGGCGGGAGAATAGGACCAAGTGTCTGCCTGCATTCCATGTGCCATTCTTACTCCTGAGTCCACTGTAGGGGAATGTGCAGGGAATGCAAGGACTGCCAGCAATGTAACCCCCAGAGCACTGGGCCATGTGGACTGAACAGGCTTCAGAGAGAGCAAAACAAGTGCCATTATCTATAAGTCAGGCCTTATCTTCCAACCTGTGATGGAGGGAACCGTGGAGTGCCATCACTCAGAATCAAGGGCTTTGTCAGCAGTGTGATGGGGCAAGCACAGAGGGGTGTGACTGTAGACAAAACCAGCTAGGAAAGCTTCCTGAGGGACTCAGAAAACCCCTCCTCACCCAGAAATTAATCCCAGGTGCCTGACCACAGCTAGAGACCCATCACTTCTTCTTTTTTTTTGTTTAGATCGAATCTCACTCTGCTGCCCAGGCTGGAGTGCAGTGGCCCAATCTTGGCTCACTGCAACCTCCACCTCCTGGGTTCAAGGAATTCTCCTACCTCAGCCTCCTGAGTAGCTGGGATTATAGGTACGTGCCACCACAGCCGACTAATTTTTTGTATTTTTAATAGAGACAGGGTTCCACCATGTTTGCCAGGCTGGTCTCGAACTCCTGACCTCAGGTGATCCACCCGCCTCGGCCTCCTAAAGTGCTGGAATTACAGATGTGAGCCACCACACCCAGCCACTCATCACTTCTTTAGGGAACCCCCAGTGGAACCTGCCTGATCATTGGCTTATCCACGCCCTGGAGCAGATCTCATCATGACCGTACACCTTGGATTTCTCTGAAGTCTTAATTTAAAATACTCTGCCCCAGGTTTGCCATGAGTCCTAATCTGTCACTCAGAAAATGTACAACCGTGACCGTATTTGGGGAAATAACTATGGTAATCTAAGTTATGACCAACAATTTGGGAGCTAGTTCTACATAGAGAAGGCTTCCTGGGAAGTTCAAGTTGGAAGATGCAGAAATATTGAACTTCCTGGGTCATCTCAAGAATCAAGAAAGACTATGGTACAAGATGTGCTGAAAAGGCCCTTATATGAGTAGACAGGGGTATCTTGGCAGAGTACCAAGAGCATCCATTAAAAGTGTTTATTAATAATTATTATTATTAATTATTAATAATAATTATTATTAATATTACTTATTATTAATAATAATTATTATTAATATTACTTATTATTAATAATAATTATTAATTACATGGTTCACTCCATCACAGCTTGGAAGGTAAGGCCTAACTTACAGATAATGGTGCTTGTTTGGCTATCTCTGAAGCCTGTTCAGTCCACATGGCCCAGTGCTCTGGGGGTTACATTGCTGGCATTCCTTGCATTCCCTGCACATTCCCTTCACATTCCCCTACCTATTATTATTAATTATTAATAATACAATTAATAATTAGATATTAATAATATATTAAATATTAATAATATAGTTATAATGATATTAATTAAATATTAATAATAATATAATTAATAACAATGATAAAAATGTTTGCAGACAAGAACCAATTGAGTGCCAAGAACTTCACAATTACCCATAGACAGATAAAACTAAAACCAGAGGCCTTTCCTCATCCTCTTAAACTGGCATGTATTAACTACAGTCTGTGCAGGAAGCCACTCCAGGTGATGCAGGGTGGCCAGAGAACTTGCCCTCGAAGAACTTATGACCTACTTAAGAAGTCAAGTGGTTAAATTTTAAAATTACATAAAAATAGAAAAGTCCAATAATACCTACACATCAAAATAAAAACAGAACTACCATTAGGCAGTATTTTGTACCTACCAATGGGCCTGAATGGAGGAGAAAAATCTTCATAAACTGAAAGAAAGGGAAGAAGAATGAGTTTTGGCAAAGTCAGGGAAATTTCCATGAAGAGTTCTCCATACGCCTTGGCTGGAAGAGACTTTCAAGACCATCCAGCCAAGAATATAATCATTAGACATGAACCTCCTTTCTTAACCATGGTAGGCACCATTAATAGGCCATGGAGTTATTTTCAGCTAAGCCAAGAAATGCAGTTTCAAAAAGGCAGAGCCAAACAATCAGAAATGTTACACAAAATGAAAATGCTATCACTAGGCCTTCAACCATAGAAGAAACAGGCACAGCAACTCAAGCAACCAAGGTCTCACCCAGGAGGTTAACAAGCAAGCCAAGACTAGAGCTCAAGGCTCGTGCCTCCGAATTCTGAGGCCTTTTCTGATATTGGGCAGAGGCAGTGGGCCTCTCCAGTGTGTATTATGTGTTGGAAACCCCAGATGCCCCTTGGAGAATCTCCTTTCATGTGGCTGCAGTGGCTGCTAGAACTCTTCCTTAACAGAAACCCAGATGCTGAGAAGTCCCAGGGCAGTTCTCAGGATTGAAGAAGGAGCCTTCTTGAGGGGTGACAGCTCTTATCCCAGCACTGTCCTGAGTGGGGAGTGTGATCCCAAAGAGGAAGGGGTCCTTCCATTCTGAGGAGATCAGGATATTGAGTACGAAGGGCACCAGCACAAAACAACTTTGTCTGGCTCTGTAAAATGGGGTTCAAATTAGCTCCAGGAGGTGGGAGGAGCTCCCATGTGAAAGCTGCTGAGTGTTGGCTGCAAGTGGCTCCCGCTGCCCCTTTCTTCAGCAAGTTGCCCTCATCCCTGCCCAGGAGGTCACCCTCATCCTCTCATCTGCTCACTGGGAGATGGGTGTGAGTGCAGTATTCATTTGGAAGTTCCCTGGATGGAGCCTAAGAAAAATTAACTAGGCTCAATCAGGTTAATTTTGCAACTTCATATTTATTAAGTCAATGGCTCTAAAACTTGAGAGTGCACAAGATAGCCTAGGGGGAGAGGAGAGGAGACTTTTTTAGAAATAGACCATTAGCCCAGCGCAGTGGCTGACGCCTGTAATCCCAGCACTTTGGGAGGCCTAGGCAGGTGGATCACGAGGTCAGGAGATCGAGACCATCCTGGCTAGCAGGTGAAACCCTGTCTCCACTAAAAAATACAAAAAATTAGCCGGGCGCGGTGGTGGGTGCCTGTAGTCCCAGCTACTCCCGAGGCTGAGGCAGGAGAATGGCGTGAACCCGGGAGGTGGAGCTTGCAGTGAGCCGAGATCGCACCACTGCACTCCAGCCTGGGTGACAGAGCGAGACTCCATCTCGAAAAAAAAAAAAAAGAAAGAAATAGACCATTAAGACTCATGCACAAGGAGAGTGAGGGCTGTAGTGAAAACAGTCTAGTCCCAAGGAATGCCTCAACAACAGAACTGGCTGCCAGTGGTTCCTACAGTCAAGGCCAAACTCCTAACCCATGACCTTCAAGGCCACCCCCCTACATCTTTACCCCACTCTCTCCTTCGCTGTCTGTGCTCCCATCACAAGGAACTTAAGAGAGCCTCACTAACTTCCACATCAAGGCCCTCACAGAAGCTGTTTCCTCTGCAGGGAAAACTCTGACCCCACTCTCAACCCAGTTCATTCCTACTTCATATCTCCTTTCAGGGGCCTTCCATGATACCTCCTCCCCATACCAGACTAGGCCCCACCATGAAAAAACACACTTGGGTGATGATATGTATGATGATTTTCCTACTGCCTGCCTCCTCTGAGCTGTAAACTGCCTAGAAGTATGGACAGTTTGTTTTTACTCACAGTTTTAGCCCTGTACCTGGCACCAGGCAGGCACCCAATAATAATTGTTTGGCCAAGTGGTCTTGCCATTGTGCCATTGTTCTTGCAAGTGGCATACCATTCCTACAATATTTATTGAGTATCTACTGTGGTGTGTGCCAGGGCCGGGACTAGGTTCTGAGTATATGAGGATGGATTAGACATCTGCCATACTCCTTCTACCACATATCGGACTGTAGATATTTGGCCTGTAGACACCAAGGCCTTTTAACATGACCTGTTGGAAATTTCAAATGTTGAAATATACTCTCACCTAGGAATGGGGAGGAACTTTCATTCTAAGGCAAGGTAATATATCTAGACCCCCCTAAGGATGTTCCCTCCTCCACCCCATTTGTCATCACGAAAGGATGGTTTAGGCAGATCTGTGATTGTGCTAGGATGTTGGTAAAATTGGGACAGAACCAGCAAGTTTGGCTCCTAATAGGTTGGTAAAATGTTGTCTCTCTACATCAGGCTTGGACTAGAACTTGCTTAAACACCTGTGACATATCAAATGCCAAGTGACAAAAACATTTCTAAGAATTCTTCCTGCTTGACAATGGCTTATTTTAATTTTAAGCTGCCCTAGACCATGACCATCCACAAGCCACTTGTGGTATCACACAGTACTCGTGCAATCCAAGTAATTTTACTATCAGGAAGTGTATAAATCATTGTCCTTTCTCATATCACTTTATAGCTTTTGACTATCTAATATAGGTAAGCTCATTTCTTCTAGAACCATAAATGAAGCATCCTTGCTAAGTATGAAATTAAGAAACAAAGGGTACAGTACCCCTCTCCCCAAGAAGGGGTGAGGATGGAAAGCTGGGAAGAGGAGACTTGGAAAGACTACAGGAATGCTGGTGGACATAGGTGTGTGAGTACCTCCCACCCACGAGGGAGAGTGCCCTGTGAAAAAAGCTGGCTGCTGAGGCTGCCAGGAAGATAAACCCATGGCAGCTGAGGAATATGAGAGTGGGCAGGGACTTGGGCATCAGACTAGCCTCAGATGCCTCAGCAAAGGCTGGCCTTCTGGGAAAGAAGAGGAGGTGACTGCCTTTGGGATTGGAGGAGGAGGTGCAATGGGAAGGCCCCCTCTTACCAAACACCTGTCTCTCTGGCCTGTATCAGAGCCCAAAACTGCCCTTACACCCTCCTTTGGGCTAAGGCTCCAAGGGTCTTCATTCAGACATTATCTTGGAGTACACCAGGGGAAGTCATTATATTCTGGTAAACCAATGATCTTCGATTGTCTGTACAGTAAAAACACCTAGGGATATTTTAAAAATCCAGGACCCAGGCCACACCAGACCAATTACATTAGAATCTCTGGGGCAAGGGCTCAGGCTTGAGTATTTTTTAACTCCCTAGGTGATTCTAATGTACAGTTGGGTGAGAACAATATCTTGATGAAGATTAGCTTCTTAGGCACAGTGTAAGAGCAAGGGGATGGCACATAGGTGTGGAGGAAGCACTGGGTGCCAGGTGCCCCATAGATATACTCAAGCCTCATCCTCATCCTCGCAACAGATGTAAAAGGGGGTCTTTATTATCCTCATATCTATAATAAGAGGTCTAGAGCTTGGGGAAGTGAAGTAGCAGTGTGGGTGTCAGCATCAATGCCTGTGCTTTTGGTGTTATATTCAAGAAATCATTGCTAAGATTGATGTCAAGAAGGTTTCCCCTATGTTTCCTTCTAGGAGTTTTACATTTTCAGGTCTTAAGCCTCTAATTCGTTTTGAGTTGATTTCGTGTAGGCGTAAGCTAAGCGTTCCGTTTTATACTTTTGTATGTACAAACTTGAAATGCCAAAAAGACTATTCTTTCCCCATTCTATAAACTTGGCACCCTTAAGATCATTCAAGCATATATTTTTTGGTTTATTACTGGGTTCTTTATTTTGGTCCATCGATCTATATGTCTGTCCTAATGCCAGTATCATACTATTTTAATTACTGTCACTTTTTAATATATTTTCTTTACTTTCCTTTATTTATTTGTTTATTTTGAGACAGAGTCTCACTCTGTCACCAAGGATGAAGTGCAGTGGTGCAATTTCGGCTCACTACAACCTCTGCCTCCCAGGTTCAAGCAATTCTCCTGCCTCAGCCTACCCAGTAGCTGGAACTACAAGCACGTGCCACCATTCCTGGCTAATTTTTAAAATACTTTTAGTAGAGATGGGGTTTGTCATGTTGACCAGGCTGGTCTCCAACTCCTGACCTCAAGTGATCTGCCTGCCTTGGCCTCCCAAGGTGCTGGAATTACAGGCGTAAGCCACCATGCCTGGCTGCTTTTTAATATATTTTCAAATCAGGAATTGAGAGGCCTCTAGCTTTGTTCTTCTTTCTCAATATTACTTTGGCTATTTAGGGGCCTTTTACAGTTTCATATAAATGTTTTAATTAAGAAACGAAGGGTACAGTGACTTTTCTATTTTGTTTTTCTATTTTGGTTAAAAAAACATGCTATTGAGGTTTTGATGAGATATTATTAATCTGTATACCACTTTGGGTAGTATGGGCATTTTTACAGTTTTTTTGTTTGTTTGGTTGGTTTTTTGTTGTTGTTGTTTTGGTTTTGAGACGGAGTCTCACTCTGTTGCCCAGGCTGGAATGTAATGGCACGTTCTTGGCTCACTGCAACCTCTGCCTCCTGGGCTCAAATGATTCTCCCACCTCAGCCTCCCGAGTAGCTGGGATTATAGGTATGTGCCACCACACCCAGCTAATTTTTTGTATTTTAGTAAAGACTGGGTTTCACCATGTTGCCCAAGGTGGTTACAAACTCCTGATTTTTTATTTTTGAGTATTTTATTCCTTTTGATGTTATTGTAAATGGAATTATTTTCTTAACTTCGTTTTCAAACAGTTTGTAGTTAGTGTGTAAAAATGCAGCCTATTTTGTATGTTGACTTTGTATTTTGCAACTTTATTGAATTCATTTATTAGTACTAATGGGGCTTTGTGTGTGAAGTTTTTAGGGATTCATATAAAATTATGTTATCTTATGTAAAAGGATACAATTTTACTCTTTCATTTCCAATTTGAATGAGTTTTATTCCTTTTTCTTGCCTAATTGCTCTAGCAAGGACTTTCAGTACTATGTTGAATAGAAGTGACAATTATAGTTAACAATAATTTTTTTGTATATTTCAAAATAGCTAGAAGAGAATTGCAATGTTCCCACCAAAAAGAAAAGATAGATGTTTGAGATTATAAATATCTCAATTGCCCTGATTTGATTATTATACATTGTATACAGGTATTAAAATATCACATATACCTCAAATATATGTACAAGAATTATATAAAAAGCCAAAACCACTACAGTTTCTCTGTCCTACACCCACCAGAATAGACATGTTATCAGAGTTTAAAATACCAAGAGTTGGCGAGGATTTGAGTAACTGAAACTGTCACATGTTAAAAAGAAAGAAAGAAAAAGAAGTGGCAAGAGTGAGCATCCCTGTCTTGCTTCTGCTCTTAGAAGAAAACCTTTCAGTTTTGTTTTGGTTTTTTTTTACCATCGAATATCATGTTGGCTGTGGGCTTGCCCTATATGGCCCTTATCATGTTGAGATAAATTCCTTCTGTACCTCTTTGTTGAGAGTTTTTATCATGAAAGGGTACTGAACTTTGTCAAATGCCTTCTCTGCAGCTATTGAGATATCACATGGTTTGTATCCTTCATTCTACTAATGTGATTATCACATTAATTGATTTGTGTATATTGAGCCATCCTGACCTTCCAGGAAAAAAGTCCCACTTGATTATAGCATATGTTTCATAATTCAGTGAAAATTTTTATGTGCTATTGAATTTAGTTTGCTATTATGTTGCGATGTTTGCTATTACGTTGCTATTGTGTTTGCTATTACATTTAATGGCAAAAAACACACAATTACTCTTGCACCAACTTAATGGTATTTTGTTGAGGATTTTTTCAACAATACTCATCAGGGATATTAGCCTGTGGTTTTCTTTCTTTCTTTTCTTTTTTTTTTTTTTTTTTTTTTTGATACAGGGTACCACTCTGTCACTCAGGCTGGAGTGCAGTGACATGATCACAGCTGACAGTAACCTCAAACTTCAGGGCTTAATTGATTCTCCTGCCTCAACCTCCTGAGGTTGCTTTTTTTGTTTTTCCTGTTTGTATTATAATGCTTTTTGTTCCTCTTTTTTTCTCTTGTTATCTTTCTTTGTGTTTCATTGACTCTTTGTAGTAATATATTTTGGGAGTTTTCTTCTTTTATGTATCTTTTATGGGTATTTTAATGTATGGTGTATGTAATATATGCCATAATTAAGTTGGATTTTTTTCCTGGAAGGTCAGGATGGCTCAGCATTCACAAATCAATTAATGTGATACACTGCATTAGTAGAATGAAGGATACAAATCATACGATCATCTCAATAGATGTAGAGAAAGAATTTGACAAAGTTCAAACATTCTTTCATGATAAAAACTCTCAACCAAACAGGCAAAGAAGGAATTTACCTCAACACAATAAGGGCCATATATGATAAACCTACATGTAAGACTATACGTGAATGCCACCATGGCTGGCTACATTTTAAAATTTTTATAGAGATGAGATCTTGCTATGTTGCCCAGGCTGGTCTCAAACTCCTGGCCTTAAGTGAGCCTCCTGCCTTGGCCTCCCAAAGTGCTATAATTACAGGCATGAGTACTGCACCTGGCTCCTCTTTTCTTGTAGTTGCTGACTGGCTTTGTTATCAGCATAATGTTGGCTTCATAAAATGAGTTTGAAAGTGTTTCCTTGTTTTCAATTTTCTGGAATAGTTTGAAAAAGATTGGTGTTAATTTTTTTTAAATGTTTGGCAGAATTTGCACTTCATACAAATAAAATTTTGAAAGCAGTAAGAAAGAAGGAACTCATTATGTGTACAGGAGCCTCTATAGGAATCTAAGCAAATTTCTCCGCAGAAACTTTGCAGGTTAGAAGGAAATGGAATGATATATTCAAAGTCCTGAAAGAAAAAAGAAAAAAAACCCTGACAACCAAGAATATTATACCCAGAAAAAGTATCCTTAAACAAATAAAGGAGAGAAAAATACTTGCCTAGACAAATAAAAGTTGAGGGAGTTCATTGCCACTAGACCTACCTGACAAGAAGGGGTTTTCCAAGTTGAAAAGAAAAGATACTAAATAGCAACATTAAAGCATATTAAAGTATAAAAGTCACTGGTAAAGATAAATATATAGACAAATACAGAATACTATAATATTCTGTATATTATATACAGATATACAGATTATTATAATGTATATACAGATATACATAATAATATAATGTAATGGTGATATGTAAATCAATTTTAGTTTCATAAAACAAAAGTATAAAAGCTAAAAGACAAAAGTACTAAAAATAACTATAACTACAAACATTTGTTAATGGGTATACAATATAAAAAGATATGAATTGTGACATAAATAACATTAAATGTGGGAAGCATTAAGTATGAGCTTTTTTATTTGACTGAAGTTATGTTGTTTTCAGCTTAAAATAGAATGTTATAAATATAGGGTGTTTAATGAAAGCCTTATGGTCAGCACAAAGATAAAATATCTATAAAAAGTACACAAAAGAAAAAAAACCCAAACATATTATTACAAAAAAAAAATCAATGAAACACAAAGGAAGGTAACAAGAGGGAAAAAGAGAAACAAAAACATTGTAACATGAACAGAAAACAATTAACAAAATAAAAAAGCAAGTGCTTCCTTATCAATAATATCTTTAAATGGAAATGGATTAAACTCCCCAATCAAAAGAGTGACTGAACGACTGGGAAAAAAAAAGAACCAACTGTATGCTGTCTACAAGAGACTCACTTTAGATTTGACACACATAAATTGAAGGTAAAGGGTTGGAAAAAGATATTCCATGCAAATAGTAAACAACAGATAGCAGGGGTGGCTATATTTAATAGTAGACAAAAGAGATGTCAAGTCAAAACTGTCACAAGAGACAAAGAAGGGCATCACATAATTATAAAAGGATCAATTTATCATGAAGATATAGCAATTATAAATACATATGCATGTAACATCAGAGCACCTAAATATATACAGGAAATATTGACAAAACTGAAGGGAGATAAAGAGAGTAATGTAATAACAGTAGGAAACTTAATTACCCCAGTTTGAGTAATGGACAGAAAATCCAGATTTGAATGACACTATGGACCAAATGGACAAACTAACATACAAAACATTTTACCCAAATGCAGCAGAATATGTATTCCTCTCAAGTGCACATGTACATTCTCCAAGATATAGTACATGTTAGGTCACAAAACAAGTCTTAAACAATTTAAAAAGACTGAAGTCATACTAAATATATTTTTCAATCACAATGGACTAAAACTAGAAATCAATAAATGAAGGAAAATGGAAAAAGTCACAAATATGTGAAAATTAAACAACATACTACTGAATAACCAATGGGTCAAAGAAGAAATCAAAAGGTAAATCATAAAATATCTTGAGATAAACACAAAAATATATAATATACCAAAACTTATGGGATGCAGCAAAAGAAGTACTAAGAGGGAAGTTTATAGCAATAAATACACTTAAAAAGAAAAAAATCTCAAATAACCTAACTCTACCAAGCTTGTCCAACCCATGGTTCATGGGCCACATGCAGACCAGGATGGATTTGAATGTGGCCCAACACAAATTCATAAACTTTCTTAAAAC
Source organism: Homo sapiens (assembly GCF_000001405.40). NCBI lineage: Eukaryota > Metazoa > Chordata > Mammalia > Primates > Hominidae > Homo > Homo sapiens. The sequence continues at coordinate 139,748,691 of NC_000003.12, read as the reverse complement.
ATGATGAGATTTTTTTGTGATTTTTTTGTACCTCAGCAGCTATCATTAGTGTTAGTGTATTTTATGTGTGACCCAAGACAATTCTTTTTCTTACAATGTGGCCCAGGTAAGCCAAAAGATTGGACACCCCTGCCTAGATCTTAACGAACCAGAAAAAGAACAAACTAACACCTAAAATAGCAGAAGGAAGGAAATAACAATGATTAGAACAGAAGTAAGTGAACTAAAAATGAGAGAAACAATAGAAGAAATGAATGAAACTAAAACTTTGATTTTTAAGAAGATAAATAAAATTGACAAACCTTTAGCTGTACCTAGCTTAGAAAAAAAAGAGAAGACTCAAATAAATAAAATCAGAAATTGAAGAAGAGACATTATAAATAAACAAGATCATAAAAACTGCTATGAGCAATTGTATGACAATAAACTGGATAACCTAGAAAAACTGGATAAATTCCTAGAAACATACAACATATAAAAACTGAATTAAAAAAAAACAGAAACTCTGAACAGATCAATGATGTGTAAGGAAATTCCTTCGATTTTTGTTTGTCTGAGAAAATCTTTATTTCTCCTTTATTTTTGAAGGATAATTTCACAGGGTACAGAATTCTAGGTTGGTGGATTTTTTTCTCTCAACACTTTAAATACTTTACTTCACTCTTTTCTTGCTCACATGGCTTCTTTTTTCTTTTTCTTTTTATTGTAATGTATTTAAGCTGTACAACATGATTTTTCATATACTTAGTGAAATGTTTACTATAGTTAAGCAAATTAATGCTTACCCATTTTTTTGTGGTAAGAGTCCTAAAAATCTACTCTCAGCAAATTTTCAGTATATAATACAACATTATTATTATAGTCCTCATGTTGTACATTCTCTAGCCTTATTCATCCTACATAGCTCAACTTTTTACCCTTTGACTACATTTCCCCATCCTCTCCCTGACAATCAGCATTTTATTCTCTGTTTCTATGTACTCAGGCTACGTGGTTTCTGAGGATAAGACAGAGTCAGATGTAATTCTTGTCTTTGCTGATCCATAAATAAGGTGCTTTTTCCTCTGGATTCTTTCAAGATTTTTTCTTTATCTTTGATTTTCTGTAGTTTGAAAGTGATATGCCTAGGCATAGTTTTTCTGGCGTTTAGGTGGCTTGGTGTTCTCTAAGCCTCCTTGATCTGATTTGGTGTCTGGGGAAATTCTCAGTCATTATTGTATCAATATTTCCTCTGTTTCTTTCTCTTCTCCTTCTGGTATTCTCATTATGCGTATGTTACATCTTTTGTAAGTGTCTCATAGTTCTTGGATATTCTATTCTGTTTCTTTTTTAAATCTTTTTTTTTCTTTGCCTTTCAGTTTTGGAAGTTTTTCTTGAGATATCCTCAAGCTCAGAGCTTCTTTCCTCAGACATCTTTATTCTACTAATAAGCCCATTAAAGGAATTCACCATTTCTGTTACAGTTATTTCATCTCTAACATTTCTTTCTGGTTCCTTCCTAGATGTTCTGTCTCTCTGTTTACATTGCCCATCTGCATGATGTCTACTTTTCCGTTAGAGCCCTTAGCATATTAATCATGGCTGTTATAAATTCCTATCTGATAATTCCAATATCCCTGCCATATCTGAGTCTGGTTTTAGTGTTTGCCCTCTGTCTTCAAGCTGTGGTAGTATGTCTTGTAATTTTTTCTTGATAGCCAGACCAATGAGGTGGGTAAAAGGAACTACTATAAATGGGCCTTTAGTAATGTGGTAGGAAGGTGTGGGGGGAAGGGAAGTATTTTATAGTCCTGTAATTAAATTAGGTCTCAATCTTTTAGTTAGTTTGTGGCTCTGGACTGTGAGCTTCACATTTGTTTCTCAGTACCACCTCCCTCCACTCCCACCCCTTTTAGTGGGACATGATAGCTAGAGTAGGCCATAATTGAGTATTTACCTTCTTCCACTTGGAAGATTAGAGGGGCCTGGGGTTTGGTATTTCCCATCCCCTATGTCAGTTAGGCTCTGATAAAAGCCCAGCAGGGTAGGCTCTGGTTAAGTAGTTTCCCCTGAGGGCAGGCCTTCTTAAGAATAGATTGCTCTGGCATATTTCAAAATGCTTCTTTTCCTTTTCTCCTGCTGGAAACATGAGGGGATTTTTTTTCCCAATATTCACAGTGAGAACCTGGTAAAACTCCAGCAGCTAAAACTCACAAAAGTGTGAGGGCCCCTCTATGGCCGTGTCCTCTTGGAGTTTTTCTCTCTCACACCTGTTCACATGGAGCCTCCACCAACTCATAAACTATAGTTCAGGGTGTTCTATCCTGACACTTGCTCTTTCTGAAGCTTCTGCTCCAGTAAGCTGTAACTCTCTGTATTCCCTTGTTGGTCTTTCCAGTTTGGGGGTCAGATGTCTGTTTTGTGAATTAATTATCTTACAGATTTAAAAAGAGTTATGAATTTTTCAGTTTATTCAATAGCTTTTTACTTGTCGTTAGGATAGAATGGTGACTTCCCAGCTTCTTACATGAGAGACTGGAAACCAGAAGTCACAAAAGGATGCTTGCTAAAAAGAAGCCTCATATCTCTGGCTCCTTCAAAGCTCACGAGAAGAGGTTGAGTGAGAGCTCTGAGTGAGGGATTGTCAGGAGGCAGGGCAGGCCTGATTTGGCCATGACTCATGGCCCTATGTGGTGTGACCTTGACGCAGGGCTGACTGAGTGTGAGAGTCTAAATGGTAGGCCCCTTTTTGTCCAGAGAAAAACCTCAGTGTAAATCTGGTCTTCTATGGAAAGGCCCTTCATTAGGCAAGTAGTCATTTCTTCTCTGAAGGCAGAGTCTTACTTGTACGATCAGCTTTGTTTTCTGTCACTTGGACAGGCAGCAATGAAATAGTGCTCCGAAAAATTACATTCCCAGCAATTTCAGAGCGTGCCTGGCTCATGAAGCATGCACATAATTGCTACTTCAAACAAGTTTGATAAATGAGGTGCAAAATATACTGCTACTTCCTCTGAACAATGTAAGGGGGTCTTATCTTAGGGGTCATTTTGTGTAATGAAAAACACGACTAATGAGTTCAATTAAAGAATTCATTAACAGTAGAAAATGTTTAGAACTAAAAACAAGCATCTTTACCTGGGACTGTCAAGCCAAGTCACCTCAGCTCAAAGCCTGAGGGGCCAAGGTTTCAGAGGGGCTGGTTTCTGGGCTGTGCTCAGCTACTTGTGACCTCCTTGGAAGTCCTTGGGCACATCCCGGGCCCTCTTTCTGCTTTATTTCTCCCAGCTGGGGAGCAAAGATTATACTTGACCCCTGGATTTTTAGATGTTGGTTCTGGGGCCAAATTTTACTACAAAAACCAGTCCTTTGCACTGGAACCATAGAGAGCCTACTGCCTAGCAGGACACCCAGGACAAAAATGAATGGCAATAGGTGAATTTCCATCCAGATGTCTGGTTTCTGAACACAGTGAAAAGAGCAGCATTGGGTGAATAAAATAGCTTCCATCTTAAATGACTATTTCAAACCTCCATGACAAAGGAAGGCATAAGTGTATGTGTTTATTGGGACCTGTGTGCAAGTGTGTGCATGTGTTTATGAGTGTGTGTTTTATGAGTGTTTATGCATAAGTGTGCATGAGTGTGTGAGAGTATGGATGTGAGTGGGTGGATGTGTGAGAGTGTGTATGTCTGTATATATACCTACATGTATCAGTAGGTTTATGAATGTGTATATGAACATACAGGTGTGTGTATGTGCAAGTTTGTGTGAAGGTGTGTGCATGTGTTTCTACAAGTATGTGTATGTGCTTGTTAAGTGCATATGTATGTGTACATGTGAGGGTATGTGCATGTGTATATGTGTGTGCATCAGTGAATGTGTATACAGGTGCATGCACATGTGTATCATTTTTTAGGTGTCCTGCCTTTTGCCCCCTCATACATGTGCTTTGCCCCCTGCTGGTATACTCCTTCAGAAGCTCTCTCTTCATATTATTTCCTTTGCACAAAGTAACCCCAAGCCGTAGTTTAATAACGCAGCCTGAAAGTGTATGTAGATCAATTTGTAACAGCCTTTAAAAGCAAATTGTTTTAAGCAGAAGACTACAGCATTGCAAAGCAGTACTAACCCATTCATATTATCTTGAAAAAAAGAGCAGGTTCTGCAGAGGAGAAGGCAAACTGTGCCCCAGAACTGAAAAGCCTGTCAGCTGTGAGAAAACAGAGAAGAGTTTATATTTAGAAAAGGTGCCAATTATTTCTTGTCACAAACATAATCTTATTAATGCTTAGTCAATAAAAGCTTTTGTTTTAAGAAATGTATAAGTACTTTATAAAGACCTAAATATATTTGGCCTGAGTCTATTCCAGACTTAACTATCAAAAATAAAGACACACTTTCAGCAGAATGAACTGAGGACATAAATTGAAAGCATAAACAGAAGCACTGTTCTCCTTCTATTCAAACAAGTGTTTGCAAACATTGGCCCAATTCTTAACACCTGCCCAGGTTTAAACATCACTTTCTGGAAGGAGAATTTGGCATTCTGGGGCTAAGAATGCACAGGTCATATAGAAATGTTCCCAGAAGACCAGAAAAGATGCCAATGGACTCAAAGGAAAAAGGAAAACACCCTCAGTTTCCATTCCAGCGTGATGTCTAGATGTGGTCAAAGCTCAAAAAGCTGCATTTTATAAATTAAGTGAACACATGAATAAATGAATTGATCAGCCAGTAAAATAATGCTATGGGAGAGAAATGATAAGCCCCTTCCTGGCTTACAGAACAACTTTCCATTAAGATGAATCCTGCCAATAATGTTTTTATTCTTAAGCCTGCATGATCCCCAGAAATTACAGGTTTCCCAGAAGAAATTCCAACGGCATAGTAATTTTCAGACACAACTATCTTTGTCAGCCAAAGGGATCAAATGTTATAGATATATTTGGTGTGAAAGTAGTGGTTCCTATTGTTGCAGTGACCGTTCTAATAATTGTGAGGATGTCTAAAACATATTGAAGCAGTTTGATTCAACTAATTTTTATTGAGCAACAAGATGCAGCAGTCAGGATACCCACCAGGAAGACCAGACCCACTCCTTACCGTAGAGCTCTTTGGGTCCTCACTCGGAACCTGTGTTAACAGTCCTTATAAGCTGGAAGATCTACTCTCCAAGACACAAAGACTCAACACTTCAAGTTAGAAAATAGATGGCTAGAGACGGCATAGTGATACTGACAAGAAATGATATCAGGTATAAAAAGGAAGGAGGAACATATATACCATTATGAAAGAATTCAGGGATATATGAAGTGCAAAACGCAAGGTAGAAAAAATACATAGTTTGCTATCAATTATCTATCAAAAAGGATTATAAATATATAAAATATATTTGCTTATATTAAAAGTACTGTAGGTCAGAGCTAGACTTCTTTAAATATACTTTGCTTTATAAAGTTAATTTTGGAACCCCATAAATGTTCTACATAAGTAAAAGACAAATTAAATTTTAGAAAAGTAATTCATTAAAATCAAAAGCAAAATGAAATAAGTGAACCTAACTCTGTATTCAGTGAGTAGTATAACCACACAGAGCAGAATTATTCCAAACAATTTAAAAACACAGTAATTTGACTCTACATCCATCCCTAGTGAAATATATCCTAAGGATAAAAATAACTGTAAAAAATATTTAAATTGATATGCAATGCTTAAATCATAATGTCCATGGTGGCGTTTGTACTGTTATTCTTAGACCATTGCATGTGTATTGTTAGTGAAGCACATGAGTAATTATCTGGTGACATTGAGAAATAATATTTCCAGTAAGGGAGAAAAGGCATATAGACATAAGATCAATAAAGTGAAGTAAAATTCCATAATCCTAACCTAAATTGTAGCAACAGTATTAACTCAGAATATATTTCATCTTAAATATATATCCACTCATTTCCATCTCTGTTCATTTTAAAAGCCTAGAAACAAAGGCTAAACCAGTGACAACGAGCGCTGCTAATGTCCGCTTTTCCTAAAAGAAAGCAAGAATCCTCGGAGAAATGTTTAATGACTAGTCTGTGGCAGGAATTCCACAAGTTGAGTCTGGGACATTAAAAAGCAAAGGAACTATGAAAGACTTTTAGGGTCATGTCAAAGGACTCAGGAGAAAACCTGAAGATGCTCCCACTGGCCAAAGGGAAGCCACTTGAGCTTCAATAATGATAACTATAATAGATTAAAGGACATCAAATATGACTAAATTCATCAGTTTATAAAAATCAAAAATAAACTATTTAGTCATCATTGGAAGATGCAAATGAACCAACTAATTATCTTAAAAATTGGTTAAGAGAGGGGGCATAATCAAGCATCTATCTTGCTTTTTCTAAATGAACTATCCCTCAGGGTAACTGCAGAGTTGATGAAAAGAAATATCTATTTATAGATGTATTCAGCTAATAAACAAGGGTGGCATGAGAGAATTAGCTTATCAACATTTTGCCAACCCCAGTGAATTAATGGGTCTAGGCAATGAGCATCAGTGTGTTTAAACGTGACAAAGAGACAACCAGACACTGCATGCCTCCTGAGGCAAGTGCACCGCACCGCCTATGAAGTAGTCTTGCCCCCCCACCAAAAAAAAAGTGAACCTGAATACAGTCAAGCCTCTAAATACGACTAAAAATACAGGCAACAGAGGAACTTGTTAAACTATACCACATAAATACAATCAGCAAAATTCAAAGTGTGACAAACTTTCCAGGACAAGTGACCGAGACCAGGTTCTCCAACAAATAAATTTCAAAAGAAAAGAATAAAGAGCAAATGTATAGATTAAAACAGACTAAAGAAAGATATTGATCTATCACAATGTTTAAATGTTATTTATATTCTTATTCAAACAAACTGTAAAAAAATGTATAAAATATTCAGGAAAATTTAAGCACATATTTGTTATTTGATGAAATTAAGGAATTATTGCTAATTTTCTCTATATGAAAATGGTATTGTGGCTATGATTTTTGAAGAGTTCTTCTCATATAAAGGCATAACCTAAAATATTTAGAAGTGAAGTGATAGAATAGCTGGAATTATTCCTGAAATAATCAGGAATGGGGTGGGAAGAAAGTAGGAAGAGAATATAGAGAAAAAAAGACTAGCTGTGACTTAGTAATTATTGAAGCTGGATGACGGATAAATGGGGGTTCATTATAGTACACACTCTACTTTTGTATATGTTTGCAGTTTTCCATGATAAAAAAGAAAAGAAAAAATAGCAGCTGACAGCCTTATAAAGGCTAAAGTAGCGAACAACAACAATAACAAAAGGTAGCAAGCAATAGGCAGTGTCTAAGAAGTCAGACACATGTAACAGAATGTACAGGTTCTTCCTCTAAAAAAAAAAAGGAAGAACTACAAAACCCACATAAGCCCCACCTATCTGAAAATCTCCATTTGTGGAAGACGTTAGCCTCTAATACCACCACAAATAAAGCTTCACTACTTTTTATGTTTATTGTAAAAATGCCATTTACATAGCATTCCCTAGCTCTCAAGAAACTTCTTTACCCACCTTCTAATTTAATGTTCCCAATATCACTGTGGAGATGCCATTATTAGTCTTACAGATGAGAATTCTGAATCTCAGAGGTGTTAAATGACTTATTCAAGGCCACACAGTGCTGACGCTGGGACCAAAAGCTGGATTTCCCACCTGTCTCCAGCGAGGTTGGGTTTCTACCTGTCCATGTTGGCTCCTCTTTGCAAAGGACATCATGACCTTCGGTGAACACACTGGGTCTCTCCCTTGGAGAAGTGGCACTACAATCTCCAAAAGGGCACATCATGCATGAAGCAAGCAAACCCCTCACAATCCACTGATTCTCACATTCCCAAGGTACCCGCCATTTCATTCAGTGTGCCATCACTGTCTCATTTATTTCAATCATATAACTGATGTTGAAAAATGGTTTCACTAGTGTTTTAGGCTTTGTTGTGCTCCCTGGTTAAAAATATTTATTTTAAGGCAGAAGCTTTCAGTTCCTAAAGGGTCTTTTTGCAGCTCAACTCACTTAATGCAGTGTCATGGAGCCTCATCTTTACCATGGCAAGGTGTGAGTTGCCACCCATGTGAACTAAGTTAGGATTCCTGTTTTGGCCTTTACTTCTTAGAAAATGACATCTCCCTAATTTTAGTAGACATTGGAGCTGGATAATTGACACCAAAGGCAACAAAATTGAACTCAGCTTCTTGGTGCAAAGCAGGAAGCAAAGCATTAGCTGAGAAGGTTGGCCATACTCTGTCACCCTATATGCCCAGTGATGTGACCAGAGGTCCCATCAGGGCAGGAGCCTGGACTTTTGTGTGGTTCTCTGAGTCAGTTCCTTAGTCCTCTAAACTTCACAGTCCCCATCTCAAAAATGAGGATGATAATCCCCACCAAATCTCAGGTGGTGACAGCTGAGAGAGCCATCATGTGGGAGTCCTGGAATCACTGGTGTTGTTAAGAAACTTTGATAAGAACTAGCTCTCAGAACAATGACCGCAGCCGTAACAGCCTGCATTCAGCAAATGCTGGCCATGTGCTGGGCATGGGCTTCCCACATTTCATCCTCACAGAGACCATGGAACAAAGGTAGGATTATGATTTCCATTTGCCGACGAGTACCTTGATACACACGGAGGAAGAGTAAATTGTTCAATCACCCAGCCTTCAGGTAGTGAGATAGTTAGACTCCTGGTCTTGCTGATGCCAAAACCATGCCCTTAACTGCTGGCTACATTGCCTTTGTATCATTAAATCCTAGTACAGGGGTAACAAATGTAAATGCCCAATCAGTATTTTAAGCAAATAAACAAATGAATAAATGGAAGAAAGAATGAATGATTAGTATCTCCTGGTGGTAAAGTGATTGTTCAGTCCATAGCACTGAATTTGTGCCTTGTGTACTATTGTGTTGGAGATGCCCAGGGCTTTGTCAAAAACATTTTTCTGCTGATTATGGTAATAATGCATGTTTGTAGTGGAAAATGAGGAAAGTGCAGAGAGGTATAAAGAAGAAAATAAAACTCATCCATAATCTACCCTTCAAAATGTAGGTGCTATTGACATTTGGGTGCATTTAACCTTAGAAAATGGAAAATCTTGGGTAGTCCAAGACCCAAAGTGGTCCTTTCTGTCTCTTCAAATGTCTTGGTACAGAGATTGTGCACATCAAGGAACTCAGCAGAATTCTAGTACCCTCTAATAATAATCATCATCATCATTTATACAGCATTTAACATGTTACAGGCATCATTCTAAATGCTTTGCATACTAACTTACTTACCAGCTGGAGAAAGAGCCACTTTATTGGTAAATTTCAAAATTTTATAGTATCATAAAATTTAGTCCAATAACCTTAAACTCTTCTCTCTTCCCTTCCTTTTCTCTACGCCCACAAAGAAAAAAAAATCTTTTTTAGTTAATATATGAGCAATGACTTATTAAGCAGTAGCTTTTACCAAAACATTAGGTATGGCTCTTGATAAAGAGGCTACCTTCCCTCTGACTCAAAAGATCTTGTTGGGTTATTAAGGAAACAGGACATAGGCCCACTAAGTAGTAATAATCACTTTAGACCAGCAGCATCAGCCACATCTGGGAACTTGTTAGAAAAGCAAATTTTCCAGCCCCATTCCAGACCTACTGAATTAGAAATGCTGGGGTGGGAGCCAGCGATGTGTGATTCAACAAGCCCTCCAGGTGTTGCTGATGCACACTCAAGTTTGGGAATCTCTGCTTTAAGAGGCTTCGATACCAATCATACCTGCTGTCAGACTGCAGACTGGAGCAATCAGGGAAGCCTTTCTGGAGGAGACGATTCTCAACTGGAGCCCAAAGAGGTCCTCTTTAGAAGGAGGAGAAATGAGGAGTAAGGGAGTACTAGGCTTAAGAATTTGAACAAAAGATGAGTATCTCTGTATAAGCCAGGGTTCCCTAGAGGGACAGAACTAATAGGATACACACACAGACACACACACACACACACACACACACACACACACACACATATATTTTTATTAAGTATTAACTTACGCGATCACAAGATCCCACAATAGGCTGTCTGCAAGCTTGAGGAGCAAGAAGAGCCAGTCTCAAAACTGAAGAACTTGGAGTTCAATGAGGGCATGAAGCATCCAGCATGGGAGAAACATGTAGACTGGGAGGCTAGGCCAGTCTCGCCTTTTTACGTTTTTCTGCCTCCTTTATATTCGCTGGCAGCTAATTAGATTGTGCCCACCAGATTTAGGGTGGGTCTGCCCTCCCCAGCACACTGACTCAAATTTAATCTCCTTTGGCAACACCCTCATAGACACACCCAGGATCAATACTTTGCATCCTTCAATCCAAACAAGTTGACACTCAGTATTAAATATCACAAGCTCCCCTTGCTGAGTTTGGGCAGCACAGCCAGAACTTGTGGAAATCCTTCACTCCCTCGCTTTTAGCTTTCAGTCCTGTCACCATCAGTCAATAGCCGTCAATGGCGATTACTGTGAAGAAGCAGGGAAATGCCGACTGGGCAAAAAGGCAGTGAGAGGTATGGGCAGCAAAGAGCCAGAGGTGGTGGAGAGGTGAGGCTTGGAGCCCACGGGCAGGCCCTCATTGACAGTCCTGTCCCCAGAAGTCATCCCCTGTGTCCTCTGTTACCACAGGCTGCTGAGCCTGCAGCCCAGGATTCCATGATCTCCCAACAGGGCACAGAAAGCCCAGAGCATGAAAGTCAGACCATCCATCAGTCAATGGGCACATTTCCACAAAGGTCTCTCATATCATATGAACAGCTGTGGACCGGGCAGTAGGGGGTTGAATGCCAAGTCCTGCTGGCCCTGGGACTGCTTTCCCTTATGTCCATTACTTGCTTTTCCCCTACTCTGCCCTGCAGGACAGAGGGGCTGACCTTCTTAAGTCTATATTTGCCAAGCTCCTAGGTCAGCAGGCTTCTGGCTGGCTCAACCAACGAGGATGGCAGGAGAAAGAGAGAAGCCAGGGTATTCATCCCCTGCTCTCTCTGCTTCACATGGCGTCTCCAGCCACAGCTGATCATCTTTATGGCTGTGGCCCCCATCATAGGCTCTGGCAAACTTCTTCCCTTTGTCTCCACAGCCCCCTCTTCACCAGTGCCTAGGGATTCCTGGGGCTGCTAATTTCCAGATTAAATTTGCTCCACTGAGCTAGGTGTTCTGCACTTTCTTTTCTCTGCTGGGCCTTGTCTGATCTAATGCCCTGCCCTCCTCTGCCAGCCCATCCCCCCTCAACATCTTCCTGAGTTGAGAGCCCTTCTGAGTTTCTTGGTTCTCATACAATGCCCAGACTCCTTGGCAGACCCCAAACCCCTCTCCAACTTCATTTCCTCCTGCTCTCCTATGGCCGAAGAGGAAGCCTCACCAATTTTTTCCTTATCTGATGTCCCAGGCCATGCCTGTTCATGTGTCCTTGTACTGGCCTCCTTCACCTTACCTGTATTGACCTATCAAAGCCCTCTCCTTCCTTCAGCACTCAGAGTGAACACCCACCCCTGTTTTCAGGAAACCTCCCTGCTCATATACACTTTCTCCTCTGATCCTTCAGGTCTCTTCTGACACCTGGCCTATCTCACATACAACATGAGAATATCTGCTAGGGATTTGCATAGATTTGGTCCCCAGCTCCGTGAGGGCAGGTCCAAGACATCCCAAATGTCTGTTTCCCCACTACACCAGGCACAGAACTTTCCATAGAATAGAGTCCACTGACACATCCTCACTGATCTCACAGCCTCTAACCTTGCTGCCTCTCTCATCTGTTCTCTACACTACTGTCCCAGTGGTCCCCCCAAAATTGTCAGGTTAGCTGCCTGCCCCTTCTGCAAGCCCTTCAACAGCCTTACTGCCTTCAGGATAGGGTCTGTTCTTCTCAGCATGGCCTACAGGCCTCCTTCGATGTGGCTGGGCTTGCAGTGGTGCTCTGGATGGGTTGTTGACTTAAATGGAGGGTAAAGACTATATCTTCCCCTCCTTCTGACCTGCTCCCCACCCCACCTGTCCCCCAGCTATGCCCAGGTCTGGACATATAAGTAGCAAATACATAATAATCAGGATTTGGTTCCCTGATGGATTAATTTTTAAGAACATGGGAGAGAGACTGAGGCAGACACAGACTTAAATCCTAGCTCCATCACTCCCTAGTCCTCTCAATTCTCCAAGCTTTATCTTCTTTCTGGCAATATGGGTACCTCCATCAAAGAACAGCAAACTAATCAATAAGGGCACTTCTGGCCTACTGCCAGTGCCTCCTAAGCACTGGTTATTGCATCATTATTGGCCAAGATACCCCTCCCACCCAAGTCCCCTTGCCTTTGAGGGAGTTTGGGTCTACCCTTCTCATAGAAAGACAGGTCCTTTCATGCACACTGCTGTAGAGGGGCTGAGGTCTCTGCTGCTCTTTGTCACTCACCCTGGCTCTAAACCTTCTCCCTTCTGTCTCTTTGAATGGCATGAAGACATTCAGCTACCCACAGGGTCCTCTAGCTCACCAGTAGTCTTAGAGCCTGCAGATTAGAGCAAGCTAATGCCTCCTTGATGAGGAGTGAAAAAGGTTGTCCTGGTGGAGGCTACTCCAACATTCTGTGTTTGGGGGAAACTTTGCATAGCTTGACACTCTGAGGTTCTGATGTCCTGACCCTGTCCCCTCACAGGTCACTCAATCCTGAGGGGAGGAGATGCCAAACACGGGGTAGAAGCTCAATGGTTCCTGTGAAACGAGAACTGGTTGAAATGAAGAAGGGTGGGAAAGTCCTCCTCAGAGGGTCAGAAGTTTACCTTCAGTAGAAACTTCAGTTCAGATTAACAAATATTTGGGGTGTAGCTAAGATAGGGCAAGAACTGAAAGAGCTAAGACTGGGTTTTTTGAGAATCCCGTTTTTTCGACTCTATATCTCCTGGTCCTTGCACAGTGTTTGTCCTCAGCAAAGGCTTAGGAAAACAAAAGGAAAAGACAGGGAAGGAAGGAAAGAGGCAATAGAGTCCCTACTGTGTGACAGGACCTGGGATCTAGAGATGGACAAGAAGCACTCCCTGATCCCATGGGAACCACATGTCCTAGAGCATCCTCACTGCCCAGACATGACCGCTGTTGAGATGGTCTGTCTCCCACCCCAGCACTCGGCTTTCTGAAGGCAGGCCCTCCCATCGGTTCTCCTCAAGTGGGGGCTGTGAGCACACCTCTGGAGACAGAAGGCTAGTGGGAGACCAAGGGCACACTTGAGAAAGAACCGAGGGACTATGGACACAGTCAAGTGAGAGGCCCCGATAGCAAGGGGTGCCAGACCCTAGATGAAAGGGAGAGCACTCATGCAGCAGATACAGTGACCGTAGCATTCTGGGAGCTTCCCAATCAAGTAGGCCTGGAGCAGAGCCTTAGCAAATAAGGCAGGTTTATTTGAATGAAGAGGAAGGAGCAGGGGCATGTGAGCTGTGGACAGGGCAGGAATACACATGGATGAGTGAGGAAACACAGTAGAGAGGCTGCATTAGCCAACAAGTGTGCCAGGTGTAGGTTCCATCCAGAGAAGTATTAGTAAGTACCAATAAAACTGTTAGCAAAACCTGACAACACTATTGCCCTAAGCAATTTATCACTTGCTTTTATACACACAGTTTCCTTCAGTTGTCACAAGGAGCCTCTTAGCCACCATTTGGCAATCCCTGTTCAATTGCTTCTCATATTCCCCTCATCAACCATTTCACACCCTTACCATGTTCTTGACATTTCTACCACCTCCTCATGCCCGTTGCTCTCAGTGCATGACCTTGTCTCCTGCTTCACATAGAAACGGAGACCCTCCAGGAAGCTTTCTTCTCAAGTTAGACACCACTGCTGGCTGCCATGTGCCCTAGGTCTGAACACCTTTTTATGGAGATGACTTTCCAGCTAGACTGGGAGTTCCCTGAGGCCCCATCTTATTTATCTCCCTGTTTCCTGGGCCCAGCACATAGTCTGGACCAGAGTAAGGGCTTAGGAGATATTTGCTGAAAGAATGAATGATTCCTACTTGTTTGTGGAGTAGTTATTATCATCTCCACTTTACAGCCAAACGAATTAACTGTCAAGGTTACCCTGCAAGCAAGGGCAGAACTAACTCTTAAATACAAAACTTCTGATCTCTGGTTCAGTACTCTCAAGGCCCTAAGATTCTCAAGAGAGGAGCCCGTGAGGGTCAGTAGGGTCATGTGTGAGATGAAGCTACTCGGATGGCTATCACTGTGCAGCTGATTATCTGCTCATGTCTGATCATGAGCATTCACTTCTCTACCAGTCATCCTCAGAAGTGCAGGATGAAGGGACGTATGTGGAGAAGCTGTGTGGGTGGAGAGCAGCCAACATATGGCTCCTATGCCTTCCTGTTTATGCGTGTTGATATTTCCCCATGCCATTTGCTGAGCCCATATCCTCTGTTTGTTTTGAAGTTAGTATAATTAGTGAACCGGGCCTGACTTCTCTCTCTGTGCCAGCTCTTGGCACACTTCTAACTAGATGGTTTCACTAAGGGGTTTCCCTGGCATATATGTAAATGCTGTGGTGCCATTTGCCCTTCCAGGGATGTGCCGATGGGATTGCCATGCGCCTCCCAGAGAGTGGGACATGAAAAGTCAACAGCAGAGAGGAAAAGTTTCAACACTTCCCCTTACCTCAGACTCTCTGCAACTCCAGTTGTCAGGAGATGGGGTCCCAAAAGGGGTGTGGTTTTAGGGGCTTTTCAGCACACACAGGTGGCATTGCTTCATGTGGCTCTGCTACTCCTTTGCTCGAAATCTTTTAAAGACCCCCTCGTTCTGCAGGGTCTGTCAAGAGCACCCTCCCTCCCCCTTCATTGCCTTCTACCTCTGCCCTCGTGCTTGTCTCTGCACCCAACTCTCCAACCAGTTTACCATGCCCCAGCCATTTCACCACTGCTCACCTGTGCTTTTGCCACTCCCTGCACCTGGAATGCCTTTCCTGATCTGCCCCGCACAAAGTATTATCACGTTCAATACCAGGTTATTATATTACTGCAAAGACTGGTTTGTTGTACCCATTCTACAGATGAAGAAACTGCAAGTTAGAAAAGTTGAGTAACATCCATGGTGACACAGTTAGTTAGTGGCTAGTTGGGATTTTGACCTGAGATCTCTTTCATGACAAACTCAATGCTCTTAAACACTTCATGCTTCTATGTTGTATTCTCATTTCTCAGGATTCAGTTCATACTTCCCCTCTTCTCCAAGGTCTCTCCTGATCCCCCTATACCCTGCCAAAAGCTTCTCTCTCTGTCTCTCCCTACACATCCTCCAGGCAGAATTCCGGCAGAGCACCTGAAATGGTGGACTTACCATTCTAGCACTTACTCTCTATCTCCCCACTGGATCAGGCATGCCCCAAGTCAGGGGAGGACTCATTTGTGGCACTTATAGGAAGCTCTGACAAACTTGCAGGCACCCAGTACAATGTTTTTAAATGAGCTAATTAATGGGTGACAAAGATAGCCTAAGTCTTAGTAAATGCAAAGGGTGATGGGAGTTAAAACTCATCCTTCCCAGAGTGACACATCCTTCTTTCATCATCTCAATACCTGGCATGCTTTTTGAGTTTCCAGGATTTACACTCAAGAGGCTCCCAATTTTCTCTTGGACAGTTTTCCTGCACAACATATGTGCAAACCTCATATGACATATGATACCTGCAGCAGAGTCTGGCTGATGATTGCTTCTGGGCACACAACTAGACCATGTATCTTGCTCTCTTTTGCAGTGAGGGGTAGCCATGTGACTGAGTGTCATGTGGCCGTGATATCCACCTTTCCAAATGGAGCACACTTTACTGTAACAAACATGTACTTAAATATTGACTCATATGAAGTGACTTTTATGAAAGAATCCAGGGTGGAGTTCCCTGGCTTCCTCACAAATGCCTACCTGAATGAGGCTTTACCTTCCCATGAAAAGGAGATCTGTAACCCTTCTCTCTGTCTCCTTTACCTGGAGGCAAAAATGCCTTCACGGTCTTCTACTGGTGCCATTTTCTTTAATTCAAGGGAAAGGACATGCTTGTTACTCTCCTTAACATACAGGAAAACAAGTTTCTAATGATGTTCTTTCTTGTCCTTCATCTTTCATGGGAAAAAGAGAAACTATGGAATAACTCAAGAGTTGGATGAGACCACTGATGCTATGAAAACCCTGGTGACAAAGTGTACCTGATCCAGGGAAGCACTTTCTCATTTTCTCTTAAGATAATTTGCACACAGCGATTCCCCTGGTAAGATGTGTCATTTTTACAGAGAGAAAAAGAGAAGAATGGTGGATATGTGGCTGAATGAGTCAAGCCATCTCCCTGCTCTCCTCATCCTTATTAGAGCAGTTAGCAATACTACACTCTAATTGTCTGTGTTTGTGTTCTCATCTCCCTCCCCATTGGTTTTGTTTTTGTTTTTTTGTTTTGTTTTGTTTTGTTTTGTTTTGTTTTTGAGATGGAGTTTCACTCTTGTCGCCCAGGCTGGAGTGCAATGGCAAATTCTCGGCTCACTGCAACCTCCGCCTCCTGGGTTCCAGCAATTCTCCTGCCTCAGCCTCCCGAGTAGCGGGGATTACAGGCGCCCACCACCATGCCCTGCTAATTTTTGTATTTTTAGTAGAGAAGGGGTTTTACCATGTTGGCCAGGCTGATCTCAAACTCCTGACCTGAAGGGATCCACCTGCTTCAGCCTCTCAAAGTGCTGGGATTACAGGCCCCCTCCTCATTGTTGTAAGAACTTCTGGAAGGAGGGATTTTGCCCTACTTTCTCCATATGCCCTGTCCTTAAACCTCATCACCCTTCAGTAAAAGTGGGCTAAATAAATGAATGTATGAATAAGGACATGGGCCAAAGTGAGGATCCCTCACTGAATTCTATCCCAAGTGATCTACAGTTGGGAACTTCACTGTGACTTATTTATGTTCTTATTCCTATACTGTAAATAAAAAGCACATAACAGGAGAAACAATCATAGAGTCCAGACGAGCCATCTCCCACCTTCACGACCACACCTCAAGTATCTCAGATTAAACAGATCAAACTCCAAGCACCAACAAACAGATCACCTACTGTGTGCCAGCACACTACTGGAGATGCAGTTAGAGGTGGCCATGTGACTGAGCGTCATATGGCTGTGATGTGCACCTTTCCAAGCTGAGCACACTTTACTATAACGAACACCATATTTAAATATTAACTCCTATGGAGTGACTTTTGTGAAAGAGTCCAGAAGGTGGAAGATGCCACACCTATTTCTGAACACTGCAGAAGTACAGGGCCCACGGCTACAGTGCTGGACAGCCCAGCTAAAGGCTGGACTGGGGAAGCTGCATAGTTTTTAGGGTCCAGAACAAAATGAAAATGTGGGGCTCTGGCCGGGGATGAGAAAGTCAATCACCTCTTCCCACAGACCTGCTGCCTCAACTCACAGTGGTCAGGCCAGCTCCAAGCTGCTGCATGTCCCCACCAGGACTGAAGGTGAATGGCAGGCCTTTGCAAGCCTCCACTGAGTGTGCTGTGGCACTGCTGGCCAGAGTGAGAGTAGCTTCCACATTGTCCCACCCTGAGATGTCATGGGGCACCCACTCGATCCTGACCTTCCCTATACCCGCACCTCGGCACAGCTAGGGGAAGAGGGTGACAGAAGACCATAGGCCTCCTCCAAGCAATGCAACCTGGTCACCACCCTTAGCAGCATAGGGCAGGGAGGGGAAGGAGAAGGCTAGGCAAGGCCCAGGATGCTTGGGAGTGGGAGCAGGCAGCTGAGAACCCATCCTGGCAAAACCTAAAGATAGCAGGAGGCGGGACCATGTGTGAGCCAAAGCTCAGCCTTGGCAGCATGTTCCATTGTCCTATCAGGCTTCACTTATAAAACACAAATTCAGAGATAAGTTATCACAAATTTTAAGACTAAATCCAGGAGCATTCAACCACCCTTCAGAACACAGGGCCTGTGTGCCTTGTTTTGTGCCCACAGAGCTGGCCCTGGGCTAGAGTGTCACTAACTATCTTGATCTGTTTTGTGTTGTTATAACAGAATACTTGGACTGGGTAATTTATTTTAAAAAGAGGTTTATTTGGCTCACAATTCTGGAGGCCTAAAAGTCCAAGAAGCATGGCCCCGGCCTCTGGTGAGCTTTTGGTGAGAGCCTTGTGCCACATCACAACATGATGGAAAAGGGGAAGGCCAGGAGAGTGCAGGAGAGAGAGACCAAACTCAAGAGGCAAACTCATGACAACAACCCACTCCCACAAGAACCAATCCATTCCCATGGGACCTATCCCAGCCTCTGAGAAAGAGATGAATTCATTTTGACCATCTAATCACCTCTTAAAACCACCACCTCCCAATACTGTTACACTGACAATTAAATCTCTCATGAATTTTGATGGGGCCAAACCATATCCAAACCACAGCACTGACTATAGAATCAAGAAGAAAGGGAAAACAGAATTTATCAGACAAACACTAAGGAGGAAGTGGAACCCGACTTCAGTATGAGTCCTGGAAAAGCATGAATGGGCAGACAGCTGAGAGAGACTATTACAGCCCATCCTGGCTGGATGTAGGAGAGGGCAAGCCTGGCCTGTGCTTTGTACCTATAGCTCTCCAAGTGTGGTCCCAGACAAGCAGCACCAGCAGCACTGGGAAAGTTGCTAGACATTCACATTCTCAGCTCACCCTAGACCCACCAAACCAGGGCCTCTAGGGTGGGGCCCAGCAATCTATATGATAACAACCCTCCAGATGATACCAATACATACTCATCTGTGAAAACCCCTGGTCTAGACCCAGCAGTGTTTGTAGACCACCAATACTCACAGTGATCCCACAGGGAGGAAACCTAACAGAGGCAATGCAGAATAGTGGTTCACAGCAGAGGCTGTGTAGGCAGACTGCCTGGGATTGAGCCCCAGCTGTGCCACTGCCTCACTGTGACCTTGGATGATTCAGTTAATCTCTCTGTACCTCCACTCCCCATCTGTAAGATGATAAAGATCCCACCTCTTGGGGTTGTTCTGATGATCAAATGTGTTAAGACTTGCCGAGTGGTTGGAAGAGAGTCTAGCATATAGTAAGTACTCTACAAGTGCTTTTTAATAAAAATACAATGATGGACGTTAGCATTGATCAAGCACTATATATTTGGCACTGGGCTATATTTATGGTGATGATCTCATTTGGTTGTCACCCAGGTTGTTGCTTTACTATTCATCTTCATTTTACAATGGAGAAGCTTGGGAAGCAAATCCCCAAGGGCAAACAGAAATTAAATTCTGGTTCCACTGCTTACTAGTCCTAAGTCTTTGAACCTGTTGCTTACCTTATTGATCCTCACTTTTGTCCTCTCTGGAGTGACAAAGTATTTGTCCAATTTGGTTGCAGTGAGGATCAAATTAAGTTCTGAAAGGAGTCTGGCAGATAGCAGGCCCTCAGTACATGCTGGCTCTTTGGTGGTAACCCATATACCTGTTCCGTGGGGTGGCCTGCTCGCACACTAGCTACCATGCTAATTGCAGGATGAGGTTTGTCCATCCAAATCTCAGCACACAGATGCCAGAGAATTCTTAATTGCCACATCCCTCTCCCAGCCCTGCTAATAAGAGAGAAACCTCCCTCCCATTATTCCTAAACCATTCCCTTTGAAGCAGCTGGAAATGGTGGCCTAGTCTTTCACCTTGTCTTGGCCATTTCTGTTATTTTTCTCCTTGAAGAAAGGACATAAATATTCAAAGAACACTGGCATTTAGATACCCTACAATTTAAGGACCTATTTAAAATTAAGCATGCTGAATAAAAGGCCTTTATGAGGTGTTCTAAACCCCTATAAAATACCATTGCCGACACCTCAGTAAGTGGGTTATTTGCAGCTTCATAAACAGAGCTATGTGGTGGGTGTCTTAGCTGCACTTGTCTCTACCTTTGTTCCTTCTCATAAATGTGGATTGGACCCTTGGAATACAGTTATGTGAGCCTAGCAGAAGGCACCAAGCTCAGCCTCAGATTGGGGATTCATTGAAGAATTATGTCCTGAAGCATGAGTAATCTCCGAGTGAGAAGAAAAGCAAACAGAGTCGGGGTTTGTGAAACCTGCACATAAATCTGAAGGTCCAAAATGCCCTTCTTCCTCTACACTTGATTTCCGCTTGCCTGGTGGTGGAGGGCCTGGACAATCTTCAAGCCCCCTTGCGCATCTCTGCAGGGGCCTTTTGTGGCTGTGAGGGGCTGAGATACCCCGACTCCAGTGGATCTCAGGTCAATGCCTCTCTGGGGAGTGGCCTTTGAACTATCTTTTCTGAAGCCATTTTCCCTGCTTTCTCACAGAAATGCGAAATGAAAATTCAAAGGGCAAACTACACACATACATTGTCCTAACGTCAATTTCTTGGTTCTATATTTTACTACAGTTACATAAGATGTAACCATTGAAAGAATCGAGGAAAGGGGACACAGGACTTCTCTGTCCTGCCTTTGCATGTTCCTATGAACCTATTTCAAAATAATTATTTCAAAATAAAATGTTAAAATAAATTCAAAGGGAGACACCGGGTTTTGAAGAGTATCCTTGGCTGCTCAGTGAATGGCACATGATGTGATGAGCTGTCATCACCTGCCATAGCGAACCAATTCCTGAAAGAGTTTGGGTGATTTATGTTTTTTGTAAACTGATCCTTGTCATTTAAACTCAGGAAGAAAATTTGATTCACTAGACATTTGTTAAATTGTCCACTAAGTATCCTGCTCTGTGCTGGACTGTTGAATTTGGTACTTGCTTAAAGGAATTTAGCAATTATAATTACAACAAACAACAATATTATATAATGGAGACTGCTACGTTTCGTACTATACTAAGGCCTAAATCTTTGCACAGGCTAGTTTCTTGGTCAGCACTTAACAAAATTCTCATTGATTGGTTGTCTGATTCAATGCTGTTTTTCCTATGTACATCTTGATTAATTTCAATTCAATAAGCAATTCAACAAATGTCTATTGAGCACCTATTATGTAAAGTCTGGAACTCAACAAATACCTACTAAAACTGATAATAACACTCAGTGCAGTAGGATTCAAATAAGTACGTCCAACCATGGCCAAACTGGGCTAACCATAGTAATGGCCATCCCAGGGCACTCACCATATATGGTTCATTGCAACAACTCTGTGTGATAGGTACTATCATTGTCATCATTATCACCATCATCCTCATTCTCATGTCGTAAAGAAGTAGGGAGATGAACTAACTTACCCAAGGTCATGCAGCTAGTGAGTGGTAGAGTAAGGATTCAAACCCAGCAGTATAGTTGCGGCATCGGGGTTTTTGACCCTATGCTACACTGCCTCTTTCTAAGAGACATAACCAAAATGGTACAGAGTGCTATGGAATCCCCTAGGCATGAATAATTCACTCTGAGTTGAAAAATAAAAGATTTCCCAGAGAAAGTGACATCACAACTGAGTTCTGAAGAGTACAGATTCAGTAAGCAGAGCTGAAGAGAAAGTGTTCCAGGTGGACTGAGTCCCCTGAGTAAAGGAGCAATGACTGGCGTTGTCCATGACTATGTACAACAAGCACTGCATTCCTCACCATTGTGTGGTGATGCCTGCATGTCAAAGCCCTAGGAACTCAGGTCCCATGTGGCCAGATGTGTCCACCATCAGAGTAGTCCCTATCTTGCTTTGCAAGCCCTCCAAGAGAACTCGCTTTTGTCATGTGAAAGTGCGAGACTGTCTTCTTCAGTAGTGGAGTTCCCTGTTCTTGTTCTCTGGGCTGCAATGAATTTTTGGCCCCAAAACACAGCAGAAATACCTTTAAGTACTCAGGCAAGAATCTTTTTAGTCTGGTAAAAAATACATAACACGAAGTGTACCCTCTTAACAAACTTTTAAGTGTACAGTACAGTATTGTTAACAATATGCACATTATTGTACAGCATGTCTCTAAAACTTTTTCATTTTGCATGACTGAAACCCAGCTAAGAATTCAAAGACAAAGAGTTGAGTCCCAAGTGGTGTACCTTGGATTAGGGTACTATCCAAGGTAATAAAATACCAATGCCCAGAGTAGCAGTTTCTCTGGTTGGTCCTCAGGAAATGCTAGAACAGAGAGAAAATCTTACTACTATCTTCTGCAATTATCTCACTACTGTTGAAAGTAAGACAGAAATCAAAGAGATAAAAACAGAATGGGAAATATTTTCCTTAAATAAAATAAACTAGAAAAAAATACATGAGACCACTTCAGAAACTACAGTGTTTCAGAGATGGGTTCTTTTCCAAAGACAAAGACAAAGACTGTGGCCATCGTCTAATGAGCACTGAGCTGGGAGTCCACTAAACTCTAGTCCAAATCCCACTTTTGCTTCTCAGATAGCAATATCTGCCATTCTAACTTCGTATAGTTCAAAAATAAAAATGAGATACTACACAAGAAAGCAGTCTATATCAGGAAAGCATTAATACATAGGACATTGTTACTGCTAATAAAGTAAAAAGTAATGCAGAAAGATTGGACAGATTTACTCCTACCAAATAAAAATATCTTAGGTTCTGATTTCCTCACAAATATACTAGATTAGAGCTCTAAGTCATCTTTTTATGGAATTAGCAAAGCCTGTTAGTAAAAAGGATACCAGCTCTCCTTTGAAGAACACTCATTTCTGGCATATCTTGATTGATAAGGCAGGACATTTGACAATGGCCTAATGACAGGACAGGGAATTTACCTTCTCTGGACCAGAAAATGAGGTGCCAGAACATGCAGAGAGGTCTCAGGTCAGACCCTGTTAATCTGAACAACAGGCCCCAGAGATTATGTTGAGTGTGAGGTTACATTATCCAACCCCAAGCTAAAACCACACTCACACCACATTCAGATAGTCAAAACACTTAATCATTTACCAAACTCTGTGGAGTCCCTGTATTCCATGGTCTCTGTCATAAAGTAATTTTTTGGAAAAAGTTGTGGAAGTGAGTTTATGGAGCATCTTGAGATTTCACCTGAGGATTTTAAATATTATCCCTAAATTTTTCCTAAAGAATTTAAATGAAAGAATGGTAATATCAATCTTGGTTTTTAGAAAGGTAGTGGGACTCTCTTTGAGACAGGAAGAGCAGCTAAGGACAGATAGTCTCAGCAAGAAAGAATAAATTCTGGCTGGTGCGGTGGCTCACGCCTGTAATCCCAGCACTTTGGGAAGCCAAGGTGGGTGGATCACCTGAGGTCAGGAGTTCAAGACCAGCCTCGTCAACGTGGGGAAACCCCATCTCTACTAAAAATATAAAAATTAGCCAGGCATGGTGGTGCATGCCTGTAATCCCAGCTAATCAGGAGACTGAGGCAAGAGAGTCACTGGAACCTGGCAGGTGGAGGTTGCGGTGACCCGAGATCATGCCACTGCACTCCAACCTGGTCAACAGAACAAGACTCAGTCTCAAAAAAATAAAAATAAAATAAATTCTAAACCAATAGTAAAGACAGTTGGAGAAGGAGGCACAGATTCTAGAAGTAATTTAATGGGAGATTCTACTGGGCTTGGTGTCTGGTTGGACAGAAATAAAGAACTCTTGAAGGTTGCCTAGATTTCTGGATTGGCATCTGAAATAACATTGGTGCCATTCACCAGGCCATAGAATACAGAATGAGGAAGAGTAGGCTTAAGAGAGGAGATGGTAAGAATGAGGAATTCTACTGTAGGCCCCAGAGTAGGGGCAGTCCTGGTGGAAATAGGTCTGGGATACAGGAATATTTCTTGGCTGGACTAAGAGTTGTCTGCAAGTTGATGATAATTAAAAACGTTAAACAAAAACATTGGCCAGGCAGTGTGTAGATTGTAAAGATACCGGATACCAAACCAGAACCTAGTGAACACCAGAGCTCACAGATGCAGAGGAAGTCTCACAAGATACCAAGAGGGACCAAACAACAAAGTGGGAGTAAACCCAGGAAAGAGTGGTAAGTGATGCCATGCAGAGACAGAGGTAGAAATTCAGTCAAATTTGCCCGCAATGAACACCACCAGGTCTTCGGTGTGATGATCTGATATTTCAAAAGAAATGAGCAATGGAATATTTGTTGAGTACCAGTCCTTTCTTAAAGTTCTGCTAGGAAGCCACAGAACTATAAGACACAATTCCTGCCTTCAAAGAACCTCAACTATTGATAAAAATTGATGATTACCAAAATAAGGGTATGAATCCTGAGAGTCATGAGGAGTCAAAGTGGGAGCAGGGAACAGGCGGTACTTAAGAAAGGCTTTCTGGAGAGGTAAATTGACACTTGAAAAGTGGCAAAGTGCTAGGTGGTGAACTGGGGATCCACAAAACAGAAACAAAGGCCAGAAGGGAAAGAAAAGAGGGCCCTGTGGGATGCAACTTGGCTACAATCAAGCTGTGTCCTTACCTACACTCTCCCTTGAAGCCGTGTTAAATGGCGTGCAATTCCTCCAAAACTCCAAGATGCCATGCCTCCAGGCCTTTTCATATACTCTGTCCACCACCCGGAGTGCCTCACACTCTTCCTATGCCTTAGTCCTATTATCTCCTCTTGAAACTGTCCTATGATGCCTGTGCTTGCCCTAGACAGATCAGAAGACTGTGAGTTCTCAAAGGGAAGAATCTGTATCTCAACTGTATATCCCCAGGGCCAAATTTAATATTATTCAATTCACAATATCATAATTGTTAAATAAATAAATGAATGGTAACCAGCAACATGAAATCAGATGGAAGAGGCGGGGAAGATGTCTTGAGAAGCAACATGTTTTTTAACTGATGATTCACCTGGTGTTTGAGTTTATAAATTTACTTTGCATTATTCCAATGTGAGACAAACTAACAGATCAATAGATCTTATAGTGGCAGTGTGAGGCAGGAATTAGATTTGGGGAGAAGCAAACATCAACTCTAGATTTAGAATTTTTTTTTTAGCCTATCAACTTTTTACCCACAAAATGCATTTTAATCCAAAGCAGGCTGGGTAATCACTTCTGAAATATTGCAACATATCCATAACTAATCACCTGGAGCCTGGGAGCCTAGCTTTATGGCAAGATAAATGTTTTCCATCTTTGACATTTTAATATTCAGAGAGTCATTGGCCTCAGAGAATTGTAGTTAACCAGTTTCCACTTCCTATTGTGCTGGGCTCTGCCAGCCCTTCTACCCAGCCCATTCCATGAGCACTGATGGGGGACTGGCTTCAGCAGCCTTTATTCCTCACTTCCTAACTGTAATTAATTCTCTATTACCTATTTATCCAGTCTCACCCTGGTGAAGAATGCAGGTTCTACAGACTGCTCTGGTTCAAAACCTAGTTGCAGCATTTTTTAGCTAAGGGACCCTGGGGAAGTTCCTTACCTTTCCTGAGACTCAGTTCCCTTACTTGTAGGGAGGGGATTATAATACACCTACTTCATGGGGTAATAGTTCCCAGCTGGGGAAATTTGGCATTGTCTGGAGACATTTTTCGTTGCCAAGATTAGGAAGAGAATGGCATTGGCTACTAGATAGAGGCCCAGGGATGCTGCTAACATCCTACCATGCACAGGACAACTCCCACAACAAAGAATTATCCAGCCCCAACCATCACGAGTGCCAAGGTTGAGAAATTCTGCTCATGAGGTTATTATGAAGGAGTCAATGAATGTTGGCTGTTCTCCACCTCATCATCAGAATGCCATCATTTCTCTTGGCATCTAGCTTCTTCATTCAAAATCCTTGTATGTTCTTTCTTCTATCCTCAACACAAATATCCTGACACAAGCCCACATCTTTTCAAACCTTTTCACATCAGTGTCTCCTACTTCAGCAACTTCCCCCTACTCTTCACACAGCCAAATTCTATCTATTCTTCAAATCAAAGCCCAAACTCACCTCCTCCCAAAAAGGTCCTGGCTACCCTAATCCATCAGCCTCACTCTCCCTTTACCTTCTTGTCATAGGGACCCTGGGCATGTTCCTTCTGTGTCTTACACTCAGTTTCCTCATCTGTGAACCAGGCAATGATGGAGCCTTTTATGGATCTCAATATCCACAACTCTTCTCTAAACAAGTATCAAAACTACTGAGAAATACAGCAAAGTTGAAGGAAGACAGTTTGAAAACAAAGCAAACTTTAAATCTCCGAAGTTTATGTCTGCAGACATTATTAATATGAATATATCTTCTAGATTTCCCTTGATTTTTTTTCTGATTTACTGGCAAATTCTCCCTCATAAGTTTAGAAGAAAAGCTCTTTTTATTTAATTATTTGGGGGAGGGGAAACCAAATGGTTATTAAAATCCCAGTGCATTGCCTCTCTGTGCTTTTCAGCCCCAGGCTCTCAGAGATGGAGCTCTCTGAGAGATGGAGGCTCTCAGAGATGACCATATGTTCCAATAAGCTTCACCCTCAGAGGCTTTTAGCTTCCATTAATAAATGTAATTGAGAGCAACGAAACATTTGGATCTCACTTTAATAAGTCAACAAAATGTAAATGAGGACTGCGGTTGGCAGGAGCCTTTTGTCCTGGAAAAGGAGGCATCTCTTCCACCTACAGCCTGCTTTATTTAGGGGCTCAGGATGGAAAAGGGGATGAAATGAAAGCATGCATATAGAAAACCTCTGTAGGTGAGGTTTGAGAGGCCCCCATGCCTCATGTGCCTCTGACGTGTACTCAATACAGTGCCTGAAATCCCACTATGAGTGGCTCAATTTATTCTTATCCACAGATGGTTCCTCCCTCAGGGTTCACTCCTAACATTGCCTTTGAGACTAACCCTATCCCTGGTTTGGGAGAATTTAAGAAGTTTGAGTGGTGAGTAGAAAAAGCACCAGAAACTTTTGCATTCTTATGAACGCCTGATAAACATCTTTTTACATAGTAATAATTCAGTAACAGTCACACACTTGCCTAGAAACCTCAGCCTCACACTGTCAAGCTGAAATGTAATGGACAAAGGTGGAAAATAAGTTCCTGTCCTCAGATCATTCTATCTAACCTGGGAGAAAACATTACAAGGGTAAAGCCATCACAGAGAAGTTAAGGAATAGCTGTGATGCAAAAAGCATGCAGGGAGGCCTGCGGTGTTTGCTGAGAGGAAGGGTTCTTTCATTCACACATTCAGAAAACATGGGGTGCCAGGCCTCTCAACAGGGTGATGATGAGTATTTAAATTTGCTGAGATCTGATATCTCCTGGACTTTCTGAGCCTAATCCACTGGTTTTGCCATTTGGAGGGCAGGTTGACAATATTTATGGAAGATGAGATACACACACTCTTTGACTCAGCAATTCTACTTCTAAATACTCATCAAACAAATATACTTGACATGTGAAATGTGGCATACATACAAAGATATTTGTGGCAGCAGCGTTCATAATAACAAAGAATCAGAAACAACCTAAATGTTCATCAAAAGGGGAACGCTTAAATAAATTAGTACAGCTGTGAAAAAGAGGTCATTTTTGTATACCAAAATGAAAAGCTATCTGGCATATTTTGTTAAATGAAGAAAGCAAGTTTCAGGACAGTGAATAGGGGAAAAATACCATTCTAAATCTCTGTCTATGTTTGTAAATGCACAGACCGTCTCTGGAAGCACACACATGAGGCTATTAATGGTGGTTGACTCTGGGAAGAAGAAATGGGTAGAGGAGGAGCTGGAAGAATAGCTTGCTCTTCTTTGTGTTTCCTATTTGTATCCTTTTGAATTTGTGCCCAGTATCTGTTTTCAAAGAATAAGTAACATTACTAAAGGAAAGAAAAGCAAGAGTTTTTTAGCTGAGGATATGAATCTCAGCCCTTCCACCTACCAGCTGCATGCCTAGATGTGCTGTCTAACCTTGCTGAGCCTTGGTTTTTTCAATTTCTAAGTAATAATAATGTTATCTACCATATCTGATTGTTGTGAGGACTGAAGGAGACAGTGGCCCATGCTAAGAGCTCAGTAAGTGGTATCCACTGCCACCGTCATAATCAACATCACAAGTGAAGAGCACTAACCATTGCAAAAAGGATGAGAAGGTGGTCTTGTTCTTTCCTTAACCACAGACTGATTCCTATCACTGACAAAGGACTGACCCCAACCTTAAATTCAGACTAAAAGTCCTGCTCAGATAGCACCCTATTCATGACCCTAGACATGGCCAAAGCAGGGTGTTGTCCCAGATGGATCCTATAGAAGAACCAGAAAAACAGTATGGCGTCAGGCTAGAGGTGTGGCTGCAACTATTTTGGTTTAAAAGCTCTCCAGTATGACTCCCCTCATTGCTGGCAAGAGTATAAATTGGCTCAACACTTTACAAAACTGTTAGGCAGTATTGACTAAAGCTAAACATAAATGTACCCTGTAACCAGTGTTTCCATTTCTCAATATATACCCAACAGAAATGAGTGCATATGTGCTCACAAATACTTGTACAAGAATGTATGTTCAGGGGTTGGGGGGCAGGGGAGGAATAGCATTGAGAGAAATGCCTAATGTAGATGACATGTTGATGGATGCAGTGAATCACCATGGCACATATATACCTATGTAACAAGTCTGCACATTCTGCACATGTATCCCAGAACTTAAAGTATAATTTTAAAAAAAGAATGTATATTCATAGAGCTTTATTTATAATAGCCAAAAATTGTTAACAATCAAAATGTCCATCATTAGGAGAATGGATAAACAAACTGTGGTATATTCATGGAATGGAATACTAGCCACCATTAAGAAAGAATTAACTACTAGTGTCCAACACAACATGGAGAAATCACACAGACATCATATTGGGGTAAAGGAAACCAGGCACAAAAAATGAACATAATATACGAGTCCAACAACTGGCAAAACTTATCAATGGTGAAATGAAAGAAGTTAAAATGGTGATTATCTTGGAAGAGTTGGTGCTCACCAGGAAGTGGCATAAAGAAAACTTCTAGAGTGCTGGAAATGCCCAATATTTTGATCTGCATGGTGTCACATGGGTGTCTACATAGGTAAATACAGACACACATCACGGAATGACATTTTGGTCAACAACTGATCACATATACAGCAGCGATCTCATAGGATTGTAATGAAATTGATAATTTTCTTTCGCCTACTGATGTAGTACCATTGTAATGTCATAGTGTAATACGTTACCTTTTCTATGTTTAGATATACATAGATACACAGATACTTACCATTGTGTTACAGTTGCCTACAGTATTCAATACAGTAACATGCTGTACAGGTATGTAGCCTAGGAGCAACAGGCTATATTATACAGCTTAGGTGTGTAGTAGGCTCCACCATCTAGGTTTGTGTAAGGACACTCTATGATGTTCATGCAACAACAAATTTGCCTATCAATGCATTTCTTAGAACATATTCCTGTCATTAATGATGCATGACTGTAGTCATCAAGCTGTAGCTCAAGATTTGTGCATTGTATACCTTTTATGGTATGCATTATACCTCAAATAAAAATGAAATAAGTAATAATAAAGCTCTGTCCCAAAAGTTTTATTGAACTTCTCCCTGTGTATTGATCTAACCTCAAAGGCCAGAAAGCCCATCCTGTTAGCTAAGTTGTCATCCCTTCCCATGAGGGTTTGAGCCTTTCTCACCTGGCTCTATTCAATTGGTCCTGGAAAATATTTCTACCAGAACAGACTTCTTGAGAGGTCATCTTATTCCCCAGTTGTCTGGTCTTGACAGCACACTAGTTGTCTTCACTGTGGGAGCAGCTGCTCCCACTCCCCCAAGGCTTTCTACACATGGGGTTTGGGCAGGGGAGTCTCACAGCAAGGAGGTAAGGTAGCAGATTGCCCCTCACTAAGGCTGTGGTTCTCTGTGGGAAGCCGGCTGCCCAAAGTGGGGAACAGGTGCCTCTGATCAACTGAAGAGCACAAATCCACCTACAACTTCAAGGAGGGGTCCTTTGTTATTTGTTTGGTGTCATAAACAGAGAGAAACAGATGGAAACCAGAATTGCTAATGCTCCCATCTGAGGCCCTTGGAGGCTCTTGGCTTCCATTCCAAGCTCCCTCTGCTGGTTCTTGGGAAAATGCATCCACTTGGCCGGTGTTTGTGCTCCAGACGGAACTGGCCTCAGGGAGGGAATCAGAGGCTAGAAACCTAGCTTCACAATGTTCTCCTCTTCCACCTCTTCATTGGAGTCCCCAAGGTGACTGGCTTTCCTGATCATCCCCACAGCAGGAGAGCCAGGAGAATGAGAAAGCTGGAGGTGTGATTTTGAGCGAGGGTGACCATTTTGAGCCAGGGTGACCACTTAGACACCCTCCCCTCCAAAAACACGCGTGTGTGCGCGCACACACACACACACACACCCCTACACACACACACACAGAATTTCTGAGAAAACTGGCTCCTCGGGAATAAACTGAAAATGTTCATCCACAGAGCAGTTTTCCCCGGGATTATGGAAAGTGATCTAAAATACCTCCAGTTCTTCAAAGCCCTAATTTACACAGAGTTAAATGGTAGAGAAGAGGTGGCCTTGAAGACCAGAGTTATGAGCTGCTTAAAATAAATGCATCTATTTCCATTTCTTGGCCCCCTCTAGGGGATCTTGTCTCTCAGGAATTCTCAAGACTGTTTTTATCTGGAGAAAGCTGAGAGATTTGTGAACTATGCCCAACTGAAGATAGGCGCCTGCTTTTGTTCCAACCTAAGGCGTCAGAATTCTCTCCTATGTCATTAAAACCATTTGAGGTGTAATTATAGCTCCTCTGCCAACTGACCCCTAGGAGTGGGGGTGCAGAAGGCAAGAAACGGAATGCACTCTTTTTAGACTTCTCAGTGCTTTCCCAATAACAGCTATTTAAAGCACTGTCAAGCTAACCAATGGCTGCAATCTTGTTAGAAATATGTTTGTCTTTTGGCTGGGCATGGTGGCTCACACCTATAATCCCAGCACTTTGAGAGGCCAAAGCGGGCAGATCACTTGAAGTCAGGAGATCGAGAACAGCCTGGCCAACACGGTGAAACCCCGTCTCTATTAAA
Source organism: Homo sapiens (assembly GCF_000001405.40). Lineage (NCBI taxonomy): Eukaryota > Metazoa > Chordata > Mammalia > Primates > Hominidae > Homo > Homo sapiens. The sequence continues at coordinate 139,717,654 of NC_000003.12, read as the reverse complement.
AATGCAAAAATTAGCTGGGCATGGTGTCACATGTCCGTCGTCCAAACTACTCAGGAGGTTGAGGTGGGAGAATTGCTTGAACCCAGGAGGTGGAGGTTGCAGTGAGCTGAGATTGCACCACTGCACTGCAGCCTGGGCAACAGCAACAGCAAGACTCTGTCTCAAAAGAAAAGAAAAGAAAAAGAAAAAGTTTGTCTTTTAATTTTTGTTTTACAATTCCAAGACCTGGTTGAATTTGGGTCAAATTTAGCTTTAAATTCCTCAACAAATGTTTGGATTGACAAAGAAAACACAAGCATCAATATATAGTGCAAAGCCCACCTCTGTTCCGGTTGCTGTCTGGGCTGACAGCCAGTACTTCTGGCAACTTCAGTAGTGGAGAATGTATTTGTTCAGATCCGCAGGACTTGGTAGGACAGAGTGTAAACATCACAATAGCCTGGACCCTGAGACAACAGATTTGAAACATCTGGCCTATTGTTTAAAGTATGATCCAAATAGTAATCCCTATCATTTGTCTAAAACAATCGGGCTTCATATTGTATGAACTTTGGACCCACATGATGGATGAGAGTCACCTGTGTGCCACATTCCCAGTGGCCTTTCCCAACTATCTGAGATTCCCTTCCTGTCTCCACTCCATGCAACCCTCTAAATCTCAAGAAACCATCTCTCCATGCAAGGGATAAGCATGACACTATTATGGGGATAACAAGAAAGTTACCCCAATTTGTTCAGAAAGTGAATCTCTCACACAAATAACAATTTTTAGAAACAAATTGTGTTGAAGAGCAGGCAGCTAGGAACTCATTGGCCATGTTCTTCCAGAGTACCTCCACCACACACATCACCACACCTGACCTGCCCATCACTGCTCTGCCCTGTCTCATGCAACATGCTGTGGGTTGCTGGGAGAATAGGGTGGGCTTTAGGCTCAGGGTTGAGGTTGTACAGCCTTCAGGTAGGACAGGAGCTAGCTAGCAAGAGGAGGCAAAAAGAGAACCCTTGGGTAGAAGATCCCTCTGAGGGAGGAACTGCTACCTAAGAGGTGGGGCATGGACATAAAGGGGGTTGAACAGCATAGAGAATAACTGATTGACAGGGCTGCCATCAAGGAGCAGTTGCCAACATCCATTCTGAAGCTTTCAGGTTGTTAATATGGCTATGCTCAGGAGAAAGAAGGCTGAGTAGTCAAAAACGTTTGGGAAAAGCTTGATCAAAATTATATGGGTTCCTTTCAGCCAGACTTCTAAGAGCCTTTAATGTGTAAATGATGAGGATTATAGTTTTGGGTATGTATGCAACCTGTTAGATCTTACAGTCTCTCTCTCTCTCTCTCTCTCTCTCTCTCTCTGTCTCTTCCAGAGCATCTCAAAGGGTTAATGAGCTGCACCATTCTATTGTCAACTGGGTCAAGTTGAAAGCTCAGAATCTCCTTTTCTCTATGGCTCCAAGTTCAAGTTGGCTAAAAGCAGAACTTTCACAAGACTTGGGAAGTGGAAGTGAAGCAGTAACTGTTTCTCCCTAAACGTCTTTGAAGTCAGAAATGTAACAGAAAGACAGAGAGGTGCCTGATGGGTTTCAACTTGTTCTCATCCCGTTTCTAGCTCTAATCACCAACAGTGGTTCCACACCCACTACCAGATGCCTGGTTACCACAGAAATAGCAGCTGCAGAGATTCAACAGCTTCCCACATACCTTTCCATGAATCCCACCTCACATTTCCACTTCAACATTTGGACCTGCCTGACTTCTCAGATTCTCCCTGCAAGTTCCAACTTGCCCATCCATGTCAGGGCTTGAGGAGGATGGATGGTGACTATGATTCTCCAAATTCCCCTTTAAACTGCATTAGTTTGCTAGGGCTTACACCACAAAGTACCACAGATCAGTTAGCTTAAACAGAAGAAATTGATTTTCTCATGATCTGGAGCCTAGAAGTTCATGATCAAAGTATCAGTAGCATTAGTTTCTTCAGAGGCCTCTTATCTTGGCTTCTAGATGGCTGTATTCTCTTTGTCTTTACGTGGTCTTTCCTCTGTGTGTGTCTGTGTCCTAATTTCTTCTTATAAAGACACCAGTCAGATTAGGGCCCATCTTAGTGATTTATTTTACCTTAATTACCTCTTTAAAGACCCTGTCTCCAAATACAGTCAGATTCTGAGGTACTGGGGTTAGAACTTCAACATATGAATTCAAGGAGGGACCACAATTCAGCCCATAACATGAATCTTCACTTCCCAAATTTTTTTTCGCAATTGTGTAAAGTCTAATTCTTATAGTAAATCCCTTTTCCCGTGACATACACAGTGGCTCCACCTATCTGACTGAACCCAAATACAGAAGTGGTACTAGGATTGGACTGCTGCTGTAAAAGAAAATCAAAACTAGTTATATTGGCCTTGGGACTAGATGGTGGGCAGTGGCTGAAAAAGTAGTGAGGTCAAGTGATGCCCCAAATGCAACCTGCCTCCAGCTTGCAAAGAGGCAGTAGAGGGCTCTGGCTGGGAGTGGGTTGGAGTGCCTCAGGGACAGGGATACAGGTGGACTACCCCAAAATAAACCTCCTTTCAGCCATGGCTTACTGTGCTGATGGCTAAACCCAGAACGTGAAGAGACAGTCCTTCTCAAGGACACCTGGCCTGGTCTAGCCACCAAGCTGACCACGAGACAGGAGCCTCCAGCAACAGGGAAATAGCTATCTTCTCCAGATGACCAGACACATAGGTGAGGCAATTAGCGAACCACTTAAGTCTATCTATAATTAACTATCTATATGTGTGCCACAAACAATGCATGTCCTTCTTCTCCCCTACATTATGCTCCAGCCAAACCAAACCACTTATAGCTTCCTGAAATGTCAGGCTATTTCACGCCTCGGGGCCTTTGTTCAACTGCTCCCTCCCACTCGGAAGCCCTGCCAGCATAGCTGCCTAGCAAACATCTATTCATCTTTCAAGCACCACCTTTACTCTGCAGCTTTTTCTTTTGACATCCAGCTAGCTATCATTTATTAAGCATTTGCCATGTTTCAGGAAATATGCAAGCTACTTCATTTGATCCTCTTGACAGCTCTATGACATAGATACTCTTAGCCCTTTTTACAGATGAGAAAACAGGTTCCGAAAAGTTAAGTTATTTGCTCATAGTCATCCATCTATAGGTGGGACAATTGGGCTTCAAACTCAGACCATTGTGATGAAAGCCTGGCTCTACACATCCTCGTATACTTAATAAGATTGGTCCTCTGAAGCTAGGTTTGAGCCAGAGACTGAGGTGCTTTGGGGTTTCTACCAGCATCCTGATAAGTTTTATAGCAGTCTGGAGGTCAGCAACCCCATCTGAAAACAATTCTTTTCAAGCAAGGCACCCACCAATGTCTGGATCTCTCTGGAACCGCTTGAACAGGACACAGAAATGCCAGTCTGCATCAGGAGGGGCTCCCTCTGCCACAAGGCAGCTCCTGCTTGTCAGAAGTTCTCAGAATACCCCAGACACCTTATAGTGACTCCTGACTTCTCCAGAAGACAGTCATTCTTCCTACAGCAGAAGTGAGAAGTAGGACAAGACGTAGGTTCAAATCTTGCCACCACACTCTCTGCTCCTAGCCCCTCAAGTTGGGAATCAAGAGGCAAGCATCTAGTTTGTTTTGTTTGTTTGTTTTTTAATTTTTTTATTTCCATAGGTTTTTGGGGAACAGATAGTATTTGGTTACATGAGTAAGTTCTTTAGTGGTGATTTGTGAGATTTTGGTACCAAGGCCATGTTTCCCAGCCTTCATTTTCCAAAACACAATTAGGTCCTTGCCAAGTCGTGCTAGCTGTATCTTCCAGTCACTTGTTCATAAAGTCACCCATCTGAACTCTAAGTTGACCCTATTTCCTGTATACATGTCACATGTGCATATGTGGGTAGGGAGTAGGTGTGTGAGTGTGTGTTTTTGTGTGTAGGCATATAATGAAAAGTTTGAGACCAGCCTGGGCAACACAGGGAGATTCCATCTTAACAAAAAAAAAAAAAATTTAATTAAAAAATTAAAAAAAAATTTTTTTTAATTAGCCAAGTAGGGTGGCATGTGCCTGTAGTCCCAGCTACTCTGGAGGCTGAGGCAGGAGGATTGCTTGAGCCCAGGAGGTTGAGGCTGCAGTGAGCCATGATCGTGCCACTGCACTCCAGACTTGGTGACAAAGTAAGACCTTGTCTCAAAAATAATAAGATAAAATGAAATCCCATAATTCCATACACACAAGTGTTCTCCAAGCCTCCTATCACCCTTCAAGGCCTAACTTGACTCAACTCCCCAGCAAGGCTATCCCTACCTCTCTCTGGTCAGAGCTAACCCTCTTCTCCTCCATGTGTCCACCATGTCTCGCTCATATCTCTAGCTGGGTATCGATCATGCTCTGTTGTTATGTGTCTCCCCCACCCCTAAGTAGAGTGAGCTCTGAAGAAAGAAGCCAAAGTATTAAAAACTTTCATCACTTCTACCCCATATCAAATTGGTGCCATTGGGCAGCACGTTTGCTGTATGGTCTGCCTTCTTTGAAAGTTCTTCTGCTTCCCATGGCTCATTTTCACAAAGCCATATTTGCATTATTTAAGATTTCAAGGTTGTAGGTGCCCATTTTTCTTATGGGAACAAGTGACTAATGAAAACTTGAAATAAATCAAATTCCTTGCTCAGCGCAGTGTTGGCTACTTGGCACTCAATATATAAGTGTTGAATGAATGAATGATGTTTAATCATTCAAATTCACCCAAAGATATTTTTAATCTCAGAATTCCGCTTTACCCTAAAAAGAAAAAAACAGAGACTTGGACAAAGTTTATGGTCTAGTGAATATGGAAACATAGCTCTCTAGAGACAAGAAAATTGTCTCTTGTCCTTTGCTCTTCCTTATACTTCCTTCATCCTTTCCTCCTCTTGGCTTCTTGGCAAACACACTGTGCTGCTTAGAGGTCAGTGTTTTAAAAGTAAAATGTAAATGATGTTCATTTTCCCAATGAAATGGTAAGCTTCCATAAGAAAAAAACAAGTAAATATGAAGGGAGAAAGAAACAACTTGTGGTCCTGTAAGCTTTCATCTGCAGACTCTGAAAGAGGCATGAGGGTCAATGCCATTAAGACTTACTGCACAGGGGCAAAGAATGTAGGCTCCGCTGTTTACAGCACCATTTAACCAGACATGGAAGGTCCTTGTCTGTGCTATAAGACCAGAAAAAAAAAAGAGGTGAAAAACTAAATAAATAATAAAATACACAGCTATCATTTTTAAAAAATAATGTGCCCCCTACAGAAGTAACAAAAAATTTATAACCAGCACTACAACTTTAAGAGAATTTGGATAGGCAGTTATAGATAAGATAATAACACAAAAAATCAATAGTATTTCATCACACTGTCAAAAATCACCTAAAAACATAATCAAAAGTAGGATAGCACACACAATAAGAACAAAAACAAAAAAGTATCCACAAATTTAACAAAACCTGCATAGAATATTTTTTTCTCTGTAAGAAGATATACATAACATATGAGTAATCGAAGGGATACACCATGTTCAGTGACAGTTTAATATGGTGCATATGTTAAGCCTTCCAAATAAATAGAAAAAATTCAATGCAATTCCAATCAAAATGCAGCTCAATTTTTTAAGACCCCATTCCAAGACTTTAAAGGAAGAATACGGTGTCATAAATAGCTAAGTCCAAGAAGAGAGTAAAACCTTCTACAAAGCTGTAGTAATAACAACAGTATAGGATAGGCATAGGAATGAAATAGACGGATGGCACCCAATATACCAATAGTACCATCTATATACGGATACTTACATACAGTCAAAGTAGTACACAGAGCAATAGGAAAGAAGATTGCTTAGTGAGTGGTGTGGGGAAATTGGCTTGCCATAAGCTGGACAAGTTATTTTGTGCTGAAAGATTCCAAATGGAATAAATGTGTAATAGGAAAAGTAAAACTATAAACCTCATAGAAGAAAATGTAATTTACTATCTACAATCAAATACTCAAAAGCACAAATCATAAAGCAAAAAAAAACACATGAAAATGGATAGACATCACAATTTGGTAGTCATGAGATTTAACGAGGTGTACCATAGACAAAGTTAACAAATCAATGACAGACTGGAAGGAGATACTGCAATATGTAACACTAATAGTTGATTAATATCTAGGCTAAACTCTGTTGGGAACTTTAAATTACCAAGAAAAAGGTGGGAAACTCAATATTTTGAAGTGGTGGGAATATGAATAGGGAACTCACAAAATAGGAAGCCAAATGAATAATGAGTTAATACCCTTACTCTGTAGTAATCAATATATGCAAATTAAATTATAAATGAGACAGTGCTTTATACCCACCCAGGTAGCAGAAATTAGAAAAGTAGGTAATTTATAGTTGAGGTGAAGATGTGAGGATTTGGAAACACTGTGCATTGCTTGCTGGGATTTTAAGTTAGTACAGCTTTCTTGGAAAGCAATTTAGTAGGATTTGTTAAAACTATGGGGATTTGTGTCTATAATCTGACTATTCCACTCCCATTTATACATCCCAGAGATTTTTCACAGATCTAATAAGGGAACCAGTATGAGATGTTTATCAACAGTGTTATAAGTTTTAATAGCAGGAAGTTAAGCTTGGGGGTCCATCATTGGAGGGGTAGTTAAGTAAAATGTGCTGTAGAATAAAACACCAGGCAGCAGTTAGAAGCTGTGGACGAGATACACATAAATTCAACAAAGATAGACTTAAAAGCATGGATTGAAATGGGAAAAGTCAGAGCCAGAATAGGTTTTATGGGACAACGGTTTTTATGTAAATTAAAACCCAGGCATGCACAAAACAACTCCAGAGATTTTATAAGAAGACACACCTATTTAAATTTTTACACAAAACTCATTAGAGCAGGAGCCTATGAAGGGTGGGGGAATGGGTATGGTGATCAGAGATGGCGGGGGCGAATAAATAGATAAGTAGTAAACAAACAGACAGACCTGGAGAGAGTGGCCCCGTGTAAATAGATGGTAATGGCGAGGTGCTAAAAGAGGAAGAGGAGAGGAAAGAACAAAGGAGGGAAGGCACCCCAGCAAAAGAACCAGAGAGCCAGCAATGGCTTAGGAGCAAACTGGTTGGCTTCTTTCTAATCCTGGCTCTACCACTTAATAGATCTGACCTTGAGCAAGTGACTTCACTGGACTTGGTTTCAGTTTACTCGGCTGTAAAGCAGAAATGTTAATAGTACCTATATCAAAGGATCTTTTGAAGCTTAAATAGTATTCATGCAAAACACCTGACTAGCAGTAGGCGCTCAGTGAACATTAGCCATGATTGTTTCTATATCCATTCTGTGTTTTATAGTAATGTGTACTTTGAAAGAACTAAAGTGACATGACAATGAGAACAGACATGGGGTGTTTTAATTGGCCATCACATGGATCATTTAGTTCTACTAGCAGATAAAAATAGCGTCCCCACAAAGTGTTTATGGGGATTAAATCTGTAAAGAACGCCTTTAGCACATAGGAAGCACTTTGTAAATATTAGTTCCTAACATTGTTGCCAGGGGTGGCGGAAATCCCAGCCAGGCATCTCCAAATGGAAAGAGGATTCCATATCAAAACCCTTTCCAAAAAGTCCTTGTGTGATGGTAAATTCTTCCCAAAAAACCTAGGCACAGCCCCATAGGGGAGTCCACCCCCAAATCCATGACATCACCTCCGTGAAGCCATGAGAGTTGCGGGACTCCTGAATCTCTGGGGTTTTCATCCCAGGAAAGGGACTCAGTGGATGGATACAGATTTGTATGCCTTCTCCCTACAGCTTGCACCATGTTCTCCCTGTGGAAATGAAAGGCAATTTCAGGGGAAAGGGTTGATAGGTGGCCTCCCTTTATGAAATTAAATAGCCAGAAAGAACTCCAGGAGTTAAACAGCCATGTGTTTCTAAGGCAGTCCTGTGCCAAAGGCTCTGGAGAATTCTAGCTCTGACCATAGTAAAGCTATTCACCCTTGCCCAAGGAAACAATGTTTTAAATTTCCCAGACTATTTCTTCCTAAGTCATATTTGCCAAGTGGTGACTCTTCATTTTTGTTGGATTTTATTCTTCCAGATTTCTAATGGAAGTTTAAGTTTCTGGAGGTGGTAAGATTTTAGGAAACTTTCAGTCACATGGCATACATTGAATTTCTGGAGAAGACAGAACGATTTCTCTGTCTCTGAAGAGTAGCCCACATTTCCTGAGCCCAGCCCTGCACTAGGCTGTGAGGCTCTAGCAAGTTTCTGTCCTGGAGATAGTTGTTCTGTTACCAGCAACCCCAAAGATGGGCATCCTAACTAACATCTACTGAACCAGAATCTCATTATGACATCCACAGGCAAGCTTTAGGCACTTCAGCCTTCATGGGCCACTCCCTCCATAAAAAAATTAAAAATTATATTTTGTGACCACATTGGTATAAAGATGACTATAATATAGGCTGGATTCATTATTATATACTTACTATTATATCCATGTTTTTTTTCTGATTAAAAAAAAATAAGATATTTCATGGGCCCCTGAAATTATCATAGGCCCTAAGCTTGGTGCCTACCGGGCCCAGTGGCTAAGTCAGCCCTGTATTGAGCATCTGATATATGCTCCAGACCATTAGATGCTTTGAAGATATACAGAATGATGATAATGAGGAGGAGGAGCACATTATACCATTAATTGAGAGCTATGTATGTGACAGACACTATGACAAGGACTTTATATAAGTTACTTTTTAATACTCTGAGCAACCCTGTGAAGTTGCCATTGTAATTCCCATTTTACAGATACAGAAACTAAGGCTCAGAGAGATTAAGTGACTTATATAAGGCAGTAAATGGCAGAGCCAAGTCCAGCTGGCTATTAACACCCCACTGCATGGCCTTCTTCTGCCCTGGGATACCCAGCCACAGCCTGGGTGGGAGGAAACAAAACACACATCCGAATCAAAGGGCAGCATCGAAGACTCCACCAGGGCTAATTCAAGTGGTTCAGACTGTAGCTCATACAGAACATCAGCAGATAGAAATCTGGGGACATTCTCACCAAATAGATGGCACTTATCCCAGGCCTGTATATTAATCAAAGTTCTCCAGAGAAACAGAAGCAATAGGATATGTGTGTGTATGTATATGTATGTGTGTGTGTATATATATATATGTATATGTACATATATATAGATATATATTTATATAGATATATATAGAAAGAGATTATGGAAATTGGCTTATGTCATTATGGAGGCTGGGAAGCCCCACAATCTGCCATCTGCAAGCTAGAGAACCAGGAAAGCCAGTGGTATAATTTAATCCAAGTCTGTTTGCCTAAGAACCAGAACCAGAGGGGCCGCTGGGGTAAGTTCCAGAGCCTGAAGCCCTGAGAACCAGGAGTTCCAATGTCCACAGGCAGGAGAAGATGGATTTCCCAGCACAAGAAGAAGGGAAAGATTTTGCCCTTCCTCTGCCTTTTGTTCCGTTCCAGCCCTCAACACTTTGGATGACACCCACCCACGGTGAGGGTGGATTTTCTTTATTCAGTCTACCAATTCAAATGCTAGTCTCTTCCAGAAAAATCCTTACAGACATACCCAGAAATAATGTTTTATCAACTATATGGGCATCCATTAGCCCAGTCAAGTTGGCACATAAAATTAACCATCACAGCTTGGAAGACGAAAGAGAATTTGAGGAGAGAGAGGGTTCATTCCGGTTGGGTGAGAACATTCTGGCAAAGAGAGAAAGATGAGAGAGTAGCGTGTGTAAAGTCCACACAGAGCCCCTACTTCGGACTTGCCCTGCTTCTGCCTCTAAGCTACTAGCTAGGATTGTGCAGTGGGCTTCTAGTGCTGAAAGGCCCCAGTGATTTTGCCACATTTCACAGGTGTCTGTTAGCAAAACAGAGCCCCAAATGTGAGCACTTGCTTCATAGCCAACCATGCTAGAAAGCAGATGCTGTCAAACCAAGAAAATGATTTTACAGTTCTTACAAATGATGATTCTACTTCCCTTGGGGACTCAGAAGGAGCTTCTAAGAGAAAAACTCAGCTTCCCAATGATAGGGCTGTTTCCAAGTAAGAGTTGGCATTTGCATCAATTTTGCTGAGGGTGAGCAATTCCTTTTTCCTACTCCAACATGATGGGGCAGGATAAAAGAGTTTGGTTCCTTGAACGAGAGAAAAATATGTTTGAAACTGCAGTCTTGGGGGAAAGATGAAGTCTTGCAGGTTCAGCCCTAGTATTGGTGTTATAAAAGATGGTAACTGTAATGAGGAACATGTGAGGCTGATGGTATCCAACAGGATATGGTCGGCTGGAGACTTTGAACGGAGCCCCTGGACGTCTCTCCATGGGAGCAACCTAGGGAAGGGAGGAAGGACTAAGCATTCCCCAACACCCTTGGGAGTTGCCACTTGTCTCACAGCGTGGTAAGTTCCCATCAGTTTTTGTTTTTAATTGATTTAGTTTTTTCTGATTTTGCGGATTCTCTGATTTTTTCTGTGAGCCTCCTGTCTGCATCCTCTCTAAGCCTTCCCCTCACAGATGTCAGAAATCTTCCCAAAACTCTTGTCTGCGTCCTCTCTCAGCCTTCCCCTCACAGATATCAGAAATCTTCCCAAAACTCTTGTCTGCGTTTGTTGGCCCATAGCTTAGAGACCTCCTACACTCCCTGTGGTCTCAAAGTCCATTTAAATTTCCAAAACTGTTCATGCCTAAAGCCTATTGGCCAGAGAATGACTCTACTTTTTTTGAATTTTATTTCTCTCTTGCATTCAAGGTCCTTTACAATTTTGCCTTTCTGACCTGGACTCCCCATGGACCCTCCAGGACCTCAGCAGACCTCTCATTTATTCCCACTGCCATACTTTGGTTCCTATGTCTGTCCAACCTGAGATGCCCTTGCCATTCCTTCCTGCCTTTCCTTAACAACTTCATTCACCCTAAATTTACTGACCTCCTTCTCTGGGCCAGACCATGGGTTGGGAGTCAGATGGTGAAGACAGAGCTTCTGCTCTGATGGAGCTAGTGAGGGTGAGAGAAAAGGTAAAAGAACTGGAAACATGATGTAGTCATTAAAACAGTAAGAGAGAACTCATGGCACTATTGGGGCACACATCGGGGAATGGCCAGAGGAGGGGCAAGAGGCCTCTTTCCACCACCTCTAGGCAGCCTCCCCTGACCCTGCCAGCATGGCCTCCTCAAGCAGGCAGTCTGTGCAGGGGTTAAGAGTCCATATTTGGAGGCCTGGCTGCCTGAGTTTTTAATCTCAGCTTTATCACATACTAGCTGTGTGGCCTTGGGTTAATATCTTAACGTCTCTGAGCCTCAGTTTTCTAACATGTAAAATGGAGATAATAATAGTACTGACCACTAGAGTGACTACAAGAATTAAATGATATAATTACGTGTCTGGCACAGTGTTGGTGCTACAGAAGTGTTTGCTATTATTTTCTGGGGCCTTTGTATATCCATGCCTGTGGGTCATTTCCAGCACATTAGAGCTGCCCCATAAACACTGCTGGAAGGTAGTATTCAAGAAAATGGTGACTTTCATCTATATAGATACATATGTATCATCATAACCCTCTGCCTTGATCGCCATAATGACAATTCTTCTGTTGGAAGTACTCTATCTCATTGGCTCACACACTATACATAGACTCCCAAAGAGTGCTGATAACATTGCATTTTGATTGGCATTTTTTAAAATGATATTTTAAAAAAACTTCTGTCTTCAATGTCCAAGAATAGACTCCTCAGTAAGTCTTCCAGCTTCAGGCCTTGGACAGAATTGGAAGAGGAAGTGATCATTTGTCGTCTTTCTTTATAGAGTGCATTTCTGGCATCAATTCCATGCTAAATAAGACTTTTTAAAAATAGTCTTAACAAGCATTTTGACAGAGACTCCATTATGGATACAGAGAGATGTAGCCGTGGAGTCAGCATGTATGAAATCTGACCTGGCCCCAGACATATGGCCAGTGGCCCTCTCCTGAGGGATATGTCCAATGGCAGTGGGGACACTGGCTCAAGGTGACCATTTTGGAATATGGTGTTGGTTTGATGCTAAAGCTCTAAATGTCTCCCTTCCTTCAGCTGACACTCATTCCCTGTGTGAGGTAGGATTAGCCAACTGAGAGGCTGTTCATTCCACAATGCCCACTGCCCTGCTGGGTGCATTAAATGAGCCCCTCTTAGGGACATATCCCAGGGTGGGTCTTTTTTAGAGCCTTGTCTCTGCAAGATGAAGTCAAGATCAAACCTAAAATGTCAGTGAATATTGGCTGAGTGCTTTCATACATAAGTGATGGGCTTGGCTGGAAGGAGGGATTGTGTGGAGAGGGAAATGCCAGACTGTCACTGAAGAGCAGCATTGTGGGGTAGAAGGATCTGGGTCTTCACAGGTAGACATGCCTGGGCTCTGTGGAGCTTGTATCTTTCTCTCTGTGTACTCTGGGTTCCCATCTGTAAAGTGAGGATAATAATAATTGCTTTATAGGGATATGGTAAGGAATTATAATACTTACTATTGCAAATGCAGGAATGATCACTATTATTACATCACCTAAATACCCTGTAGAGGCAGGATAAGTCTGCACACAAAGATCACCTTAGGCAGGATAGTAGGTGCTTCATTCTGGAGAGGAAGACAGGAACCTGCTGCCAGCCAGGATCCCAAAGTAGCTGCTGTCATGGCACCCACCCAAAGTGGCTCTAAGGGCAGCTAACTGATGCCCACAACTCTATGCCTGCCACTGGCCCATCACTCCTCAAACATTTCATCAGATGTTGCTGCTAATTCCGGAACCCCTGCCTTACCCCTCTTCATCCTGGCCACTGGGGATTCCTCTCCATACTCCCTCTATTCCCCCACTTTCTCCTTCTCCCTGCCTTCTCTCTCCCTCATTTGCCTCTATTCCTTCTCCTATTCCTCCTCTTCCTTCTCTTCTTTCTGCTCTAATCACACTGCTCTGCCTTTTCTTCTTTTGGCCAGAAAGAAAGTGAAAAATCAAGTGGGACTGGGAAATAGAAGGGAAAGGAGCCACCTCTGAACATCCTTGATTCCAGTCAGTGTGGCCACCAGCACAGCTAGGGTCAAGATTCCAATCTAAGTGTGCTCCCATCTGGAAGACAAAGCTGGAAGATAATAGAGACACCCCAGAGCCCAACCCAACTTAGTACATGCAGGAAAATGATATCCCTGGGGCAGAAGGAGATTTAAATCCTTCCAAGCTCATGGGAGTTCTAGTGTTCCAGACTCCAATCAGGATCTTTCCCCTAGACTCAACCACGTGGTGTCCATTCAACAAGGTGCCTTTGAGACTTAACCTCCAGCCCCTTCTCTCATAAGCAGGCAGCTGATTCCCAGAACCCAAGCTGCAGGCCAGGTATCAGCTGAGCTGGAATTCAAGTGCTAGTCCCTCCATTCCTCACTGCCCTCCTCCCCCACCTTACCCACCTGCCTGTCAGCAATAGAAGGACTGGAGAGGTATGAATGATCCCCACCAAAACTCTTTCTTCCTCTCACTCCCCTGCAACACACACACCTATTGATAATGGCAGGTAGTGAAGGGGATTGTTTCTTTATTGCTCCTTTGCATTTTAAGAGATATTTATCAATTATTCAACCAATCAACAAGCAAACTTCCTGTACTCAGCACTGTGCTTACTTCCATGGGAGAATCAAAGAGGCAGAAGTTGTCACATTTACCTTGAAAGAGCTCACAACCTGGGTGGGAGAGACTAGCAGATTTTCGGCTCACATTTTTATGACATCTTTATTGAGATATAACTTATATACCATACAATTCACCCACTTATAGTGTACAGTTTAATGGTTTGGAGGCATACTCTCAGAGTTAGGCAACCATTACCACAATCAATTTTGTAATATTTTTATCATCTCAGAAAGAAAGTGTACCCATTAGCAGTCATTCCTCATTCTCCCTCCCCCAGCCCTAGGCAACCACTAATCTACTTTCTGTCTCTACAAATTTGTCTACTGAACATTTCACACAAATAGTATCATACAATGTGATGATACGATCCTTTGTGACTGGTTTCTTTCACTTAGCGCAATGTTTCAAGGTTCATTTATGTTGTAGCATCATCTGTACTTCATTCCGTTTCATGACCAAATACTATCCCATTGCATGAGTATACCACATTTTGTTTACTCATTCATCAGTTGATAAACATTTGGGTTGTTTCTACCTTTTGGTTATTATGAATAATGCTGATATGAAAATTTGATTGCAAGTCTTTATGTGATCATATGTTTTCATTTCTCTGAGGTATACACCTAAAAGTAGAATTTCTGGGTCATATGTAACTCTATGTTTAACATTTTGAGTAACTGCTAGACTATTTTCCTAAGTGGCTGTACCATTTTACATTCCCAGCAGTAGCGTATGAGGACTCCAACGTCTCCATATTCTTGCCAATACGTATTTGTCTTTTCGATTACAACCATCTAGTGGGTGTGAAGTGGTATCTCATTGTAGGCTTGATTTTCATTTTCTTAATGGCTAATTACATTGAGCATCTTTTTATGTACCTTTGGCCATTTGTATATCTTTTAGAGGAAAGCTGTCTATTCAGATTCTTCGCCCATTTTTAAATTGTGTTATTCACCTGCTTGGATTTTAACCCTTTGTTTATGAAATAGATTGACTTTCAATTACGTTAGGATTTATGAATATTTTAATCCATTTACATCTAAAAATACTCGTTTAAGAATGTTTATTGGCTCCATTGCCCAAATTGCATCACATTTTTCACATTATTCTCAAGTTAGATGGAGAAAACCGATCATCAGAAAGCCGTGGGTATAAACATGAACGGCTAGAAATACAAGTTTAGGCATGCCGTCTTTCAAACCAGAGTTTTGAACAGAATTTGAACAGAGTTCTTGACAGACAAGCCTACACTGGACACGTGAGGTGATCAGTGGTGGTTGTCCTTCTTACAACTACGCAAGCAGAGTGGGAACCAGCCTGAGTGCAAAGAAAAGTAGCATCCACCTCTGGAATCGGAGGCTCATCTGGCCTAGAGGCAACGGATTTGGGAATTTTTCACACCTGGGGGGATCTTCTGTGCCCTCCTCCTAGTTTCCCATCTACTCACCTGTTTGTTCCCTCAACTCCCCAGTACATACACTAACCCAGCCAGCCTGACGAGGATCAACTATGTAAGTAAGAGTAGGTGCCTCATTCATTGTAAGAAGCATCCTCTGAGCATCTACTTGTCTATGTGCCGGGTTCTATACCAGGCACTACGGCATTCACAAACCATTCCATAACATTAGTTAATCATGGTCTAGTGGGAAAATAGGCAGTTTCCATCCCATGCGACATACTTTGATAGAGGGACGTGAAGGGGGTTTGGGGCACAGAGGGAGGGCCTTACCCAGCCTGGATGTCCTAGAAAGCTTCCTGGAAGAGGGACCCCAGGCTGGCCCTTAATTGTTTAATAGAAGTTATTTAAGAATCCTTGGCTCAAGACATAGTGTATGTACACACCCCCGGAAGGAGAAAAACCGCAGTGACTGTAAGTTCAAGTTTTTTTGATCCACAGCATTTATAATAACAGAACAGCTATGCTCTTGATTTTTTCTGTATTTGTTTGTCTATTTAATAAATCTCAGGCAAAGAAAAAAGACGAAACCCCTATCTACAAGAAATTCCTCAATTATAATAACTTCCTTCACCTGCCGTGAATTCCATTCCACCCAGCTCCAGATTTAAAGATGTGTGCTTTAAATTCACAGATGGACTGTAACTTTCTCAGAAGCAGAGAAAACTTAGATTTCTCTTCTGTCTTCCATAGCTCCTAGCAAGACAGTAACCTTCCAAAAGGCAGAAAGTGTGTCTTTTCTATCTGTGCCTAAATCTCCAACTCTGAAAAAAGAGTCTGGCACAAAGAAAGGATCCAGTGAACATTGGAAGTTGAGGGCAGCTTCAAGGCTGAGCTGAGTCAAGACTTGGGCAAGCCTGAGCCCTGGGTCATGGAATCTTTAAGGGTAGGGCCAGGTGTTTCTCATTTGGGGGACCCTCCAATACTCATTTTGGAGTCCCTCAAGCACTAAGCCTGGCACAATGCCCAATGCATACAAGACAGTTAATGTCCAGTGCGTGTCTATTGAATGTGGTTGAAACATTCTGAATAGTCAAAAACAACTGAACTATTTTGACAGAATGATGGCCTTTTTAGATGACTTTGAGAGAACAAAGAGGGAACAGGACTCAGTTTAGAGGGCAGTGAGGAAACATCAGATGGCTACGAATTTTGATGGAACAGAGCCTCTCCCAGAGCACTATTGTTGGCCCTGAGTTCTGGTCTGAGCTCTGCCATCTGAAACTGGGCATCTAAGGTACTAACTGAAACAAGGAGTTTCCACTTCTCAGGGGTACTGGCCCAATAGCTGTGATGGCTGCTAGGGCTAAGGTGAGTTTTCTTTGTGTCAGGGAGACTTGCATGACTGAACCTGGAGGACAGAAGCAAGGTGAGAGAAGCATCCTGAGTTGCTCTTAAGAAGTCTTGATTCCCACTAATTTTTAACAATTCTCTCTCTCTCCCTCTTCTCTCTCTTCTGAAAGTTTTTTGGATCTTCGCTTTATCTCTGGTACTCTGGCCTTGGTGTAGCACATTTTTCATGTGCTAAGCATGTGGCAGGCTCTTTCTATCTGAAACTCAAGTCCTTCAGTTCTGGGAAATATACTTTTATTATCTCTTTGATAATTTCCTTCCACCAATCTTCTGTTCTCTCTTTCTGAAGCTCCTATTAGTTAAGTTTAGGCCTCATAGATTCAATCTGTAATTTATTTTCTTTCTTTCTTTTTTGTCATTTTGTTCCTTTTTCTGCTTTTTTATTCTCTGTTCTGGAATGATTCTACATGAGGGTGATAAGCCAGGTAGTCAGCATTCTTGTGGGGGCTGAGCAAAGGAGAGGCATTGGGCTCTCCCCAGTCAATTGTGGACTTTGAGTTGACCCCTGTGTTTTCAACACCATCCCCCAGAACCCCCTCTGTCCTGGGTTAATATCCTCAGTTCAGGCCTCACTGATAGAGTTTCTTTGGAGTCATCTCCCACGACCAGCCAAAGAAGAGGAGGACTTCAGTCTACCTGCTCCTTGTACAGACTTGCATTCTATCTGTCCGTCTGAGTCTTACCCTTGCCTCCCCACTCCTGGAATTTTGGCTCTGGGCGTGAAGCAGTTAAGTTCTCACTGCATCCCTGCTTCAGATAATGCATTCCAGCCATCTCCTTAACCTGCATCCCACCTTCCCCAAAGTATGGATCTATCACCCACTGTCATATTTGCTCCTATTCTCTTTGTCTTTGCAGATTTACATAATTTTTATTTCTTTTTTCTGCTATTTTATTGATCTATCAGGAGAGAGTAGAAATAAATGCATGTGTGCAAGTCGCCCTGTTTAACTCAAAGTCTCTATTTTTATTTCTTCTTTTGTTTAAAAAAAAATGCAATTTTATGCTGTCTCATACCAAACAGCTGTGATTGGATTTTAACAATTTAGAATGCCATTTTTTTCTAGACAGTTCTAACACATTTTCAAGAGCCTTAAAAAAATTCTCTTCTGGGAATTTCAAGAACCGATATATTCAACTCCCTCCCATCCTCAAACCCCCACCTCCCCAATAAAACCAGAAACCCAGATAATCCACTTAGGATTCAATCAACAAGGATTTGATGGGAACCAACTGCATTATTACTACATCATTAAATTGGTCACACAGGCCTCTGCAAGATCTACCTGTGAGGGTGAAAGTGAGGTTCTGAACCCTGCTGCCCTCACTTCTCTAACTGGACAATGCAGGGAGGAAGTGGGCCATCAGCCCTCAGAAAGATTTTGAAAGAGTGAAATGAGATGATAAATCTGAAAGCTCTTGGAAAATAAAAGGGCTATATAAATGTACAGTGTCATTACCAGACCTAGGGCAGCTCAGACAAATCCAGCCCTAACTCATTGTAACATTATTGGGCAAGTACATTACAATAATCTATTGTGGAGATAGAAATATCCCTGGACATGACAAATGCTTGGAAGTGTCTATGAAGAAATGTAACATTCATTAAGGAAATTAAAGCCCAGGACATCCAAGGTTGACTCAGGAAGAGATCTTCCCCATCCCTCTCTTCCTCTGCCATGGGGATCACAGAGGACATGTATGAAGATACTGGCATTTCAAAATGGAGGGAGTCTGGGTCCCTGAGTCACCAGCAGAGGCCCTTACTGAACCATATCAGACTTTCTTTAAGTGAAAACAAAACCCCTGTTGAGCTAAGCTACTGGGATTTAAGACTTGTTTTGTTACCACAATATAGCCCAGCCTGCCCTAACTAAGAAGGGCTGCTGCCTACACACCAGTGTCTGGGTGAGTTATATGGGGATGAGGGAAGGAGAGGATCACTTGGATGCTAAGGGCCTTCCCTCATGCCTGGAGGTGGAGCTGAAACCAGAAAGATCTCTGTCTTAGTCTGTTTGTGTTTCTATAAAGGAATACCTGAGGCTAGGTAATTTATGTATTTTTAAAAAGAAGTTTATTTGGCTCATGGTTCTGCAGACTGCACAAGAAGCAAGGCACCAGCATCTGCTCCCAGCTAGGGACTAGAGCTACTTCCACTCATGTCAGAAGGGGAAGGGGACCAGGTGTGTCACATGGCAAGAGAGGAAACAAGAGAGTGGGGAAGAGTTGCCAGGATCTTTTCAACAATCAGATCTTGCAGGAACTAATACAGTTAGCACTCACACATTACCAAGAGGAGAATAGCACCAAGTTGGTTATGAGCTTTCTGCCCCCACAACCCAAACACCCCCTACCAGGCCCTACCTTCAACACTGGGGATCAAATTTCAACATAAGATTTGAAGGGGAAAAAATACTCAAACTATATCAGGCCCCCTGGATTAGGCTTCATTAAAAATTCTGGAGTAAATAAACAAGAAGTGGCAAGATTGGAAGCAATTCACCTCAAAGGACATTACTTCTTCAGGGGGCTGCCACTGGGTGCCATCTTCTGTTTCCCTGATCTTCCCCCTGTGACAGGTCCCACAGCGCCATCTCACAGGCCTACTATGGAACCTATCTTCATGGAGGGACTTTTCTGCCTCCATTTCTTGGGGGAGGGGGAACCAACATTAGCCATGGCCTCCCTGACCAAAGAGACCCTGCCCCTGCCCAGAGGTGTGAGGTCTCCCTTTCATATCTTTCCTCCTTTCAAGGCTTTTTTTGGAAGACTGCACAGCCACTCAGCGTTCAGTTTCTGCCACAGGGACAGGTGCAGAAAGGGTGGCCTTGTCTTACCAACCTGCCTAATTTATGTTGAAACACAAATGACCCTCAGTCCTGACTAAAGTCACAGCTTTGAAAAACAGAAGTCCCTTGGACATCACATATTTCAGTAGATCTTAATCTTTTTTGAGTCACATAACCCTGTGAGGATCCAATGAAATCAGAAAAACACAAATATACACACTTTAACAAAACATTAAATGTGATTTTTTTCTGGTAGTGCCGGGATTATCACTAACCCCAACCTCGGGAGAAACGAGTCATCATGTATCCTACATTCTATGGTGAGCCCAAAGCAGTTAGAGCCAGACATTCACACCCCACCCCAAGGCTTGGATGAAATGGCAGAGCCAGGCCTGCCATCTCCAGCCATGGGCCACACTGTCCTTTACCAGTCTGTTTAACAAGGGTAAAGGGGACTGTCCCAAGGAGAAGGGATGTTGGTGGAGAAGAGGATCACACTCCCCTGCCAGAGTCAGGTGCAGGAGGCTCCAATAGATGAACTTACAGGGATTGAGGGAGCCTGCAAGAGGAGAGTGCTGGCATCACATACCCATAGGTGACTTGGCAAACTTAGCACTCATAGGCCCTCTAATATGGATGCTGGATGGAGTGAAGGCTGGTAATGCATTTTGGGGAAAGTTTGATATGTGTTCCTTGCTATTTGGGGTATATGTCTATACAGAGGCTGAGGCCTGCTTCTCTCCTAGAAATTTCTGAAGGTAGGAGACTGGCAGCAGCCCACATCAGCAGTGTCATGAGGAAGATGGTGTAGAGAGCCCCCACCACTATCACTAACATGTGTGACTCACACCTAGTGCAAGAAAGGACCCTCTTCCATGTCATGGCCCCCAGAAAAGGAGTTATGAATGTAGACTATGGGATAGAATGAAGAGTCTTGGCTGTCTCTTTATGGGTAAGTCCCCAGTTAAGGGAAAGTTGAACACCGACCCCAAAGCCCACGTACATCATTGATGTGGGGATTGCCATATCAGCCACCAGCCAGAGTTAAGACTGCCCCAAACCTCAGGGAGGCCAGCAGCCCCTGCCTCCGTTCCACTAACCAGTTCTCAGATGTGATGAAAGACTTCTGCTGTCTCTTTTTCTTCTCCTTGCTCTCAACCTTGAAGGACCCAGACCAAAGGGATAAAGGGGAGCAGGTGTCTGAAAGACATATCCCAGACCCCCAACTCTGTGGTGCCAGGCAAGGGAACAAATTATAACTACCTTGCTCCTACAAGTTCCTAGAGTCATGGGTAAAATCTTCACTGGAGGAGGAGAGGAGAGGAGAGGAGATCCAAATTGAGCTTCGGATTGAAACTTTGAACTGGACTCAATTTCTGATAACTGAAAGTGACAGAAAAGTGATGGATTCTGCCCAAGATGTTGCTAAGGTCTGAAAAGAGTCAACATACATAGCTAAAGGCAATGATTAGAGAAAATGAAATCATCTCATGCTTATAACCCAACTGAATTAAGACTATTCAATAAATCACATATGCACCCAAAATTTGGCATCTGATTTCAATATGTTCATGTACCACCAAAGATTTTTTTAATAATTATTTTATTTTTCCATTCAACCCATCCATTTTGTAGATTAGTGTAACCAGAGTAGAGGTAGTTTACCCAAAGACACATAGCTAGTAGCCGAACTTAGAGCAATTCACACCCATTGACTTCTGCAGGGTCAGTGGAAGCACCTGTGCCTATCATTGTCCTTAATCATCCCACTGGGCCTGCAAGGGTAGTGCTTCAAATCCAAACCACTGAATAGTTTTTTCTGTCCCCAGATAGTCTGAGGCAATCTGAAGTCAAGCCTGCATTAAAAAGAAGACCATCTCTTAGCTGGTGCTTTGCATACATTTGAGACTTTGAGACCGAGAATACAGGATAGGAAGACAAGCTGCATGATGCACTGCTTTGCTTAGAGCCCTGTGATTTCAGGACATGCGCATGCATATTTATACATAAGTTAAATAAAGGCCAAAACAAATCAAAAATATAAAGATTGTTGGATGGTCTGCCACTTTGGACAATTCACCTAGATTTATTCCCTCCATAATTGCTGACTACTGCATTTTAAGAGTTAATGGCCCCAAGGCCTAATTAAGGGAAGAAATGAAAGAGAATCTGAATAATGAACAGATTCTCATGCCCACATATAAGAAAATATGTGTGTTTCCAAGTTTACCTTAAATACCACTGAATTGTTTTATTTTTAAAAATTATAAGCCAACCTTTCTTTCCTGTTAGAAATTGTGCAAACATGGCACATCTTCAGCATGCCTTGCTAACGACAGATTCTATTATGTGTTTAATAATTGACTATTCAATAGAGCATTGATGCATTTTTGTCTGGAACTAATTCACCTTTGTCTGTGCTTCAGCATGAATGTTCAGTGAATCACAGATAGGATCGTAGAAGTGCTTCAAGTGCTGGCTGCCTGACACAGATCCACATCCTTGGGATTATTCATGTCAGGCCTGGGTTCAGAAACGTTCTAGCATGCTAAAACCACCTGAAACTGTGATTTATGAAAGTCAGAGAGTGCGAGAATACACCTTTTCCCTTCTAATGAAAACTAACAAATCACAGTCTGCAGGACACTTAAACCAGCAAAGAAATTGTAGGCTACAAAATTAACAAAAATGAACACCCTTACAGCCTATTAAGGCCATGGAGCTACCCAGCTGGAAATCAGGCTGAAGTGTGTTGACGGGGAAGCAGGTATTAGCAAATGCATATGTCTTGACTTCTCCGTAGTAAAAGGAAAATCCCTATTCCCTCCTGAAGAGTTTTCACCTTGCCTTTATGGGTTTAGATTTATGAATTTGAGCAGCACCCCAAACAGCACAAATGGTGCATAATTTTATGATGAACTGGGCACACCTTCCTGCAGGGCACTCTCCTGGGAAGGATGAGCTCTGTGCCTGAGCTCAGAGGCTGAACAGGGTTGGTGTGACATGAGCACCACAGACCTTAAAGGGGGTGGGGAAGAACTTATTCCAAAGCCGTTCTTATCCATTGCAATTATCTTGGTTATTTTTATATCAGAAACAGAAGACTTGGCGTGGACCTTGGCAGGGAATCCCGGGTACTGGCTGGAGGAAAAGGGCCCTCCAGCAGAAAACCTGGTTGCTTGGGTCTCTGCCCAGCCATGAAATAGTAGTATTCCAGAATGGGGGAAAAGGGAGTAATGAAGTCATAGGAGAAATATCTATTTTGGTCTTTTACAGAAGCTGGGGCATATGATTTGACAGCTAGTATATTGTTTCATTAAAATTTCCACGCACTTCAAAATTCCAGCTACAAAGTTAGATGTCTAGATCACCTTCTTGTTGTACCTTGAGTTAGTCAATGGAATTTCCATTGCTTGGGGATGTGGGATCTATTATTTTGATTTAGTGGATGTCCTAAAGGAATGAATGACTAAATTCATGTGTTCCATTAAAGGACTATACTCCTCTGTTAGATGCAGGAGAGAAAAAAAATGCCTGACTTTCTCTGCCATCATCATACTAGTTTCATTTGGTTGACTTGAATGCAGACATGCAAATTAGCATGTGCCCAAGGAGCAGGGGCTGAGGATTGCCTGTGCTTTCTGAGGCAGCCAGAGGGTGTGATTTAAGCTCCAGTTATAATCGAATCTGCACCTGGGCCAAGATTGGAGAGGTTGGCCTGCTGATCAATTCTATTTTTCACCAATCAGCAAAGTTGTTAAAATACCCTCAAAACCACTGCCCAAGCCTCAAGACCTCTTGAATGAACAGGAGCTAGCTGCTGTTTTTAACTTTATTATCCTTCAGAATAGTCAAGCTGGAGAATTAACAGCCAATAGTTTTAGCTATAACAATAACTTAAACTTATATAGCAGTTACTAAAGTATAGGCTTTGTTCTAAGTATATTCTAAGTATTAACTGATTTATTCACAATTATATTATATAAGGTAATTAGCTCAAAATTACAGATATGGAAGCTGATGCACAAAGAGGTTAAGTACCTTGCTCAAATTCACACAGCCAGTGGTAGAGCTGGATTTGGAACACAGGCTATCTGGTGCCATAGTCTATGTACTAAATCACCATGCTACTTTTTTGCATAGAGTAGAAATGCAACATGCTGTTGAATCATTGATAATGTAAAAGGTTTTGACCTTTTTTGCCATTAATTCTTTCATTCAGTCTCTAGCATGTACACAGCATTATGATAAACCATAAAGGAATAATGAAATATAAAGATGGAGCACAATCTTTCCTTCCACAATCCAAATAGAAAGATAAGGAGTGTGCAATGGTGAAGAGCAAAGGCTTGGGGTAGAGGGATTGCCAGCTGTGCCTCTTGGCAGCTGTGTCAACTTGGCAGTTTAACTTGCTTCTCAGAGCCTCAGTTTGCCCATGTGTAAAACTGAGATATTAAGCTCTGGCTTGAGGCATTCCACTCCCTTGCAGGAAGGTTGTGTTCACATAGGCCTACACTGAACGGTCACCATTAGAAAGTGCTTGAGGTGGGATGATGGATGGCCAAGGTCAGGGGCAGCAAACATGTCCTGGTATAGGTGATCAGCTGGAGATACTGTGCTAATGTTACGTTTTTAAAGAAGGTGTAGCAGGGCCACCAAGTGTAACCTCACAGAGGACAAGGGACACCAGACACATGGACTGTGGTGTGAATAGCACTACCTGGAGTTATGCAACATGGTGACCCTAGGGTGGGAGAGAAAAGCATGCCTGGAAAGGCTGAGGAGGGAAGATGTAAAGAAAGGAGAAACAGAGGCAGCTACTGAGGGAATTTTTTAAAGGAGTTATTTAGAAAAGTTTAATAAATGTGATGTAACTTCCCCTTCCATCTCTCTTTCTTTTTTTTTTTCTTTTTTTAAGACAGGGTCTTCCTGTCACCCAGGCTGGAGTGCAGTGGCACAATCACAGCTCACCACAGCCTCAGTCTCCTGAGCTCATGCAATTCTCCCACCTCAGCCTCTTAGTAGCTGGGAACACAGGTTCATGCACCACACCTGGCTAATTTTTTAAAAAATTTTGGAGAGACAGGGTCTTGCCATGTTGCCCAGACTGGTCTTGAACTTCTAGGCTGAAGCAATCTTCCTCGCCTCATGGCTGAGGTGAGGGCCTCAACCATGTGCCACATGCACCACATTGGCTGATGGTAGTGACTGCCTTCAGGCTGCACAAACACAGAGAGCTCCCCTTAAACCTCACACATCAACAGAGAGGTTAGAACCTGGAGACCACTGGGACACTATGGGTTCTATGGCTCCAGCTACATTATGAACTTCAAAGGGTTTGGCAATAGATAATTCTCCCAGAGAGGAAAGGCTTACCAGCTAGTCATGAGCCTGCCTAGTGTACCATCCCACAGCTCTCCAGTCCCCACATCTGGGAGAATCAGGTACTATTTGCTGAGTGCCCAGATGAGCCAGACACTGTCTTGGAGATTTTGGGGTCTGGGAAGATTACGTTAGAAACCAGTCTGCCTATTGCTAAATGTCCTATTTCCATCTGTACCCAGAGAAAATGGTTGGTAACCTTGGCCAGATGTGTTGGGGCATGCTCTGTCTCTTCAGAGGGACCCCTTCTTACACTCTAGGTAGCATGATTGTGTAATTAAACCCTATGAGGTGGGAGTTAGAATGACCATTTGACATAGATAAGGAAACCGAGTCTCTCTACATGAGAAACTTGCTCACATTACCCAGCTGCTAAATGGAAGCATTGGGATTTGAGGCCACCAGACACATGATGGGCCTGTCTGACCCAATTCTTCTCCTGCAGCCTGGCTAGAATGCTGCCCTCCAGCCTCACCTTTCCCATGCTTGCTCTCCTGTACTGCCACCCCACCTCCACTCATGCCAAAGACTTGCATCCCCCACGTATCACTGGGCCATTTCCGAGGCTCTTCTAAGTCCCCCCCTCCAACACTCCTAAAAGCTCAGCTGAGGTGCCATTTCTTCTAGAACACTTTCCTGGACACCCCACCACCACCCCCAAGGCTGAGCTCCCATGAGCTCCCATAGTGCCTGTGCTTCCCTTTATCATGGCTAATCAGTGAGTGTCATTGTCCTTTACTTCTCTGTACCCCTTGAGACTAGTTCAGGTGAGATTCATTCTCTAGCTCAGTGCCTAGACCAGGACCTAGCTCATCAGGGACTCAATAACTATTTGTGGAAATGAAAGAAAGGAGGGATGAAAAGAGAAAAGAAAGAGAGGAAGTTAGGGAGGGAGAGGAGGAGGAAAGAAAGGGGGAGACCTGACCCCCAAGGAACATCATACACTCCCCTTCCTATCCTAGCTAGTCTGACTTTCCCCCACCACTACCACCTGACCCTCATATCTGACAAAGACAGTGACTTCTCTATCTCCAGATCAGGGCACAGATTCCCAGGCTGGGGCAGTAAATTGACACTGCAGTCAATTTTTAGTCTTCCTGAAGGGCACAATTTGTTGGCTGGTGATCTGCAGTGAATTTTTAATCACAGATCATCTACTCCCCATCCCCTTGTCCCTGACAGGTCTTGGTACTGTGTGCTGATGGAACACAGACTCTGTTTGACTAAGGTCTGCAGTGGAACTAATCAGGAAGGGAGGATTGCTGCTTAAGCCTCTGCACTGGCTGCTGAAGCCTCATGCAAACATTTTCATATAGTAACTGTCCCCTCAGTGCGGGGGACATTTCGGAGTTGAAAGCATTAAGAGGTGTAGGGATAATTTGCTCACACCAGGTTACAAGGCCTCATGGCCACTACTACTAGGAGAGGCATGGAAGCTGGTGATACAAAGTCTGGTTGGGGGCAAATGTGGACCTAAGACTTCCCAAGTTATAAAGACTTTCCTGTTTGTGACCTCAATAAATCCTCACAACAGACACACTGGAGGTAATATCATAAAAGTTTTTTTGTTTGCTTGTTTTTTTAGTGAATGCTTATAACATGCCAGGTACTTTACACAATTGCTTTACAAACGCTACCTCTTTTATGTCCATGGAATTTAAGAGATAGTTTCTCTTATTTTACAGATGGTATGTTAAGTTCCTTGCCTAAAGTCACACAAGATGTGTGATGAAAGTTCTGGAGCATAGATTCAGGTCTACCTGCTGACAAAGGCCATGCATTTGACCAGGCTGACAAGCAATATGCCCATTTCACAGATGAAAAATTAGTACATGGTAAATTCAAGACAGAATTTGAGCAAAGGTGCAGAGAATTGAGTGTAGGCTCTGAAATGAGATAGAATGAAATTGAAGTCTTGGCTCAGCTACTTAGAAGATATGTGGCCTTGGGCAATGTGCTGAGCCTCTGTTTCCTCAAGTGTAAAACAGGAATAACAGCATCTGTCTTGCAAGATTGTTTGCTGCAAAACCTCTCAACATGCTGCCTCGAAAAAATCAAAATATTCTTACATTGCCCATCTTCTAGATTTCTGGAGCCATCAGTCTTTAGAAGCCAAAGAGTCATTCTTGGCTCAGGTTCTCCCTATGTTAAATGTTCATTCATTAAAGGTCACAGGGTAAAAGAAATAATTACTGTTGCTGAGCCCTGACCACATTTCAGGCACTGCACTAGGCACCTTCATGTGCTTGACACTGGCCTACAAAGTTGGGATTTTTATGCATTTTACAGGTGAGGAAACTGAGGCACAGAGAGGTGAGGTGATGGTCTCAGGTCTGGTCTGGGGCAGAGCCCAGGTTTTTTGGTCCCAAATTCTTTGCTGCCCATCCCACTTGTGATTTTCCATAGCAGTCAGTCACCTCCCAGAAAACAGCCCTTCCTTATTCGGAGCACCTGCTCTTTCATCAGGAGGCAAGGCCAAGTCTCACCTGTACAAGTTTGGCAAATTTTAGACAGCACAGCTCTACTAGGCAAATAACTTAATTATTTGGCCTTTTATGTTTTACTTTTCACCAGAATACAATGCATTCATTATGTAGGTAAGAGATTTTTCCATCTGTTTGCAAATAATATTATTTAGCCTTCTTTGTACTAAAGGGAATGTACTTAGGAGTAAAAAAGAAAGAGGAAAAAGAAAAAGAAAGGAGGAAATTACAGTGCATTATAGACCTAGGGGACATAATTACAGAAATACTGCAGGTTTTGCATTAGCTGAAAAATTGCAGCCATTTCATTGTGGGAATAAAGCTATTTTCTTTTATTTTAAAGTGGATCCTTCACCTTCCAAAGGGCTAATTATGGTACTGCCTACATGTTGTGCTCATAGGCTCCAATTTCATCTTTTCATTAACCACAATGGCAAATAACTAAATTGTGCCTGCGCTCTGGACGTATCTTCGTGATGGCTCTCCTAACTGACGGGAGGAACACAGCAATCACTTGTCGCATGACTCAGTCCATGTTTTCCATAATTGAGCCCACCGAAGACCTTGTCAGAGGCCCCTCCTTCAGCTCAGCCAAAAAAAATGTATAAAACAATGCAAGTGGGCAGCAGGAACAGGGAGGTCTGGGGATGGGGAGGCAGAGGGAGGGAAATTCAACGGCTGTTAAAAGATAAAAGCCCTAAACTGATGTTTATGGAGAGTCTTTAATGACATGGGAGAATGTTTGAAATATAATACTTAGAAGAAAAAGCAAGATATACAATGTGTGGACAGTATGATTTCAACTGTGTTACACATACATATATACACACACATATATTATGACATTTTATATTTAATATATATGTATCAATTAACAGATGTCTTTAATATCCCAATATAATAACTCAACCCCTAACCTCACAGAAAGGCAGAAATCCAAAGCATCCTCCTTGACATTTCAAGGACACCCTGAGAAAAGGAGATTTCCTTTTTCCAGGGGCAGCCTCTCTCCTCTTATTCCAGCCCCTCCTCTTGGCTCAGCTGTCAATCCCCTTGAGAGATCTCAGCACCGACCTTTTGTGCCCTGCTTTTCTCTCTAAGCCACTTAATCCCTCTCAGGACAAGGACCTGTCTCCTGCATTCCCCATGGCAGCAACAACATGAGGCTGTTTTGTGAAACAGCCTTTGTCCTAAAATGTTGAGGACAATAAGGTGGAGGCTGCAGCACATGGCAAGAAAACACTGGGAACCAAAAATCCGGCTTCTGTCTCTGAAGTTGATTGGACGTGATGGGCCCAGGCAAGATTTGCCTGGCACATCGTTCCTAAGGAAGCAGGTTAGTTCTGGTGCTCAGAGTTTCCTGTTCTGCCGTGTGTGTGTGTGTGTGTGTGTGTGTGTGTGTGTGTGTGTGTGTGTTGTGTGTGTTGTGTGTATGTGTGTGTGTCTGTGTGTGAGTGCATGCATGCACATGAGCACATATGCACATTCCTGTTTATCTCTGCCATTGGAGTGTCCCTCTCTGTGTCCCTTCCTCTCCATCCCTCTCTGTCTTTATCTCTGCCAGCTCCCCTCTCTCTATATCCCTCACTTTCTCCGTTTGTGTAACTCTATTTTAGACAATCTCTTAGGCTTCCCAACATGTTCACATATTTTCTTTTCCAATTTCTAGGATCCCAACAATGGAACTTTCCTTCTCTGCTGTCAACAAAGGACTAAAAAACTTCTGTGTGATTTGATACAGACAATTTAGAAAACTTTTGTTTCAAAGTTTCCCATCCAGACTAGCCAAGGAGAGCAAGGGAGGGGAGCTAATAAGCCCATTAAGGTGTCTTCCCAAACAAATGTTTTCTTTGTCCTTCTGCCCAAATGCAGAAACAGCTGCAGCTTTAAAAAATAGCATACTTTTATCTTTTGAAGGAAATATGTGAAAGTTTTAGCACTGGTTGTCTTTGGTTGGCAAGAAATTGTTTAGTGTTATTTATTTCTTCCTATTTTTCTGAATTTTCCAAATTGTCCACAGCAAGCATGACTACTTTATCATAATAAAATCTCCAATGTATTATGCACCTGCTAGATCTCTGACTTAATCTTCACAATAGCCCTAATAGGGAGATATTAATATGCCCATTTAGAGGTTCAGAAAGGTTAGGCAATTTACTCAAGGTCACACAAGCAGAGGTGGAAATCAAACTAGACCTTAGGCCCTGAGCCACTAAATAATGCTGCTTGTGGAGATGCCCGTCCTCTACTTCATCTGCAGGTGCAGAGCCTTGCACATACATGAAAGCTCACAAGATCATCTGAATTTCCTCACCTGACTCCTCATTGTAAATGTAAGTGCTTCAGTACATTATGATTCAAAACATTAGCTTTCCCTGGGAGGGGATACTACTTTCTCACCCCACTGACATCAGACTTGGCCCTGTGACCTGTGTTGGCAGAGGGACTATACATGCTTAGCTTATTGAACCTAAAAGTGGTATATGACTTGCTTATAAAACATAGAGGAAAACGACATGTCACTTCTGCACAAAAGTGGTAGGAGCAAGCCATAGTTTTCCATGTCCCTTTCTTCCCTCTGCCATAAGGCAATGTCTCCAAGAAGATCAGTGTATAAATAGGGAGTGAGCAAAGTAACAGTTGGCCCATGATAGAAATGTGGCCTGGCAAGAAATAGACCTTCATTTTTCTAAGCCATTGAGATGTGGAGGTTGCTTGTTACCACAGTGTAACTTAACCTAAGGTGACTGACTCAATATATGTAAAAATTCAAATGTATAAGCAGTTACTAATACACTTCATACTTCCTCTTCTTGGAAGAAAAATAATAGGAAAGTGTTGACCAAGCATTCGTGTGAAATTTCACTTGTCCTTTCTGAAAATGATCTTGGGAAAATTATCTCCTCCTCTAGGGTGTATTTCAGCAGCATGCTCTGTTGATGGGGCAGGCTGTCAGAATCAGTCCCAGTCATGGGCTCTGGAGCTGCCCAAGGAAAGGCAGGCCAGTTAATGCATGGATCTAAGTCATTACAGGACCACATGGAAGGAAGCATTCAGCCTGCTCTTCTCCTCTCAAGGGCCACTGAGTTCTAACCAACCTCAGCCACAACTGGAGGCTTGAGGCTCAGGTGCCATCTGGGCAAAGCATGAAGCAATAAAGACTGACAGAAGGAATGCTTGGGGGGAATGCAGCCAATTACCACCTTTTGGTCTGAGATCCAGAGAGACACACAGCCTTCACAGACAATCTGGTCTTTCCGTGCCATTAGCAAAGCTGCCTTCAAGAGAAGAATGGCAACTTAACCAAAAAATTTCAGGATGAGACTAGAAGAGTAGCTATCATCACTAAGGAACATGCAAAAAAGAAAGCAGTGCTTTTGCCACTGAATGAAGCAGTCAAGTGATTTTTCAAGGAATCCCTGGGGGGTAGACATGATCATCTAGTCCCTAAATGACTCAACTGGTTGCTTTGTTGCTGAAGTGTCTTTATTCAATTTGTTCTTTTCTCATGATTCTTGCATTCTTTCATTCTTTCCTTCACTCATTCTATAATTCATCCATTCCCTCACTCGTCCAGCCAGTGAGTACCCTGAGCACAGCACTGGTCCAGACATCACAGCACACAGAGTGCAGGCAAGTGCACAGGGCAGGGCCCGGTGGGTGGAGGAAGGAGACAGAGCCAGGGTTCGCAGCTCAGTCTTTGTTACTAGGAACAAGAACTCAGTGATGAAGCCTTCATGTCTGGCTATTATTTTAGATTCTGGAATATGGACAAAACCTGTTCCTCACTATAGATATCACCCTAAACTGCCCCACTTTGTTAGAAAGTTTGGCACATAGCTGTGAAACCTGTGCAGGGGACCTAGGGCACCCCATGGGCTCCTGTCAACAACTACTGGTTGGTAGAAGGTATGGCTGACAGGGAGATGTACTGCTCAAATCTGCCTTCAGAAAGGACTTGCTTCCCAGGTGTGAGGAGTGCAGTTTTCTGACAGTCTTCAGCTGTTAGCTTCTCCAGGGTCTGCCTCAAGTTTTCAAGCCAAGGCCATTCTGTTCTTTGGCCAGCTAGTGACGAAGCGAAGGGAAGGCACAGAAGCCCGGCCATTTCTGCTCAACACAGGACTCCTCTCATGGGTCTGCATCATAGTCTGACATCTCTTCTGTCCAATCCTGCTTCTGCCCTTTTTCTTTTACAGGTGTTTGTCCTTGTAAACCCTTTGCACCTTTAACTCCATCTCAGCAGCTGCTTCCTGAAGAAACAAACAGGCACGGAACACAGGAGGAAAAGTGGGAAGAAGGAAAGAAGGAATGGGCTCCTCTCATGCCAGGAGCTCTGAAGTTTGAGAATGGGTAATGTTTCTTGCCAGCTCCTTCTCCGAAGGCAGATCAAAGTTACGGGATCTAACTTTGCCTAAGAAGTCCTGTCCTCTCTTTGTAAAGTTACCATCTGAGGCAGGACAGCACCAGTTAAGAGACACTAGGTTAGTAGGAAAGATCAGGATATGGCCCTGTGGCCCTACTAGACCAGCTGGGCAGACTGAATGTGGCCACACAATTCTGGCTGTGAGCATTAGAGACAAATATGAAAGGGCCAGTGAGACCATAGAGGACCATTGCAGATCAGGGCCTTGCTGAGGCAGTAAAGATCAACATGGTTTTGCCACAGGAACATAGAGTAGGGAAGGCTGTAAGGAGGAGCAGGTGATATTTGATGTGAGCTTTGATGGGCAAGCTCCCGGGGTACACAGTTACAAACCAGGACTCACAGCCTGCTCAGTACATGTGTATTTAGAAAGCTGAGCATGCATCAAGGTATCACGAAGACTTCTTTGGACATAGCAACAGAAACTGACTCTGGCTAATGTAAAAGAAAAGAAGATTTGCAGGAAGGCCACTGGGGAGCTGAAGAACCAGGCAGGGGAGCAGAGAGAAGCCTGGAAGCTCTGGTGCCCTGTGTGGCAGGAGCTCTTTTTCAACAATTCCACCAGGGCACCACTGTGAAAATGGATGAACACCACGATTTTTAGTGTCAGAGTTTATTTGTTCATGATTCAATTTCTAAGGAGAGATACAGTGTTCTCCCACTAGCTTGGCAGGGTCTGATGTTTTGATTAACAGTCCTGACAAGAAAGTATGCACAATCCAAGAGGTAAGAAGAGAACCAGGAGAATGTGAGGTCACAGAGATAAGGGAGGAGAGGTTTCTATGAAGGCAATAGCCAATATCATCCAATGTGACCAACAGGTCCAGTAAAATGAGGACAAATATTTACCTATAGGAATTAGCAATCAGAAAAAGTGGTTTCAGTGTGGAGGTAAAAACAGAAGCTAGATGCTCTGGGTTGAAGATTAAAGACGAGGGAAAGTGCGGGAAGACCATTCCTTTGAGAGAACTGAATAAGAAGAGAAGGCAAGAGATTTGTTGTTAGAGATGTCATTAGATAAAGGGAAGAGTCTTTGAGGATAGGGGAGACTTGGCCCTCGTATAAGCTAAGAGAAGAGAGCACAGAAGAGGAGAACGTAAAGATACAGAAGAGAATGGCAATAACAGACAAATCACAGAGGCCAGAGGAAGCGATTAGGGCCTAGGCAAGGACCTCCTTTGCACTCTGTCTTTGATGTAGTGTGCTCCTTGCAGTTCAGAATATATTATACCTCACACTTTCTTGCTCTCTTGTTGCTTGAGTATGATTTTAATCTCTATGATGATTAATTTTATGTGTCAACTTGACTGGGCTAAGGGATGCCCAGATAGCTGGTAAAACATTATTTCTGGGTGCATATGTGAGGGTGTTTCTGGAAAAGACTATCATTTGAATCAGTAGACTGAGTAAAGAAATCACCCTCGTGAATGTGGGTGAGTATCCTCTAATCTACTGAGGGCTGGAACAGACCAAAAATCCAGAGGAAGGGCAAATTATCTCTCTTCTTGAGCTGGGACATCCATCTTCTCCTGCCCTCAGACATCAGAGTTTCTGATTCTTGGACCTTTAGAAACTTACACTAGCATCTCTCCTGCCTGCCCCAGTTTTCAGGCCTTCAGCTTCAAACCTGAAGTTACACCATCAGCTGCCCTGGTTTTCAGGTCTTTGGACTCAGACTGAATTACACCATGGGCTTTCCTGGCTCTCCAGCTTGCAGATGGCAGATGTGGGATTTCTTAGCCTCCATAATTATGTGAGCTAATTCCCTTAATAAATGTCCTCGTCTATCTATCTATCTATCTATCATCTATCTATCTATCCATCCTATTGGTTCTGTTTCCCTGAAGAACCCAGACTAATATAACCTCAATTCAACCATAAGCTCCTTGAAGGCAGGAACCATGTCTTTGTAAGCAGAACAGGAATGGTGCTGCATAGGAGATTGAGAGACCAGAATCCTAGGACTAATTTGTATTATCAGACTGTGCTAGACTGAAAGTTACTGATAACTACAGTGGTGTGGCCAGATAGGTTTTTTAATTTTCTTATAAAATAAGAAGGCTGGAAGTAGGCAGTTCAGAGCTGGTACAGCAGCTCCACGGTGTATTTAACATGTCAGACTCCTATTCATTCATTCAGCCATCTTTAGTAGGTGGCTTTGGAGTTCACGCTTGGAGTTCACTTCTAAGATTCATAATGGCTCCTTGGCCTCTGGGCTTATACCCACATTCTAAGCCAAAAGGAAAAAGGAGGAGAGGGACAGAAAGCTTGCAAAGCAAAATCTTCCTACTAATCCCAGGTGGACTCCTGTTTGCTTCTTGTGGCCATCTCTAGCTGCACAGGAGTCTACCGCTCTAAACTGAATTGGGGCTTCATTGTACTCTAGCTTCTCTGCATCCCTGCCTTCCTCCTAACAGCATTCTTTGGGTTTCCGTTTGGGAAATTGCCCCTCTCCACTATGAGAGTCTTAGTAGGAGAGTAAATTCAGATGCTTTCCTTTCAACTTCTGCAGTTGAAGGAGTTTGCCAACACCTTTCCCAGGACAAATAGGAGAGTGTATACTAATGTTGGCCAATCTGAGGGCCTCTCCCAAGACTTTGGCTAGTGTGCAAGTGAAACAAGGGCATAGAAAGTGTCTAGAGTTTAATCATCTATCTCTGCAGCAGCTTCCTGACCAGACCATTTCTACTAAGAGATTATTCCCAGGGTTTTCACTTTCTAGCTTTTCAGAGCTACTTTCTCCCTATCCGTTTCTAAGCCTGGATCTCCAAACTTTCTGTAAGTTCTGAAGGCCCAATCCTGCCAATAAACTCCCATCTACTGGGTCACAGAGACTGTTTCAATTGCTTCTAACAAAAAAGTCCTGACTAATACTCCAAACCCACCACTGGTCAGGCGTGATCTCGAGAAAATCCTCTAACCTCTCTGGGTACTCTCTACTGATCACAAAAGGATGGGTTATTCCTAAAGGCTTTTCCATTATGACTTTGACCACCTCCAGAAGGCCCTCTTTGTACCAAGTAGGCCCAAATGGACATCAAAGCCTGGATTAGGGTTTTAGCAATAGGGGTAAAATATAAAAGCTCCATTAGGAACGGCAGCTGACAGCACTGGGATGCTGCTACTGGAGCACTCCTTGGGCAATTAACCCAGGTAAGCACCAACCAAAACCCACTCCACTGCTTTTGGCACCAGAGTGCAATGTTTTCATTAGCAAACAGGCACTATTTAGTGTCTTCTTGCCATAATTATAAAGGTCCACTTATAATTCTGTGCTTTCAACTGTTCTTGATTATAAGACTTCTTAATTGTGCCACCATAAAACATGTTTTCAGGGGGAATCTGTTTTCCACTTTAAATTCTCTCCTGCAGCAATGTATTTGCCTTACAAAACTTCAGAATAAAGGGTAGAGGCTTCTGTAAATTCATAGTCTGTACCTTCAAGGAAAAATTACTTTGTTAGAATAGCAAAGTGGCCCCAGTTTGGCCTTATTTTCTAGCAAAAACTCATTGCTTAGCTGCATTTAATAATCCATGGAACATTTCTATTAACTTCAGTGTGTGAATTGTGTGACTGCAGAATGGGTAAAAAAAAAGTGAGAATCAGGAATACAAAATATGCAGAAAATGAAAATAAGTGAGATGTTAAATATTTGATCAAGGCCTTTATTTTCAGGTAACCAGTTGCCATCTTGGGGTCTCAAATGCCAACAGAAGCCACAGAATACTATTCTGAATTATTAAAGTGACTAGGAGAACCTTGTTTCTTTTTACTACTTTTAAATGAGTATGTAGCCTCTCAAGCTAACCTTTGCTTAAACATTTAACATAGACATTGGGTGAAATATAAAAAAGCAAAAGTTCTCAGTCTAATACTCAACCTGTAATTATAAATCAGATTACATAATACAGCTCAGCCATTTCATTTTATTTTTCTGTGTTCTAACAATTTTTTTCAGTTTGAGAGGAACCTAACCAAGATTAGTTGAAAGTCTGCATTCTAGAATATTTTTATCTGTATGTGTACTGAATATATTTTTCATTTGCTCAATTCAATGCATTCATTCATTCAACAGATATTTATTGAATATCAGGTGCTAGGCACTGTTGTGGGTGTGAGGACATATCAGGGAACAAAATGTATAAAGATTCAGCCACTCTTGGGCCCTACACTTCTGCGAGGGAGACAGATAATGAGCAAAATATCCTCCAATGATAGGTAGTAAGTACTACAAAAGGGGTTGTATGGGAGTATTTTTGTTTGTTAAGTGGAGCTGTCTACTAGAAAGCTAATGAATTGGGAAAGTTATCCTAAGAGTGGGCGGTGTGTTATTTAGGTCAATGAGGACAGCAGCACCATGGTTCTAGGTGCAAATAGGCCCAGTGTGTCCAAGGAACAGCAACAGAGTCAAGGAAACCAGAGATGAGAATGGCTGACAGCTGGAGCACTTGTCAGGGCAGATCCTTGAGGGCCTTGCACACCAGGGGGAGGACTTGAGATTTTACCCTAATTGTGGTGGAAGCCACTGGAAACTTTTGAGCAGAGGAGTGTTATAAACTGATTCACGTTTTAAAAGGATAATTTTAGCTCAATAGTAAGTATAGCCATGAAGCCAAATTGACAAAGTGAAGGTTTTCTAGTGAGGACCTGCTTTGATGCTTGTATAAGAAAGATCTGGCATGAGCACTATCTGTTCACTGTTTGTAAGAAAACACCTGGCCGGGCACGGTGGCTCATGCCTGTAATCCCAGCACTTTAGGAGGCCAAGGCGGGTGGATCACCTGAGGTCAGGACCAGCCTGGCCAACATGGTGAAACCTTGTCTCTTCTAAAAATACAAACATTAGCTGGGCGTGGTGGCGAGCGCTTGTAATCCCAGCTACTTGGGAAGCTGAGGCAGGAAAATCACTTGAACCTGGGAGGCGGAGGTTGCACGCCACTGCCCTCCAGCCTGGGCTACAAAAGTGAAATTTCATCTCAAAGAAAAGAAAAGAAAATGCCCATCTGCTGAAGTAGTTGCAGTGACTGAAAAGTTTGCCCTCTTTGGTCATTTGAAAAGTCCACCAGTCTCCCTTTTACATTTTACTTTTACCCACTCAAAGCTTGCTTTTCCTCAGCGACAGGTCAGAAGTCAAGGTTAGAATAGGTTCATCCAAATACAGAGGCTGCCCCAGTCTACGGCCTCATCACAATCCATCCACAAGCAAGCTTTCCAGAATGGCCTCAGGTCCATCCCAGGACTGTGACTCTCAGCCATCTGCACATTGCTTACTGCCCAAAGAGTTCCTCCTGAAACTTCATCAGCACACTGTTAAGTGATAGAAGGAAACTGCAGAATAGTGTTATACTGTAGCCAGATCTCATTTTAGTAATGACATTTTTATGCCTAGAAATAATGTTTTAAATGTTCAAAAATATGAGCTAAGTGGTCAGTTCCAGCTTTTTTCCCTGTAGAGACCTGTCTCCTGCAGCCTTGGGTGGGATGATTCCAAGGCATGCTCTTCACACAGTTTTCTAGGGTTTTCCCCTAGGATTAAGCCCTAAACATCTATTATAGTAGCTGGCTTAATCTTTTATTGAGCTCCCCTTTTCTTCCCTGTATTGCTTCTTCATTACTCTGCTGGTGTTCCATGTACCTCTCAAATAACTACTTGCATTAATTCTTACCTCAGGATCTGGTTCTGAGGCACTCAAGCTGAGACATCCTCTATGTAAAATCTTCCTCCTTCCTGAGGTGGCATTAGGTGGCCACCTTCCTTGAGCCATAATGGCAGATAGGATCCAGGAGAAATGAAACTTACCAATAAAGGAGAGATCTGAAAATATTATTCCCATTATACCCATAATCCAGTAGTCTTTTTGTGAGCTTAAGCAAATACAAGACTTGCATTTAGGTATTCCTCCTTCTAAAAAATTAGGAGGTAGTTGCCTCTCCAAAATGGATTTCTCAGCCATTGCGTCTTCACCGCTTAGGTTAGGTAAAGCTTGGCTATTATATGAGGTTCTTACCTTCCAGCACAAGGGGACGCTACTTTTTTAAAAAAATATTTTTATTTCCATAGGTTATTAGGGAACTGGTGGTATTTGGTTACATGAGTAAGTTCCTTAGAGGAGATTTGTAAGATTTTGGTATACCCATCACCCGAGCAGTATACACTGAACCCAATTTGTAGTCTTTTATCTCTCACTCCCTTCCCATTCTTCCCCTCTGAGTCCCCAAAGTCCACTGTGTCATTCTTATGTCTTTGCATCCTCATAGCATAGCTCCCACTTATGAGAATATACCATGTTTGGTTTTCCATTCCCGAGTTACTTCACTTAGAATAACACTCTCCAATCTCATCCAGTTGCTGTGAATGCCATTAATTCATTCCTTTTTTCTTGCCTAGGAAACCAGGCTTCCTCCTAGACCAAGCTTTAGTCTTCACTACCTCAGGCAGAGAAAGCTTCCCTTGCATGAGGAAGTCATTGCCCAGCCTCTTCTCTGCTCTCTGTGTGCAGCTTCTCCCTCCCTGGCCTAGGGCCCTGACCCAGAATGACTCTTCAGCCCACGATTTTAATCGAAGGCCTCTAATCAACCTGTGGTACTACATGCTACACAAGATTCTCAGAAATCCCTAAGCTTTCTCATGAGCCTCCCACCCTGCTGGGAAATAAGCTGACTTATCAATTAAAGAATATCCAAAGATGTTAAGCCACTTAATCCTCCCCAAAACTCAGTGCGGTAGGGGTTGTTACCTCCCATTATACGAAAGGAAAGTGAGGCTTGGGAAGTAAAGAGACTTGTCCAAGATCACCTTCTGGAGCCACATTTTACACCACAGGTAAGAGAAAAGGGATCCGAGAGGGCACGGACACTGTGTCTTCAGACTGAGTGGGGAAGTACCATTTACCTGGGTACTTATTGGGTGCAAGTTGCATGCCCCCGGTGCTAATACACAAGGGACAAATTTATGGGCCTCCTAAAACTGTGGACAGTGCACCCGTCCAGCCAACTTCATGGGTGCACCGTGAGGCTCTGGTGATGTGGACAGGCTTATAAAACACTCTCCATACTAAGATGAGGTTGTGTTCCTGTGTCTAGGAAACGCTGGAAATTAAGTGTACAGCAATCAAAAAACCTTGACATCATCCTTGATGTCTCTCTTTTTCGCACACTCCAATTCACTCCATTAGGAAACTGTATTGGCAGAATCTAGTGAATCTTGTCCTTCAAGGCCTCTCTCTGCAAGGCTCCCATGAGCCCTGGGGGCTTATGGAGAGTTCTGGGTGGGCAGAGGAAGCCAGACTGCGTTAGGGAAGCAAATTTGGGACCTAAATTTCCTAAGAAGGTTTTAGGGGATAGGGACCCCAATCTCTAAGACCCCAGGATTCTGTTAAGATTTATTTTCTCATTCCAAATAAATGTTCACTGGCAAGCCCTAATTCTGTCTTCTCTTTCTTAAGCAGCCCTCCCTTCCTTCTCCCCACACAACTGTGTATGCTTCAGGCCCCAGAAATCCTTCCCTGCTTTGAGGTCTGGCGTTTACCAGGGCAGGGCTTGAGAATAGAGGTGTAAATTTGTCAGAAGGAAACAGGGGCCGCGCAGTAAGAGAGTAGATCCTCATATAACATGGCAGAAAGTCAATGGATAAATCAAGAAATCGCTATGTAAGTTTCTTTTTTTATTTTTTTATTTTATTTATTTATTTTTTTTTTGCGACAAGCGGGTGACCACTAGAAGAAATTAACGGAGGAATTGTTAAAAAGAGCTGTGATGGGAGGGAGAAGTGGCCTGTTGCTTTCATTATAAGCAAATCTAGATAATTTTATTTTCTAATAAGTAAGTGGGCGTTACTTTCATGTATTTTTTTAAAAGAAAATTAAATAAAAATACAAAACAAACAGAATACAAAACAGGAGAATAAAAAAGCAAACACGCACGCAACACAAAAGAGCCTTGGCGGTTGGGAGCCAGCGGGCGGGGGCGGGGGCAGGGGAGAGGGCGGGGCTTAGGACCCTGGGCGGGGCCAGGGCCGGGTCTCCTTAGGGCCCGCCCCAGCGAAGGGGCGGGGCGCAGATCTGTTTCCCTCAGACTCCATCTGCCCGGGGCCGCTAAGGGAGCGCAAGGTCAAGTTCGCCTTGGCCCCGCCTCCAGCTCAGGTACTAGGGGATCTAGACCTGAGGCTGCCCGGGCCGGAGGCAGCCTTGAGTCCCGAGACCAAACGTCGTTTCCCTCTCGGACCTCGGGCGCCGGGCCGCGCGCTGACCGACAGCCCCTGCTAGGCCCAGCAGGTCCCCTAGTCCCCCGCAGTCCCCCGAGACTCGCCGAGCGCCGTTGCTGAGCCCTGCAAATAGCAGGTAAGCGCAGCGTGGGCCCCTCGTCAGCCCACTAGGACCTGGATCGCGGCTGAATGCCCGGGCCCACGTGACTCCTGGCCCCTAACTGAGTCCTGGGAGTCCCCGCTGGGGCGACAGGTGGCGGCGGAGTGCGGAGCCATCCGGGGTGGCGCGAACCGGGGGGACAGCTCCGCGCTGCCTCTGCGCGCCGGCGGTTCTCGCTGCAGCGTGTCAACCTAACCCCCAGCTCCCCTTTGGCTATGACCAGAGTCCCGGAGACGTGGGTTCGGATCCCACCTTTAGCACTCGTGCACTCAAAGGTTAAAAATATAAGCACAGTGTCTAACAAATACTTAACGTGTTCCACTCAGTGTCCGCTGCTGGGCTAAGTGCTGGGGTTACAGTAGCAGGCCAAAAAATGTGGTGCCCTCCCCCGTGCAGCTCACAGTCCAGTGGGGGGAGACCGACAGCAAATGGATATCTATGCAAACAAGTGTGAACGTTAAAACTGTGGTCAGAGCTATGAAGATTGAAATTCTAGGGTGCTGGAGAGATTTTATCAGGGCCCCCAGCTACAAAGGCTGCTGGAACTAAAACTTTAGAGAATTCCCGGGCGGGGAACAACAGAGCAAACTCATTTTGTTGGGAGAGAATGTGGCTTGAGGAAAGGAGGGTTGGTGGGGCTGGCCTGCAGAGAGCTGGGGGGAAAGCAAGTTCCTTAACCTTAACGTTCTCCTCTGTAAAATGGGATTGTTCTACCCATTGAGAATGGAAATGGTGAATGTAAATGACTTAGCACTGCGTGATGGGTGCTGGATGTTACTCTGCACTAAACATCCAAGGCTTGATGTTGTTCTGGACTAAACACAGTGTGCCTGCCTCTCAGCAAAGTCACTTCCCCTCTCCTTGAGTCCTGTTTCTTCCTCTATCAAATAAGTGGTTCTGAGTAGAATCTCTCAAACAGCCTGTTCTCTAAAATGATGACTGGTTTAGTTGTTCATTCTTGAAACATTTAACTGGCGCCCACTTTACCCTGGCTCTGAGGATTCAGAGAGAAATCAGACAGGGGCCCTGCCCTCCTGGAGCCCATGTCCGGTGGGCCAGGTGAAATAAAGTGACAGTTCCACCCTGGCACAACCCAGAGAAAGGGTTCTTACCCACTGGCCTTGCAGGGGAAAGCTTCTCTGTTTTTCTCAGAAAGCCACCCAGGAGCCCCTGAAGGTATGGTTCACACAGCTCCACTGAGCATCAGTTACTTCTTGAATTTCATTGGTGGTTCTCAGCTTTTGGTGTCACCTCTTAAAACTGGACAGAAGACTTCCCAGAAGCAGCAACTATGCTGGGACCTTGCTAAGGACGTGTCAGACCTTGAGACCCCATGGATTTGGGAGAGCATTTTAGGTTTCAGGAAACATCTGTCAGCTGCTCACTGTATTTTATTGGCTCAAATGATCCCAATTTCTTATTTGGCTCTGTTCACAACATTGTTGTAGACAAAGAAAGTGCTCCATGAAAACCAACTGAGAGGCCCAGAGAGTAGGGGAACCCAGATGAGGCAGGAGTCTGGCACCATTTGTGGGGAGTGGTAAAAAAGAACAGGTATGATGTTAACAGAGGGTGTTGGAGGGAAGAGGAGAGAGAGCAGCCATTGTGCAGCCTCTCTTTTCCCCTCTCAGACCACTGCAGGATGCCAGCCCATGAGAAGGGAAGCTCCAGGCTTGGTGGTCACAGACCTGGCACTTCTCAGCTCTGTGACTGACCCTGGGCAGCTCACTCACCTTGTGAGTCGTGAGGATTGCTCAGGCTTAACAGGTGCTTAGCATATCGTTGGCCCTGAAGAAATATTAACTCCCACCCTCTCCTTCTCCTGAATGAACTAAAATATACATAGTTGTAGTGTCTACCTCAGAAGGTTATTATGGGGATTTAATGAGGACCTAAAATACATAGAGCAGTACCTGACATGTGGGAGGATACTACTACTATAACTATTGATATCGTTCCTTAGTCTGGACAAAAATTGATGAAACAAGACAGGGCAGAGGCGGGAGAGGGATAGGAGTGGAGGCAGTATGAGGAATTGTGCAGGGTGATTAGTCAGGGGGTTAGATTATCTGTTGCAGTGGTTTTGCCATAAAGCAAGAGCCTGGCAGCAGAGAGGGGTGTTCTGCATGATAAAGGGCCTCCTGGGCAGCTGCACTGTCAGAAAGCCCCAGAAAGCCCCAGTGTCTTTGTAGACTCAGGCCAAAGAAAGCGTAGCAAAAGTTGGAGAAAACTAGGGTTGAAAAGGGTCTAAAATGGTCTTTTTGATGATGTGTCTCTAACTGATGGCTGAGTGGGGGTTCCCTGCAGGGGGCTGCCACTGCACCTTGCAGACCCTTGCCATCCCTTTGAGCATGGTAACTGCCTGAGACCGTTCTGGCTCTTTGACCTGGGAGCTATGGAGTCTAATTTTGCAAACTTCTCACCCAGCAGAGTACCAGGCCAAAAAGGCATGAATCAGTAATGAACAAATAAATGAACATAAACCCAAGAGGCAGATTTTTCATGGTATATGTGCACGTGTGTGTGTGTGTGTGTGTGTGTGTGTATGTTTAAAAGGAATACGAAGGTAAGGAAAGATGACTAATGTATTTAAGCATTTGCTGAGGGCCAAATATTTTCATGTATGTCGCAGCTTAGTGGTGAACACCATAGTCTTGTAGTCAGATAAAATTGCTCGTGTGACTTTCCCATGTATCACCAAAGTGCTCTAAACCTGTTTTTGCATCTGTAAAATGAGAA
This sequence comes from Homo sapiens, assembly GCF_000001405.40. Taxonomy (NCBI): domain Eukaryota; kingdom Metazoa; phylum Chordata; class Mammalia; order Primates; family Hominidae; genus Homo; species Homo sapiens. The sequence goes on along the minus strand of NC_000003.12, from coordinate 139,674,941 downwards.
TCACTGTAGCTAATTCATAGGGCTGTTAGGAGCATTAAGCAAGATAAGCATATGAAGCACTGACCTCAGTATACAACATGCAGTATGGTAAGTGCCCGGTCAATAATGGCTGCCTTATTATTATATTTATTAATCTTCCCAATGATCTCCACAGTGGTAAGGAAACTGAAGGCCCTAGGCACAGAAGGGTGGCATGGATTCTGAACTGAGTCCCATCTGGAAGCAAAGGCACTCTGCAGACACTAACCAGACAGCTTGTGTGAAATGAAATCAACTTTATGTGCATTTCATTCGTTACTTAAAGCACTTGACTAAGTGAAATTTTAAAAAGAAAAAAACCTGCAAAATTATAATTTGTGTGCCTTTCAAGTTCAGGTATTTTATCATCTCGATAAATCTTCCATACATCTATGTTAAACCACTTTGAGCTGTCAAAGCTCTTAAATAAAGTGGCTCGTCCTCACCAGTGTCTGTCTTTGCTCGTTTATCATGGTTCCCCAGTAAAGATGGACAGATCCCATTTTGCGGGGCAGGCCTCAGGATGGCAGCTCCTGCCCCATTGGTTTAGCTGTGCAGTTCTGCATGATGGTATTTAACAAACCACAGTGGACTCATGATTCCTTCATCATTGTGTCTCCCACATACACATAGACCCATGTGCCACTCTAGGAATTAGGAATAGAAAGGCAATCTATTGCTAGAGAGAATCTGAGAAATCAGCTCCAGGGAAATCTAAGATTCTCTGTAATAGGTTTTGGGTGGAAGTGCCTGGGATGAGGGTGACCATGCATCTGGAAGTCAGCACTGTCTGCTCTTTCCACCCAGAAGTGCTGTGTCTGGGCTGCCTTCCTGCCCAGTGAAATCCTGGTCTTCATCCCTGTGCCTCTCTGCTGTCCCTGCCTCTGGCCAGAGCTGCCCCTAAATCCAGAATCCCTGGGGCAGCGGCAGAGGCACACTCTGTTGCAGGGAAGCCTTCCTGAATCCCTCCTCAGCCTTCCCATAGTACCAGCGGGTGCCTGTCGGCATGCCCTTCTCTGGCCACGCTGAATTACCTCCTCTGCTTGGCTGTGAGCACTTCCACAGCTTTGGACCAAGTGTTCCCTGTACTTAGCACCATGCCTGGCACGTTGTTTCTCTCTCTCTCTCTCTATTCCTTCCTCCCTTTCTTTCTTCTACACATACTTCAGGCAGTGTCCTGGGGATTCAAACAGTGAGTCAAAATGACATAGTCCTGACCCTCATGGAGTCTGCACACATCATGAGACAGATTTAACAATAGAATTAAGCACATACACACATAGCAACACATTTTAAACTGGCTTAACTCTCCTGAAGGAGGAGGCTGGTGTCAGGGCCGCATGTGGAAGGGAGAAAGATAGAGAAATATAGTCAGTATCACTATAGACAGAGGGGCCAAAAGTGTTGGAGGGAGGCTTATGTTCCTTTTTTCATATACACCCTTGAAGACCGCTGGATGATATTTTTCTATAAATCCTGGTAAGCAGTGGTGTATGCTGCCAAGGTCATCCTATTGAGAATGTACACTTTTAAAAACAACTGTGCTTCAGCTTCCAAATGGGAGAATAATGCTGTGATCCAATTCACTTACCCCTTTATAGTTTCCAGAGCTCCTCCTCGGATGTTGTCTGGTTGGGTGCTCCAGTTCTCAGCGTCATACATCTCATCTTGGGTAGCAGCAGCAAACAGGGATCCAGCTCACCTGAGGGTAAATCTAGTGGCGTGGGCACTGGAGCCTTTTCCCTTCTGAGTGACAGAGTCCACCTGAGAGCCTATTTGTTTCCTCCTTCTCTGATACTCCTGGGCACACCAGGCTGAGTCTCCAGCATAGATTTTATCATGTTGTGGCTAGTGGTCTGCTGTCTGAGAGGAAAGAAGGGCACTGCTGACTGCTGTTGTCCGGAAAGCTGGGCCCACCAATCTGTGTGCAGCTGTGGCAGGGTGAGCTGGCAGTGATCCTACCCATGCAGAGCCATGCCATGCCAGCACAGTCCTTCGTGAGGAACCAGCAGTTCTCCAGAGGGGCACCATGCCTGCCTTCGAAACCCATTCATTTCCACTGAGAACAGGGAGAAAGTCACACTAAAGACCTGTTCAAAATAAGATGTGATCCAAACAGCCTCAGGAAACATTCTCTGTCCATACTTGAATATTATTAGAGAGTTACTTTGGCCAGAGCTGTTGACAAAATACATCTCCAATCCCTACCAGTCTCAGATGTAGACCTTATCACCAGAGATGAGCTGCCGTCTTCTCTGCAGCAAAGGAAGGATGCATCACTGCACAGAGATTGAAAAGGCCCCCATGCTACTCTTAGTCGGGTGAGTTTGCCTGCCTTGCACAGACTGGTGGGGAAGGGCTATATTCTCAAGGTACAGCTATAATAGGATTGTAATTGTGTGGCTCTTAGCCATGGAGAAAAGAAGTGGTTCTGGAAATCTCCCTTTCATAAAGGCTGACACGCTGACAGTATTTATGCCTCTTGAAAGTACATGTTAAGTGGTGGATATTTATGAAAAGGGTTTTGAGGAGTAAATGTGTCCATCAGTCAACCTGGAACTTTTTAGAGCTCCTAAGATGGTTTTAAATTAGAGCCAATCTTCTTCCTGCCTTCCCCCTTCCATCAGTACGCCCCCCTTTCTTTGCTTTCTCTTATAAAAATGAAGTGTCAAGGCAGGACAGAGCCCGGGGATGAGGTTGGAACTGCCTTACAGAAGCAGAGTTAGCATATTAAAGGCAGGTGTGTAGGGGTTAGAGCCTTGATTCTGGTCCTTCCCCCTTGTCACAGTGTTCTGGAAAGAGGAGAGTACGGAGCAAGGCTGACAAGCATGGCTCAGCCTAATTGCATCCTAACCACTGCCATCAGCAGCCCTGATATCAGCCAGGCTGCTCGCTGAAAGGTTTACAACCATAAAGGAAAAGAATGATGAAAACATGTGATGCAAACCAACCCGAATTTGGGCTCAATAAGTGGCAGGTGGAAGTGAATGAGTGTCAGTGTCAATGAGGGAATCACACCAGGTCAGGTCAAGAGAAACCTTTAGAAGGCTGGAAGTTTCTCTGTGAGCCAGTGATCATTAGAACAGAATGCCTGTTACATGAATTAGTGTGTAGGAGTCTAACTTGGAATTATTACTCACTTTCAAATCTTCATTTTAAAGATCAGTAATAGGTTTATTGCACAAACCTTATACTTAGTAACAAAGACTGCTTTGCTTTTAATTTCCCCATCTGGCCTTCTTCTATGTAACTTATATGGTGCCGTTGATCATTCTTGTCTTAATGTTTGTGTGTGTGTGTGTGTGAGAGAGAGAGAGAAAGGATACCACTGTCTGTTACTCATGTTGTGTTTTGTAAGTAATCAAAGGACCGTCGATGATAAAAGTATAGGAGCTGCCTGTTTCAGGTGTCACTGAAATGCTGCTACCTTTTGGCTTCTTCTGAAATTCTGCTTTAAGAAAATAATCTGAAAATTAGAAAGAGCCACTGTATAAAAATGCTCTCTGCACCATTATTTGCCATGGTGAAAACTTGGAAGTGATCTGAATATACAGTATAGGAGGAGAACAAATTACAGAACGACAGGCTGATGGAGTATTATGTAGTACTTAGAAATATGAAGATTAGCCACATGGGAAACCTTAACATGCTCTGGGAACAGAATGCGGTTACATTACAGACATATTTAGGAAAACAGTCTTCAAGGGAACCCTCTAAGGGGACAAGAGTTACATATGAAAAAGGGAATTATGGATAACCTTTTTCATATATCAAGCTTTCTATATTATTTTATTATTCCTATAACTATTTTAAAATCTTAAAATCAGCCAAATTAAACAATGATCTTTCTTCAGTTTGTAATTTTAGGCCACTACCTTTGTGGCCTCATCCTGAATTAAATCATCCAATCAAAAAGAATGTTAAAGCCAGGTTTGGCTCCCTGTTTCCATGTTTCCAGTCCAGAGATACACTCTGGGTTCCTGGCTGAATGGCCTGCAGATGTGTTCACCCTGTCCCTGTAGACTTGAATTCTCAGGGTTTTTAAGTTAAAGAAGGCCATTGCCTCTCCTGGTCCCCAGTACTGTGGGAGGAAGGAGGAATTTGGAATTGCAGCCTTCAGAGCCCTTATTGGTGACATTTCAGCAAACTCTCCCCACAACCCAACACACACAGTTACTAATTGCCTAGGGTAGCCCTGTATCATTCTGGCATCTTGTCTTGCAGGCATTGTATTCTAGTACCTCAGGAACTGGATATTATGTGTGTACTGCCAACTCTCACTGTGATGGCGTTATATCCGTGTATTCTTTGCTACCTAATGCTGGCCAAAGCCTAGTGCATTAAACTCATTCAATTGGCTAAACATTAGGAAATCATGTCACAAGACAAGGACTTGAGTCTGAGTAGTTTATTTGAAAGTGGACCCCAGGAAGCACTAGCAAAAGGTAGGGAAATTAGCCGGGGAAGTGTACCATCAAGCAGATGTCCAGCAGGGGCATCTGGGCTTTAATCCTGATGGGGATCTCCAGAGCCAGCGCAGAACCATCTCAGAGTTATCCCGTCATGGGGCTGGGGGCTGGGTATACACATACCATTTCTGTCAGTCATTGCTGAGACAAAGAGATAGAGATGCTGTCAGTGGAAGTCAAGCTGGCTTGCTCTAAGACGATGAGGCCTGGGGCTCAGGGCATGGCACTGACAGTGTCTGCTGTACTGTTCTTCCCTTTAACACCATGAACATTATCAGCGTACTAAACTGAAGATAACCAAGTCCACAATTCCCTGCTAAATCAGACCCAGTTACACTACATTGAAGACTGCATTAAGTATAACCAACCCCAAAAGTTTGAGAAAAAAATCATGGATGGAAAACTTTAAATAAGAAAAACATTACCATATTTCTTCCTAGTAAATTGGAATAGACTACCAAAATTTGATTTTAGTGGCAGAATGCTAGTTTTCTGCAACTGTACAGTTTAAGACCCAACACTTTAAAGGAAGGCTTGAGTGTGTAAGGTTTATCTTTATTATGGCAATGTTTTTTCCTCTCTTGTAGCTTGATGATTCCTGTTATTTTTCTGGTAGATTAAGATGATATTAAAAGAAAACTTCATTAGGAGAAAATATTTAACTTTATTTGTATTAATCCATAATTATATCTCCAGTGCCATGTTTTAATATTAATATTGGATTTACTTGCTGTACTCACTAATACAAGAGGATGGCAGAAAATTTCTGTAGTTATGGCTTTAGGTGCTATGATAAATATTTTGTAGTCATTGCCTTTATATAGAAACACTTCATCTCCAATTAAAGATTTAGTAGCTCTTCATCAAAGTATCTATTCACAAACGAGGCATACTCTATGGTTGTGCTGACATTTCAACTTAATTCACTCTATAGTTTTGTGGATCCCAAATCTTTTTTTTTTTTTTTTTTTTTTTTCTGAGACAGGGTCTCACTCTGTTGCCCAGGCTGGAATGCAGTGGCATGATCTTGGCACTCACTTCAACCTCCGCCTCCCAGGTTCAAGCAGTCCTCCCATCTCAGCCTCAGGAGTAGCTGGGACTACAGGCATGCACCACCACACCTGGCTAATTTTTTTTTGTACCTTGTAGAGATGGGGTTTCACCATATTGTTCAGGCTGGTTTTGAACTCCAAGGCTCAAGTGATCTGCCTGCCTTGGCCTCCCGAAGTGCTGAGATTACAGGCATGAGCCACTGCGCCCAGTGCCCCCGTCCATTTTATATGCTTTTCTCCGCCATGCATAGAAGAGGAATAGCAGCAGAAATTTGGGGCATAATGCAGATTCTAGAAACACTCTCTATGTCTTTATTAAGTCTATTGGAATATTTGTCACTACAAATAAAGGCCATACTCCAAGAAATGATTTAAAATTGTAAATCACGTAGCAAGTTCAATAGGGTTTAGTGTTAAAATTCATATGCTTTCAGTTCTGGGCATTTTAGATTTGTGTAGAAAGAATTCAAGATCTTAGTGTTTTAGATCAATAAAGTCATTTCCCTTTAAGTTATGGTCCAAGATGCATTCCATAAAGACTGAGATGACAAATACCTGGTGTTTATGTATTTTTCCATACCCTATGCAGATGGCAGACATCATTGACTGATACCCAAGCCTGATTTCTCCTCAGCAAAGTTCTCTACGCAGCCAGCTGCTGCAGTTAATCAGAATTAGTTCCCTAGATGAAGTCTATGGACTCTCCATGCTCTTACATACCTTTGTACTTGTCCCTGCCATTTCTGTGAATGGTCAACAAAGGAAGTTTTCATAGTCTCCCTTCCAAAAAACATTTTTTAAAGATGAATTCAAGAGGCAGCTGGTTTGCTCACCTAGTGCCTTTTGAGCCACCTCTCTGTTATGCAGATGGTAGGTATTCTATTTGTCAATGACTGACTGTCTCCCTTCCTTTTGTCCTTCTATCATGTGCATTTTGATTTTCTTTCTTCATTTCCTCTAATGTTGCTAAGAAGATAAAACAGGAAGCCCCAAATTATTTGCTATTTTCTCTCTTATAAAGTTTGTTTGAAGTCATTTGTATTAATGGAAATGCATTGAGATTTTGATTTTCTTTTCCTCCCCTCAGGAAGACTGCTCTGCTATAGGTCACCAGCGACCTTCACATTACCAAATCTTACAGGCTTTCTCTGTCCATATTTTCAGTGCAACATGTGACACCTCAGACCATGCCCCACCTTTTGAACTGTTCTTTCTTGGACTTTCTTCTCTCTTCCCTCATTGTTTCTTCTTTGACTTCTCTACCTGCTCCCTTTCCTCTGCTGGCATTTTTAGTGGGGCATCCCCAAGATTCTTCCCTTGGGTTCCTCTTGCCTGTACGTTACACCTGGATAATTTCATTCACACACCTGGTTTGTAACCATCACCTTTATATGGATACCTCCCATATCCTTATCTCTATCACATCCTTTCCCTATAACCCAGACATCTGTGTCCAGCAGCCTGTTGAATGCTTTCTCATGTGGCTCCTATAGGCCTCTAGAGTCAGCATGTTTTGTTTGTTCTAGACTATTTCCTTTTGCACAAGGCTGACTAAATACTTGCCCCTCTCAGATTGTTTCTGCTACCTCCTTGAAGTCATACATACACCATTATGGGCTTGTCAGAAAGCTTCTGTCTTGGAAAATCAAGTGTAAGACAAGAGCACAAACCAAGAACTGGGGCTTAAAATTTAGAAACTTGAAACAAAACTATAATTTTATTGTCTCTCACAATTCTGGGGGTTGACTGGGCTCAACCAGGCAGTTCTCACTCTGGGTCTCATTCAGAGGCAGTTAGAAGGGGGCTGAGGCTGGACCCACTCCAAAGGCTTCCTCAGTAAAGAGAAACCTAGAGAATGGGAGCAAATATTTGCAAACTGTCCATCTGACAAGGAATTAATAACAAGCCTATATGAAGAACTCAACTCAATAGCAAAAAAAAGCCCAAATATTTTGATTTTTTTAAATGTGCAAATGATCCGAAGGACATTTCACAAAACAAGACATGCAAATGGCCAACAGACACATGAAAAATCCCCAACATCACTAACATCAGGGAAATGCAAATCAAAACCACAATGAGAGGTTATCTCACCCTATTTAAAATGACTATTATCAAAAAGACAAAAAACAACAAATGCTGGCAAGGATGAAGAAAAAGAGGAACACTACTACATCATTGATGGGAATGTATTAAATAACTTAGTACAACCATTATGAAGAGCAGTATGGAAGTTCCTCAGAAAACTAAAAGTAGATCAACCAAATGATCCAGCAATCCCACTGCTGGGTATGTACCCAAAAGAAAGGAAATCAGCATATTGAGGAGATATCTGCACTCACATGTTTATTGTGGTACTATTCATAATAGCCAAGACTTGGAATCAACCTAAATGTCCATCAGCATGCCAACCATTCTATCAATCAATAAAGAAAATGTGGTATTATATACATAATGATACATTATTTGGCCATAAAAAAGAATGAAATTCTGTCATTTGCAGCAACATGGATGGAACTGGAGGACATTATGTTAAGTGAAATAAGCCAGGCACAGAAAGAAAATTATTGCATGTTCTCACTCATGTGGGAGCTAAAAGAGTTGATCTCATGAAGGTTGAGTAGAATGATCATAACCAGAGGGTAGCAAGGGTTGGGGAGGGGTGAGGCTGGTACAGTAAAGGGAGGTTGGTTAATAGGTACAAACATACAGTTAGGAGTAAGTTCTAGTGTCTGATAGCACAGTAGGGTGACAATAGTTAACAGTAATTTATTGTAGATTTTTAAATTGCAGGAAGAGGAGATTTGGAATGTTCCCAACATAAAGATGGTAAATATTTGAGGTTATGGATTTCTTCATCATTACACATTGTATGCATGTAGCAAAATATCACAAGTTACCCTATCAATATGTACAATTATTATGTATTAACACAAAACAAAATAATTTTTAAAAGGCTTTCTCACTCAGTGGCTGACAATTGATGGCGGCTGGCAGCTGGGGCCTCCACTGGGATGCTGGAATGGCACATCAGGTGGCCTAGATTTCTGCACAGCATGGCAGCTGGGTCCTAAGAACAGGTATCCCTGGAGGACCAGGTGGGAGCTGAGTCACCTCTTATGGTCTACCCTCAAAAGTCTCATAGTATCACTTTTGCCATATTTTCTGGCCTGCCTATCTTCAGGGGGACAAAATAGACCCACCTCTCTGTGGGAGGCATGTCACTGTCCCATTGTAAGAAGAGCATGTGGACAGCGCATGCTGTTGTGCGTGGGTTGGAAAATACATCCTGCCACAGGTCTCCAACATGTCTGACTACTCCTCTGAGAACCACCTGGAATGACACAGAAGCTTTCTGTTTTATTTATTAAATTTTTTGATAGGTAACATATTTACATGATTCAAAAGTTAAGAAAAATAAATATGAATATATTCAATGAAAATATTCCCTCTCATCTCATAGCTTCTACCTTTGCCTCCCCATAGACAATCACTGCTATATTTTTTATATGCTTTCAGAGTTTATAGATATTTTGATATTTCACTCTTTTTATACAAAACAATATTTCATACTCTCTGTTCTACATTTTGCTTTTTTTTTCACTTAAAATAATTCTGGAGATGACTTATCAATACAAAAAGGTCTCTCTCTCTCTCTCTCTCTCTCTCTCTCTCTCCTGTTACAAATGAATAGTATTCTATTGTGGGCTTTACTTGAGATCACTAAATTAGTTTTCTATGGGTAGGCACTGAGCAGTTTCCAATTTTTTACCGTTACAGACAACACTGCAGTGAATAACATATGCCATCTTTCATGGGAGATAATTAGGAAGCCTTCCTCAAGAGCTCAAGCCAGCATGGTCATCCTCTTCCCACAGTGCCTTATACCTCATTCCATCATGGCACTTACCATGTCTCCTTTCATCAGACCATGGCTCCTAGAGATTATGGACTGTGGCTACTGTAACTTATTTCCATACTGCCTAGCACAGGGCCCTCTGTGTCCACACTTTGCCGAAGACGTCTGTGCCAAGGAGGGAAGAAGGAGGGAGGGAGGCAAATGAGTACAGGTGTCTCAGGGGCCTGTGTTTCGCCTCCTCTTATTGCATCTGTAACTGCATTTCTTAGTGGCAGGTACCACTTAAGGCCTGTGTGGTTTCTTCCTCAATCTGTCACTGAAACTGGAATCTGGTTCTACCCTGTTTGGCCTGGCTTCGTGTACAGGGTGTATCCCAGAAGACTCCAGCCTGAAGCCTAGTTTCTGTAGAGTCTCCCAGGTCAGCCCAGAACTACTCCCTGACAGCTTGTCCTGTTCAAAAATAGCACCAGCAGGAGTTTATTGTGGAGGAGGGTGTGGGTAGTGGTCATCACATAATAGTACTAAGATATCATTGAAAAATTGCTGTCCTGATAAAAATCCAGCAAAATAGAATTCTCCTTTGTCAAGGAAGTATTCTTAAATCTCAGACTCTTATTGTTTTTGCTAGGTTGTCAAGGAAGTATTCTTAAATCTCAGACTCTTATTGTTTTTGCTAGGAAATGTATTCTTTAAGGAATATAAATTGTTTTTGTTAAATTAAGGAGGAAAAATTCTAATTTTCACAAGAAAGATTGATAGTTGTGCTCACTGCTTTAAAGAAGGCTTTCTGGGGGAGCTTATATTCAAGATTCTTTCTATTGTAAGGAAGAGAAACTTCACTGAAGCTAAATTAAGCAAAATTAGGAGTATGGCTAACATAATAGAAATGTTTTGGGGAATCAACACAGCTGGGTCCAGGTTACCAAATAGATGATGGTGCTAGGAATCTCACCTTCTCCGTCTTTCAGCTCTTATTACCACTGAGTTGGCTTCATTCTTTAAGGTAGGGAAGATAGGAGTTCCAGGCTTACATGGAGTTTATAGCCCCTTATCTCAAAACATACTCTTTTTTTCCAGTATCCCTATTGAAAGAGGAACTGATTTGTTCTTCAGGAATCATAGCTCCTGGACCACTCATTTTTCACAGAAAGTTGAAGTTTTCTAGCCATCTTGATTGACAGACTTTTCAGAATCATGAGGAATCGTAGTCTAGCAGTTTTGAAAGCGAAGGTGTTGCAGGACCACACAATGGAGCTGCCTACCATGGATGGTGATTCAAAATTTGAATTTCAGACTGTGAAGAGTATCTAACTTGGGGATGCTAGACCTAAATTAAGAAAGGGTTCCTATGTTAATCTCTCTACTTTCATATATGTTTGATATTTTCTGTAATATAAAGTGCTTTAAAAAAGTGCATTAAAAAATGTTTAATGTCTTGGTTTGGGAACTCTCAACAAACAAGTCTTCACATTTCTATATGTTTACTGTCTGATTTTCTCAACTTCTGTTTTTCTTTTCATTGCACAAAGAGACCTTAATCCTTACTTCCCTCTAAGCTGGGAATTCAGGGGAAAAAACACAGTAGTTGACTTCAGATTTGTGTGGTGTGCTTGGAGGGCATTGGGGTGAAGACAGTCAGGTGCCCTTAAATCCATGTTTCCAAGCTTCCCAGAACAAAAGCCTCAGAAAATTCCAGCCAGGGAGAGAAGGAAGTCTGTGCTGTGACCATAAGTCTACATCTCCCCCTTTCACGGGCAGTACTTGAGCTGGGGTCAGTGTGGACAGATCAGTTGAGGGCTCAGTAGGTCCTGACTTCGGGTCATGTGTATAGTTAGAGGGAGGCCCAGATGCTCAGAGGGTCATGAACTAGCTGCTGGAGGGACTCTTAGAGAGTGTTTAGACTGCCTTTTTATTTTACAGGTGAGGAAGCTGAGGCCAGAGGAGTTAAGTGGCCCAAATTCACACAGTGAAGTAGCAGGAGCAGAGCTAGGTTTGAGATCCCAGAATCTAACTTTGGAGTCTAGTACTACTTAATAGCTGTTTGACTTTGAGTAAGCACCATTGCTTCTCTGAGCACCTTGAGACAGGCAGAATAATGGCCTTCCAAATGTCTACATCCTAATTCCCAGAACCTGTGAATGTGTTTGGTTCTGTGGCATGGGGGCATTAAGATTGCAGATGAAATTAAAGTTGCCGATTATCTGACCCTAAAATAAGGAGAATATCCTGGACCATCCAGGTGGACCCAATCTAATCACAAATATGCTTATCAGTGAAAGATGGAGGCAGGAGAGTCAGAGAGATGTAGCATGAGAAAAACTGGACTGCCCATTGCTGGCTTGGAAGCTGGAAGGGAGGCAGGAGCCACAGAATGTGGCAGCCTCTAGAAGCTGGGAAAGACAAGAATAGATTCTCCCCCAGAGCCTCCAGAAAGGAACACAGCCCTGCTGACACCTTAACTGTAGTCCCTTTTGGACTTCTGACTTCCAGAACTATAAGATAATAAATGTGTGTTGTTTTAAACCACTAAGCTTGGAGTAGTTGCAACAGCAATAGGAAACGAATACACCTGTAAAGGGGAATAGTCGTACCTCCCTCAAAAGCCTGGCATTTACAGTCAGGGAAATCGTGTCTGAAAATTACCCAGAAAAGATCCTGGAACACAGTAGATGCTTCATAAAGAGTAATATTGATTGGGGGGTCATTAAAAGAGAGCAAAGGGAGAGTAGCTGATGGGCAGGTGTCTGAAGAACCAAAGTCTGTGCCTCTGTGGCAAGGCACAGGACTACTAAGAGGCCAATAGAAGACACCAGATGGCCCAATGGGTGGCCAAAGGCACCCTTGGAGAACCTCTCTGCTCCTAGAGTCAGCGAGGCCTTCCTCCTCCAATTCTTCAGTACTTCCATCTCCAGCAGCACCACTGTACATCAGAGGAAGCAGGAGCTAGGAGCCCACCTTGAGGACTTGGTAGGATGTGGGCCTCTCTTTGACCCCTGAGCTTCTGCCTGGCCATCACCCTAATGCTACTGCCTACCCTCATGGCCTTAAAGATTATTACTGCTACTCCCAGTGTTAGCAGCTGCACTTTTATGAGCTTACTATGGGCCAGGCACTCTGTGACACTGTCTCATTTAATCTTCATAACAGCCCTCTGAGGCAGGTCTTTCTCCCCCATATTACAGATGAGCAGATAGAAGCTCCAAGAGGTCAAGCTGTTTGACTGATGGGTCAAACAGCCCATCAGTGACAGAACCAGGATTACAAATTAGGTTCATCTGACTCCAGATCCAGCCTCTTAGACAAAGCTGGTTACCAGGTAGGAGAAGAGAGACAACCGGCATTCACTGGCTACTGGAAGGAGGCCTGGGAGAGTTGTGTCTGGATATTGTGAACCTGTGGGAATGAGAGCCCCCATATCTCCAAGAGGAGTCCCCCGCTAGAGGAAGTGCTCCCTCCCATCCTGGTGCACTTGTGGGAATGATGGAGCCCTCAGATGGGACACACTTGCTTCTTGAGGATTTTGCGGGGACATTCACACCTACCATTCTGAGTCACCATGACTGTGTCTGTGTTTTATTTTTCTAAAAAAAAAATACACTGATGTTGGATTAGATGATATCAAGGAATTTTTGTTAACTGTTAATTTCAGGTGTGATCATATTGTGGTAAAGTAAGACGGTGTCCTTATTTTAGAAAGTGGACTTTATTTTTGAAGCATTGAAAGGTAAAATAACATGGTGTTTATAATGTGCCTTCATATACTTAAGAGGGGAAAAGGTGAAGTAAATATAGAAGTATGTCAATAATTTGGGGGGGCGACCTCTATGTGGCAGTTTATTATACTGTTATTGTTTCCAATTTTTCTTTTTGTTTTTAGAGACAGGGCCTCACTCTATTGCCCAGCTGAGTGCAGTGGCACAGTCATAGCTCACTATCACCTTGAACTCCTGGGATCAACCAATCCTCCCACCTGGACTTCCAAGTAGCTAAAACTACAGGCATACACCAACACACCTGGCTACGTTATTTAAAATTTCCTGTAGAGATAGGTCTTGCTGTGTTATGCAGACTGCTCTCAAACTCCTGGCTACAAGTGATCCTTGCACTTCAGCCTCCCAAAGTGCTGGGATTACAGGTATGAGCCACCACACCTAGCCCTCTACTTTTCTATATGTTTGTGATTTTTCATAACAAAATTTTTTTTAAAGTCACTGAGTACAAGGATGTACTTAGTCTTAGGCTGAGCTAGACGCAGCCCTACACTAGGTGCCTTGCCCGTGGTAAGGCAAATCTTGGGAACAGGCTCCAAGAAAGCCTTATCACCAGACTTGATTCTGAGTTCGCCCCGTTGCACAGGTGCTTTTGTTGAGCTCTTTATAGTCAATCTGCAATCAAGTAAATAAGAAACAGTTGGCTGAGTCTTTTATGATACCTGATCATTGAAAGATTGCTTATGGTATGCGACTGTCCTTCCACAAACAGCTGGGTGGGTTTTCCTCCATGGTGGCGTCATTCCTTTACTGTATTATGATACAAAAAAAGGACCATGGTGTTTTGTGAAATATCTCATGGTACATACTACTTAATAGGCATCGCATATGTCACTTCAGATTTCCCGGCACGTTTTCTTTAGCAAATTCTAATCTTTTTGGTTTTACATGAAAGTTCATTTTTCAAACTTAGCATTGGAACAGATAATCAGATTTTTTTTATCTCCCCTTAGCCTCCTCTTACTTTGTATTTTTCCTTATCAAAATAGCCAGCCGGTGAAAAGGAGCAGCCCTTGGAGTGTTTGTTGTTACCTTATCTTCTAACTGTAAGGTAACAATATTTCCAAGGACTTTACCAAATGTGAAGAACTGTGTTGAGTATCTTTAATAGAGACATCACTGCTAATCAGGAGGCCAGGTTTTGCCCAAGTTCTGGTTTAGCTCTCTAAATACAATGTTATCCTTCAGATAAAACTCCATTTCTTTCCTATAAGCCTTTGAACATATGAACGCATAACAGGTGACCTTAGTAGTAATTTCATGAATTCTTGGTGAAATGAATTGTATAAGATCAATGTATCTGCAAACTCATCACATTTTCTTGAGCTGTGAGGGACTTTAAGATGAATCTGGTACAGCTCTGTTAGTGGAGGAAACATTCATTTTAACTGTGTAGTCAATTCTCAATTAACAAGAGTAATGGAGTGGAAGGAGGTCACTGATAATCAAAAATCATAGTGAAAATAAAATTGTAGTGAACACTCAATTTTCTGAGGGCTGATTAACTGGTTTGTAGATTTAGGTTAATTCCCGGTGGACCATAGGATGTCATCCCTTTGGTCACTGGCCAGCAGCTGCTCACCGCTTGGCACCGACCCACCCTGTCTGTACTCAGGAGGAGAGGGGCTTCCCAGGAGCTGGACCAGGCAGACCTAGTTGACACTGGCTGGAGTGGTACCACAGTAGTGGAGACCTTAGTCTTGGGAGGCAGCAGTGGCCTTTTGGAATTGTCCCATCCACCTCTAAAGCAATGGGTCTCAAACTTCAAGAAATAGAACCACCAAGAGGGCTTGTTAAGACCCAAGTTGCTGGGCCCCAGCCCTGATTTCTGATTGCAAAGATCTGGAGTGGGATCTAAAAACGTGCATTTCTAGAAGCACCCAGATGATGCTGATACTGCTGGTCTTTGAAAATTACCACTTTCTAAAACGTTTCTCATCCTGCGTTGCACGCTAGAATCACCTGGGGAGTTTTAAAGACTATCGATGACTGGATGTACTTTGACCAATTACATGAAAGGCTTGGGTTGTGGGGCCCAGGCCAGGAGGATTTTTAAAGCTCCCCAGCTGGTTCTAATGTGCATCCAGGATTGACAACCATTGCTCAAGAATGTTTCCCACACCTCAAACACCTGCATGCAAGCCTCATGAGGTTTTTCTTATCTTTACTCCCCCCTATATGTTTGTTTAATATTTTTCTTTAAATCAGTTTTTCTGTTATGTAAACAGATATATTTAGAAAGCAAACCATGTATCCCTTGCATGTAGGAAAACTAGTTTCACAGGCCATAAATGGGGCATAGTTGTAAAAACAAATATATTATCATTTGGCATTTTTAAGTTCTCACCTGAAGTCATCTTGCATTCCATCACACTTGGGGAGTCTCTACTCTAGAACTGTGCTTTTTGATCTTCTATCACAAAGGTGATAAAATGCACTATTTATGTTCTTCATACACTCTCGTGGGCCAGAGGGCTATGCTAACTTTGAGCACCTCTGATCTCCCCAGCAAGACAAACAGGTCCTAATGCTAGTGAGTGCAACTGTGTTACAGAATAGCCTCGATTCAGTGATAATCCTTATTCACAAAAAAGGTGCTTCATCAATAGGAGAACAGATAAACTGTGGTATAGCCAAATAATGGAACACCATTCAGCAATGAAAAGGAACAAGCTGCTGACACACAGAACAATGTGAGTGAACCTCAGAAACATTGTGCTGAGTAAAACGGACACAGAAGACCAGACAGTGTGATTCTATTTATATTTAAAGTTCTAAAAGAGGTAAAATGTGTCTGTGGTGGAAAAACTTAGAATAGTGGCTGCTTGAGGGAGGGGTGCAGGGGGATTGAGAGGGAAGGGACACAAGGGGACGTTCAGGGTAAGGGAGATGTTCTATATGTTGAGAGGGGTTGGAGTTACACGGTGCATGATTTGTTAAAATTTATTACATGATGCCCTCAAGATTTGTGCATTTCATTGTAAGTTCAAAGAAACGAAAAAAAATGCTAAACAAATACTGAATTCTGGTTAATAACATGCATGCTGAAGTGTATAGAAATAAGTATGCTGCTGTCTGCGACTTCTTTTGAAAGGCATCAAAAACAGTAAGCGAGATTGCCAAATGGATAGAGGAGTAGGTATATGATAAAACAAACAGTAAAAAATTAATGGTAGAATCTAGGTGGTGAATATCCAGATGTTCACTTTAAAATTCTTTTGACTTTGCTGCATGTTTGAAAATCTTTCACAATAAAGTTTGGGAAGAAATTGCATACATTCAAAACAAACAAGTACTTCATCTGCATGTCTGCACTTTTGAGTTTTTGCCACCCCAGAGGGTCTTGATAGGGGATGGCTCCTCACAGAAGTCAAATGGGCAGAAGGCTTGGAGCAATGAGCTGGGATCGCGAGGGCAGGGTCCTTAAGAGAAGCTGCTGCACTGGGAGACAGGACTCTGAGCCTAGACTCTTCAGTGCTGGGCCCCACTGCAGGGGGAGAATGCCAAGGGTACTTCCTTCCTTTCACTTGTGCTGTATCTTGGGGAGTCCCAGGGTGGGTTAGCTGGGCAGTGAGCTCTGGGAAAGGAGCGCTGTAGAAGCTAGGTTAGATGTGGCCTGCAAATACTACCTGAGCCTTACCACAGAGAGGGGTGCTTCCCGAGCTCCTTCAACCAGCAGAACCCCAAAACACGCCACCCCTGATGTCCACTGGCTACCCTGAGACCAGAGAATGTTAAGGCTGGGGGTAGAGTGTGTTGGGGTTCCTGGGGCATGCACTTACCATTTTGGGGATTGGGCAGGTCCAATGGGCAAGAATGGCATTCTCAGGCCTGGTAGGAGGGAGCTCTTTAGGGAGCCCCAGAGCACACTCATGACATATCTCCACAGCATGCCCATTGCACCCCATGACACACTCCCACAGCACCACCACACCACACCCACCATGATACCCCCCACAGCAAAACCCCCAACAATGTACCCTCATGGCACATTCCCATGCTATATCCTCCATACCATACCCCTATGATCCATCCCCCACAACATGACTTCCACAACACATTGTGCAGCATGGCTCTCCTGTCACCGACCCTCACCCAACCTTCATGTCACACTTCCCCATGAGACACCTATAGGCCTATCCTGCATCAAACCCCTCCATGGCAGACTCCCCACCACAGAAGACCCCACAGCACCCCACCACAGCATATGCTTCTGTATGACAACCGCTGCAACACATACCAGCAACAGCCACAGCACACACCCCACTACACACCTCCTAAGATGCACCTCTGTTGAACCTTGAGTGGAGGCCCCATTGCCTTCGCTAGAGAAGAAAGAGTAATTTCTGACACCTGCGCACTAACCTGTTTTTCCTTCCTTTGCTTGGGCAAAGATCTTGAGATACACAGGAAGAAGAACAATTTACTCTTGAGGGAAGAAGTTATAATTGATGTCTAAAGGATAGTTAATATGCTGATTACATTTATTTCCTACAAAAATGAATGAGCCCATCTTGAATACCAAAGATCTTGTGGCTTGGATGGAGGGACCGAATGGGCTCAGTCAGGGCTCCTGTTAGTTTCTGCCCCTCTAAAGGCAGTGGGAAGTGAAATGGCCTGGCCGGCCCTTCACTACAGGAGCTTGAACTTGCCTGTATTTCCTAGTACCACAACTTGGGATGGAGCCCGGAGTTTCTGTGTCCCCATCAGAAAGAAGATGATAGCACTTCTCTGCAAATGTCTGCAGTATCTGCAAATATTAAAGATAAAAGTGTAGTTACAGGTACAGTATAGGTACTGCCAAAATATGAGTTAGTAGGCCTAAAAATCACCTAGTAAATAGTATATTAACTTTTAGTTACTAGTGATTTGTTATGCTTGATTTATTATTGTCATCCATGAAGGTTCAAAATGTGAAAATAATAAGATTTGGAATTCCTGTTTTCTACCACAAATAGCATTTTGGTCTTTGTTTGTTTTTAGAGACAGGGTCTCACTCTGTCACCCAGACTGGAGTGCAGTGGCACAACCATGGCTCACTGCAACCTCAACCTCGTGGGCTCAAGAGATCCTCCCATTTCAGCCTCCCAACTAGCTGGGACTACAAGCATGCACCACTACATCCAGCTATTTTTAAAAAACAGTTTTGTAGATATGGGGGTCTTACTGTGTTGCCCAGGCTGGTCTCAAACTCCTAACCTCAAGCAATCTGCCTGCCTCAGCCTCCCAAAGTGCTGGCATTTTGAGTATTTAAGTAGCTGCTTGTTTTTCCATATTTGACTGCCCCGTTAAAATGAGTTCCGTGAGAGCAGAGTATATTCTCCATGCCTCTTTCCCCAGGACTGAGCAGTCACACATGGAAGATGTTAAGAATTTGGATGGTCATCACAATAACAAAACTGTTAAGCTCATTCAAGCTGCACTTTAGAAATGAAGCCACCAATAGGACCTTCAAAACCATGGTTGTGATCTCATTTACATGCTACTCTGTCAATTAATGCTACATGCCAATTAAATGGGACATTAAGCTGCCAATAGGTCTGCAACTCTGCATGATAGAATCCTTTCCACTTCAGCCAGTGACCTGAATTCATTGCGTCCTATTCATTAATTACCAGGGTTTGTCCTCAACTCCATCCCCAGCCATCCCTAACCAGGGCAGAAAGGCAGCCAGACAGTCTTGTTTAGGAGAGATTGTGATGCAAGTTAGCATGGCTGGATTCCAGTCATATTACCAAACATTGTAGTTGCTTGGATGCATCTGAGTTAGTGACATTCTAATCTTTTAAAATTCCTGCTAGAAGCAGAAAAAGCAAGATTTAGAGCCGAAGAGTGTGAGGGGATGGCCAGTCACATAAAGCAGCCCAGTTTTCAAGGAGCTACTCTTGGAAAACCCTCAAAAGCAGCAATTCTGCTACCAGCTCAGCTCACCTCTGGTTTGCTGCAATCCAGCCAGGTTTTAGGTAAATAATCACAATGAGCAAATGTGCCCATCTGGAAGGACTGGTCTAACACATCCCATAAGCTTACATTTTAGTTTTCAAACTCTTGCTATTATATTGCCATTGGCAAAAGATGCAGCAGTGCTTACTACTTCCCTCCTTCTGTGGCTCGGGCACTTTAGTAATTTAGAAATGCTTCTTCTTCATCTAGAGAAGTAAAAATAATTATAATAGAAAATGGGTAATTTGCAGCTACAATGCCAGGCTGATAATCAAAACCTTGTAAATGGAAACATAAGCATATGTTTATCACTTCTTGAAATTAGAATGCAATTGAAAGTAGCTGTGGCCTCAAAGAGAGGGCATTATGGAAGGGAAGGCAGACTTACTTGTTAGTTGGAGACCTGCCTGCTAATGAGGCTTTTACGTTGCTGTTGTCTCAGGAGCAGTGAATAAAGGAAAGCATCCCTGAGAGCTGCTCAGCTTGTTCAGGGGACCCTCAGGTAATCACTTATAGACTGATCACTCTCTTGCATAAAACCACGCAGAGGCTTACCAGCCACCACCGTCAGGATCAAGTTTGACCTTGTCAACATAGAGCATAAGGCCCTTGGCAGGCTGGCGCAGGCCTCCCATGCACCTTAGCCACTCTGTTGACCCTGCTACTGCCTCAGCATGCTCCATGGCCTCTCACATTCCAAGGCCTTTGCAAATGCTGTTTTCTCTTCCCAACTCATTTACCTGCCTAACTCGTAGTCATCCTTCAAAACTCAAAACATCTGTTACTTCTTCTTAGCATCCCCCTCTTAACCTGACCGAGCCTAGGGCTCTCCTCTGCCCACCTAGGCTCCCTGTGTTTCCATTTGTGCCAGCTCTTACCACCCTGGGCTGTGACCGTCCTTAGCCTTTCTACCTCCCACCAGCACAGGCAGGTGAGCATCTAAGCATGACTGTGGTGTGTCTTTGTCTCCCTTGTTCTGGCATACTGCCTGACTCATAGCTGCTGTTTGATGTTTGCTGAATGAAGGGATTATTAATGGCAGTCAAGGACTTTGGAACCATTTTAAAGTTTGTCTTTGAAAAGCACAGTTATGACATAGAGTCATTGATAACATAAATCCTATAATGCATTCCACAGCCAGTTGGGCTGCTTGGGTCCTCTGTGTCTGTGTTCATTTTTGTGATAGGCTTAGGTTGGATCATGAGTTAGTCCTGCCCATTTTTCACATCAAAGGCAAAATTGGCCCTAGAAACATAATAGTTTTGCCTCTGTACCATAATCAGGACAGCAATGTGTTTGCTGCTTTGCATCTTATTTTTGTGATATTGTTATAAGTACTGAAGGGCACACAAATGCTTTCGGCATCTGAAGGAGGTCAGTTTCATTAATGAATCAGTTGTGAGCTCAGAAAGCAAGTTTTCTTACTTTTGCCCTTGCTTTGTAACCCAGCGTCTGGCTCTCTCTCTCCCTGGTGGGCCCACAGGCCTGCTAGTGAATGGGCATGTCTGCCAGTGGCTTAGTTTTTCATCACCATCCTTATTCTGAGTCAGTTCCAGGCTCATGGATCAGTAGGGACACACTGTTTACATTTAAATCAGACCCCTGGTTTGAAGTTGACTTTATTTTTATCTGCAGATTAATTGCCAAATGCTTAGCTTTTCAGCTAATCAGGTACCTCTCATGCTCCTATCCACAGGGAAGTAAAGGGGAGCTAAGTGCGAATCCTGCCTGAAGGATCCCATTCATAAGACATAGTGAGCATGATGGTTTTGGGAGCTGTCCCAGTGTAAGACTGTGTGTGCTCTGTACTCTACTAGCTCCTGGACACTGAGGGACAAGAGGGGGGAGCAGAAGCGCTGGTCAGAGGGCACTATTTGCCCTTGACCAGATCTCATAGCTTGTCTCCAACCTGCTGATCTACGGAATGATGAGGCTAAACTAGAAAATGTCTCTGGTCCCTTCTACCTTGCTCTGAAATGCTGCCACGCCCCAGGTTCGAGTTACAACGTGTTGCTGACTGTGACTCAAGCAGTGAGTGAATGGAAGTAGGGGAAGAAAGTCTAGGCAGCTACGGTTTGCTTGAGGAGTTTCTGGGGCTGGAATAGGGTGGGGCTGTGGGGAAGCTCATTTATCCATTCAGCCAGAATTTCGTAAACCTGGCTTATGCCCCAGCTGGGACAGAGCTAGGCACAGAGACCTTGAAGGCAACAAACTGAGCCCTCTCGGGCATCCTCCTGACCCCAACACGTGGCTACTACACTTAGCAGTCAGCTGTTTGTTTCCAAAAGTGTCAGTGCTGGCTGTATTTGCTAATATAGTCAAATAACTTTATTAAATATTATATAAACTAATGAGCTATGAGTATAAAAGGAAAGAGTAGGTTTTGCTGATAAATGATCTGTTTGATTGCTCAGAAAATAATGGCTTCAACTCACATAAGCATTTTATAACTCCTGATTTCCATTATTTTTAAATAGAACAGTTTTTTTTTAAATTATGGGGGTTTTAACAATATCACCTTTTGCATTATTCCATGGCACATTGAGAGGTGTAAGATATTTTGCATTTGAATTAAGAAACACACACACACCTTAGTCCCATGTTATTTACAGGATGACCTCTTAGGAGCCATTTAATCCAAACATAAGTAATTTTATAAAATGGAGTAGGCACAGAAAATGATAGAATAACACCAATACAGTGACATTTATGAAGCAATGACTCCATAAACTGCAACTTATGGCACCACCAACACCCCTGCCCCCGCTGCCAATCTATCCTTTCCTTTAACATTTTAACTCCATTATTTCAATAAAATGAGAGTAAAATACTTATCATGAAACCCATTTTGTACTTTGAATCTTTTTAATCCTCTCTTAGGTGAATGTGCCTCTCACTGGTGAGGCGCATACCTGCTTTTCTCTGGTCACTTTTGCTTCTGGACTTCTAGAAGTACAGCCAAAACTGTTTGCTCTCACAGAGGCAGAGCTGCATTTGGTTCTGTGGTGATTCCCAGCTTCTCTCGAGGAAGAGAAGATGCGTGGTTTATTGGATCTCAATACCCTCTCCCAGGGGAAGAGGCTGCAGGACATCTGTTTGCTTTTGCTTTCAAAATTAAAGTGGATGTAATTTGGTTTTGAAAATTTTGCAATTTCACTTAAAAACATTGCTGTTGGGAACCAGGGAGTCAATGTAGTAAAGTCCTCACAAGGGCCTCTCTTGGGCCCACTGAGAAGTGCTGTTGCCCCCCATAGGCTGCTCTTGCTCATACCCAGGTCCTGAGGGGCCATGCTACACAGCTCAGCAGAGACACCTGGAACACCTGGCAGGGTGGGGTCGAATCTCATCTCAGCTCACTCCTCCTTGCTGTGCAATCTTGGGCAAACAAGTTCAGTTCTCTAAGTCCCAGTTTCCTCATCTGCAAAGGTGGAGTAATAGCATCTAATTGAAATATGTGTGCCCCTTAAATGGTTGGAAATATTAGTCAGTGCAAATGCTTATTCTTTATCTTTCCTTGGATTGTTCACCCGGAGCCATTTAACCTCACTTCTGAGTCCCCTTACACACAGTGATGTTGATCATCTGGGTACCCACAAAATGTAAGGGGACATTACAGCCCCGGGCTGCTGCAGGGCAGTGAAGCTGTGAATCTTCTGGAATGCCATGCCAGGCCTGGGCACTGGCTGGCTGAGGGTAGGACTCAGGGCACGATGGTCTTCCCCAGGCATGGCTTCCTCCCAGCATCACCTCCAGCCTAGGCTTTGGGGGCCTCTAGACAAGGGCCTAGAATTTTCTCTGGCAGGCCTGAAGCTGGGTGGAACAGTGAGGGCTGGACACAGATCAAGGAGTGGGCTCCAGATATGCTGCTCAGTGAGGAAGGGAGGACTTAGGTCCCCAGGCTGTCAGTTTCCCTCCTCCAGGGCAGGGAGCATGGAGCATTCAGAGGAACACTGACTTTGGAATAGCAGAGAAGGCAGGAAATGGTTGGAGCAGGAGCACTGAGTTATGGCTGGGAGAAGCTTTAATAGGCCATTAAGGGGGTGGGATAGGGTAGGGGAAGTAATTAAGGAGGCCATTTTGCACCCTTGCCCGGAGCCTGGGACCCTGAGACCAGGAGTCTAGGGATTCGCTCTGCCCTCAGACCTGCCAGCTCTGCACACAGCCTGAGCTGTACCACAGATGTGGGCCACCTTAATTCCAGCAGCTACCTTTGAGATACACCCTTTGGTTTTCAGGATTCTGGAATCTCATCATGTCTGATGGAGAGGCAGTTCAAAGTCATTGGCAGTGGGTCAGCAGTATTGTCTGCAGATAAAGCATAGCTTCTCTTCTCTTAGTATCACAGATGTTAGGCAGCCTTCCCCTCTCAGAATAACCTCTAGCTTTTGAATCATTTGGCATGAATATATATGGAATCATTGGTGGAGTTTTTAGTCTGTTATTTTTCCATTCAGATTAGTTAGAAATGTACCTTCTTGAGCTAAGGCCTAATACAGAAACTACTTTGCAAAAAAAAATGGAGACTTGGGAAACTTAAAATGAAAATCATATAATGGAAGCCATTATTTAGTCTCTAATCCATGAGTTTTTATGCTGTGCGGGTATTTATATATTATACTTTCTACCAAAGTTCTTCACACAAACAGGCCTGAGTGGGTCTCTTACTTCTTACCAATTCTTACAAAAATTATGGTTAACATGTCATGCCAACTCCATGCTCTTCTTATTTTCCAACACATTTTCCTTTTACAATAGAAATGTTCATATTGGGTTAAATTAGAAAGTTATTTTAAATAATCACTTCTGAGGTATCAAAGTAAGGAAGATTTTATATTTTTTATTTTATAAATGATGTGGTGGTTTTCTTTGATTACTTCTTGGATCCTACTGTTCAGAGAAAATCAGATATTCCTTTTTGTAAGAGAAGTTATGAATCTTCCCTGAAGAGTTTTAGAAAGATAAATACTTCTCCCTTGGCATGATGTCAGCAACTTCTGCCTCGAGGAAGGGAAATGGAGTAGAGAATTGCTCCAGGTCCTTTTCAGCTTTAGATTTCTCTGAATTTATCGCTTTCACAGAAGGGATCTCCTGCATCTTCCACATTTGTCCCAGAGTGTCAATCTCATTAGGCCGAGGGATGAGGGTTATATGTCAGGATGCATTCCTCAGGTAAAACCTAAAAGTCTCCACAGCCAAAGAGCTTGGTTTATAAAGCACTGTCACAGTGTGATAGAAATCTCAGCCCTGAGTCCAGAGCTCTGACTCTAGCTCTGTTATTAACTTACTGTATAACCTTGGATAAGCAACATCACCTCTCCAGTACTCAACTACAAGTGAGTTTCTTCAATTATAACACAGGGGGTTTAGACCACATGTTAACATTCTGCAAATGGGAGCACAAAACCAACAAAGTTAAATATTTTGGTTAAGCATAAGCCTTCCAGATAGAGCATTCCCTCTGCCTAAGGAAAAATCCAACTCCCAATCTATGTATTTTTGTAACAGTATCTTTAAAATGCAGAAGATGAAAATCTTTCCTGAAATTTGTAATAAGGAGTCATAAAATGTCAACACTTTTTATGATTTGTGGCCAATCTTGGAGAAATATGTCTTGAAAAAATAAACATTTCATATTATATGGAGAAGAGAGAGGGATTGGTTCCTTTCATTCAGCAAAAAGCAGTAATTGCAGTAAGAGCCATCGCTTAAGAAGTATTTGTAGAGACCTGTCACCTGTAAAGCACTGCCCCTATGCAGTCTGTGTTTGAGATGGAAGTTACCCCATGCCCTTGCTTTTGTTTATCCAAAAGGCAAGTGGGCTCCTGGTTTCTTGTTGTCCAGAAATCACATCTTTGCTTTGGGGTCTTGAGACACACTCCCATTCATCTCTTCATGGCCCCTAAATTGAATGTTGTGAAGTCAATGCATGTTTCTCCTAGCTGTATTAATGCCTTTGGGGTGTGCAGTTTGTCAGCCTGACTGCATTAATCCAAAACAGTGTTTCAAATTGGCAAGTAAGGTGGGACCCTTTTGATCAAAGAGTTCTCCTTTTGTATGTGATGAAGCGTGGTTTGGGTGTGTTTTGGGGTGCACTCAGAGGAGTGAGGCTAGGGGTGTCCTTTTCAAAGGTATAGTGCCCCCCTCCCTGGTGTGCAACTCACAAACACTAGGAGGGCTGCGTACAATAGCTAACCGTGCAGGAACTGACTGCTCACTGGGGAGAAGCTGCCCTTCCAGGAGGTAAAACAACCTTTGGAAGCATCATCATATAGAATTTTTCAGAAGGAAAGTGTTCAAAAGACAGATTCCCTTGGCTTTTGTGTGAAACTGAGTCAATGAATGGTGACTTTGCCCCACTCTTGTAGAAGAGACAAAAGACGCACTTGCCTCAGACTTTGGCTACTTACTGTGTGTCTTTTTTTTCTTTTTTTAAATAAAAACATGGAAGACCACCAGGGAGTTTGGTGTAAAAGCCAGTTTTTTTGTTTGTTTGTTTGTTTGTTTGTTTTCTTTGCTTGCCATCCTGCAACATTAGCTGGGTTACAGGAAACTTCCAGAAACCACAGGCAATCTTTAAAGACCATCTCCTGCATAGCCCTTCACTGAGCACACAATTACTGAGGGTCGCCACTGTTTGCCAGACATCATTCAAAACAAGGTTCTCATAGTGTATCTTTATTGCATTTTCATCTTTTTTGATTCCTAAAATTACAAAAAAGAATACATGCTTAGGGAAAAAGTGCATTAGTATAAAGTAATACTAATAAAGCCCAAGTCTGTCCACTCTTCTTACCACCCCCTCAACAACCCTACTCCTTCCTTTGAAAGTAATGACTTCTTATTTGATGTGTACCCATCCAACAAATTCATAAACATATCTAGGTGTACATATATATAGTTTCTGTATATTATAACACAGATTGCTTTGTTTAAACCATGTGAGAAAATACTATAATATTGTCTGCAACTTACATTTTTTTACCAGTATTTACTCAATAATCTCCCACATCGGTATATGTAGAAGTACGTCACTCTTTTTAATAGCTGCATAGTATTACATGGAATGTAACCATTCCCTTGTTGGTAGACAGTGGGGTCTCTAATTTTTCACTATTGCAGATAAACCTTCAGAGGACAGTCTGATGACATATGTTTGCAGGTATCTGGCCATGTTTATTAATAATTAAACTATTTGTTTGAAGATATGTTTCTCCAACACATGTACATGCCTACACATCCCTATCGAAACTATGAGGTTAATTTATAGAAAGTTTCTTAAATCCTTGGTTCCCCTCTAATTACCTGCCCCTTCATACTTAATCTGTTCACATGTTTGCTTTAAGAACTAAGCATTTTTTTCTCATGCCTTCAGCCTCCTGCTTCAGGAGGGGACGCTGCCCAGAACTGGGAGTTGGCTGCCTGCTTTTCTTAACCTACATATATCAGTCCATTTTCACACTGCTATAAAGAATACCTGAGACTGGGTAATTTATAAAGAAAAGGGGTTTAATTGACTCACAGCTCCACATGGCTGAGGAGGCCTCAGGAAACTTACAATCATGGCAGAAGGCAAAGGGGAAGCAAGGCACGTCTTACATGGCAGCAGGTGAGAGAGAACACAGAGGAAACAGCCACTTTTAAATGATCAGATCTTGTGAGAACTCTCCCACTATCACAAGGACAACGTAGGGAAAACCCCCCCAGGATCCACTCACCTCCCACCAGATCCCTCCCTCAACATGTGGTGATTACAATTCAAGATAAGATGTGGGTGGGGACCACAGCCAAACCATATCACTACACTTGCATTCAACCCTCTCCTATTCCACTTGCTGCAGGCAGGAAGTTGAATTCAGCCAAATATCATCAAAGAACCATAGAATCTGGGGGATAGCTTTTGTACAAACTGAAACTCTTCCTTCCAACGTGTCTGTGAGTGTATTAGTTTTCTGTGGCTGCTGTAACAAATTACCATAAACTTGGTAGTTTAAAACAAAGGAAATTTATTTTCTCACAATTTTGGAGGCCAAAAGTTCGAAATCAGTATCCCTGAGCCAAAACCAAGGCATCAGCAGGGCTGCATTCAGTTCAGAGGCTCAAGGGAGAAATTTGTTCCTTGCTGAGTCCAGGTTCTGGTGGCTGCCAGCATTCCTTGTCTTGTCACTGCACCCCTCCAAACTTCAAGGCCAGCATCTTCAAATTTCCCTCTTCCATCTTCAAATGGCCTCTCTGTGTGTCAAAACTCCCCTTACCTCCCTTTTATAAGGATACATGTGATTGCATTTAGCACTCCCTCTTCTCAAGATTCTTAATCACATCTGCAATGACCCTTTTTCCAAGTAAAGTAACATTTACAGGTTCTAGGGATTAGGACCTGACATCTTTGGGGGACATTATTCAACCTAGTTTGATGGAGTTGTTGACCTCCTTTCCAATATATTTTACTGCTGGGGCACATTTGATATTTCCTTTGAACCATTTGGGAGAATGTATTTTTATTCATAAGGGAGGCAGAAATAGATGTTATTTTGCTCTGTACATTGAAAACTTAGCTAGAAAGGTGAAGTGCCAGAGTCAAGGTCAGACAGAAAATCTCTGGCTTACAAGCTTCTTAAATTGGAGACTGTGTGGCATGAATTGCATGCACAACTGTAATGAGTGAAATTACAAACGTGCCCATCTTCATTTTTCAATTTGGAAATATTTAGCTGTATGAAAGTTTATATGCCCTAGCTAGAAGGAAATTGAGAAGCTATCTATTATACCTTCTTTCCTGCAGATCAAACCAAACCCATGCCATACATTTTTTAAATCTTCCCAGATGTGCATACAGGTGTTCCACTCCTGTTCAAAATAAAGAATTGTGCTAGGCAATATTAAGGGCATAAGGCCAGGAGAAGTGCACACTGCTTAGGCATTTAGCAGCATTCAAATACAAGGATAAGGTTCGTGAGCGTACATTTAACTGACATTATGTCTCCTGCTTCAAACTCTTCAGTCCTCCCTGCAAAAAGCCTATTACGGTTTTGGACTTGGCCCTCCCCTTGCCATGTGAATGCTAATGTCTAATACCTCCATTTCCCAATTTCATAGCAGGCCTGCATGCTCATAAATTAAACTGCATCGCTCAGCATTATCATGTGCATTCTAGGATTTAGTCCAAAATGGCCCAAACTGCTGCCTATTTCAGCAGAACTCCCTTTGGCCATTGCCTGTTAATATATTATAGAGACATTAGGACAGTGATTTGAGAGTGCAGACCAGGCAGGTAGAGAACATACTTCCCTGCAGAGAGGTCTGTGGGCAAATGGGAGTGGCTCAGGGGAATGATTGTGGGGAGATGTTGGTTGCCTCATTTCAGACAGAGGATGGGGCCTACGTGGACTGCCCCACCTGAAACAGGGGGAATGCATCTGCCACAGACTGTCTTATAAAAAACTATTGAATGTGAATGGCTAAAGTTTAAAAGATAACAAATCAATTGAAAGAAGTAAAATAAATCCCAGACCATGGCTAAGTTTTGTCACTTTCTAAGCCAGTGATGGTGGTTTAAAAACATACCAAAATGTCCACCACAGAACCAGATTGTAAAGGAAACATAGTGGTGCTTGGCTTCTCAACATAACACTAAACACTGATACTTTTAAATCACAACCAAATCTGCACATGGTTTTTTAAAACTCAAGTAGTATAGAAGAGCATTCAATGAAAAGTTGCAGCTCTGTCCCTACTGCCCCCACCCCACCTACATCCCAAAGGCAAGTTGCTTTAGCCTTTTGAGTCTTTATTTTGGAAGTTAAAAGCAACTTTAAATTGTATGCCACTGAGTCCCATTATGAAAAAATAAAGATTTAACTCATTTATATTCTCTGCACCCTACCCTTCCTCTTTCCTCTCACTTTTGATGATTCTATTACAATGTTTATTCTTTAATTGGATACATTTTTACTTGAATAATACATTTTTATCGCTTGAGTCACAAATGGCCAGTTTGCCTATCCAATATCTGTTTCTCCCTTCTTCCTTATTAAAACAAACCCAATTTTGTTGAGAGCAACAATGTGCCATCAAAAAAAACTATACTCCTCAGTTTTCCTTGTGATAGTTTGCCTTGTTACAGTGTTCTGGCCAGTGAGATGTAAGCAGAAATTGTTGGGTAGGAAAACTCCTTATAAAGGGGACTGACTCAGCAGGTAGGTTCCCTTTACCCTTCTCCTCTCTTTCTTCTTCTTACCTGGAGCACAGGTATGATGGCTGGAGCTGCAACAGCGGTCATGCGACCATGAGATAATCTTGAGGGTAGCTGGAAGTCATGTTCTAAGAATAACAGAGAAAAAAATCTAGAGGGATCCTGGCAAATTGGTGACATCAGAGCTGCTGCCCTAACCCTAAACTGCCTATCTTCCTCATCTTCATTTTATGAGAGACAAGTTTAGGCCCTGTTTTGTCTAAGGCATTATTTTCCCCCACATTTGTTATTCACAACAAATCTGTGCCTCTCATTCATCAACTTTAATCAGTATCTAGACTCTCCACGAGGTGAGAGGAAACTATTGGTGCTTTTGCTGTCCTTCCCATCATTCTCCAACTACTGCTTCTGGTAGCTGTATTTTTCTTTTTTTCTTTTTTGAGATGGAGTCTCACTCTGTCACCCAGGCTGGAGTGCAGTGGCATGATCTCAGCTCACTGCAAACTCTGCCTCCCAGGTTCAAGCGATTCTCCTGCCTCAGCCTCCTGAGTAGCTGGGATTACAGGCGTGTGCCACCACACCCAGCTAATTTTAGTATTTTTAGTAGAGATGAGGTCTCACCATTTTGTTCAGGCTAGTCTCGAACTCCTGACCTCATGATCCATCCACCTCGGCCTCCCAAAGTACTGGGATTACAGGTGTGAGCCACCACTCCCGGCCGCGAGCTGTATTCTTACATTGCCAATGTTGATAACATTACCTTTCTATTCTGTGATTACAAGCCTTCTGTGTCTTTTCACTAGATTGACTCTAAAAGTTGAACACCATTAAATAGGATTTACATTATTATGACCACGTATGTGTTCACTCCTGGGTCAAGTGTCCCTGGATCACTCAAAGAGAAATTCCTAATATGGGAGTCAAATTAACTTTTTTCTCATATTCCATCAAGGAGTTAAAATTATGTCCCATTTTAATTTACATTATTTTTGGACCATGTTATTTATGGTCCTTTTTTCTTAGAGCTCCACATTTTCACACTCTGCCCTCAGCTCTTACTCCTCAGCCTATACAACTATCATTCTAGGTTCACCTTTCTCCAGGGTTAAATTACCTCTACTTAGGTTGTTTTTCTTCCTTGTTTTGCTGGAACACATCCTCAAAGAACTTCTTAGAGTGACTGAGTGGTAAACTTTGGGTCCTTTCATATTTTAAAGTGTATTTATTCTATTCCTGTACTTAAATGATGGTCTAGATTTAAAGTTGTTTTCTCTCAGTATGCTGGTATTGTTCATTGTATTTTTGCATGCAGTGTTGCAAATAAGAGGTCAGATGCATGCCAGTCTTATTTGCATTCTTTTGTGAATTTTTTCCTATTCCCTAGAAATCTCAGAGGTCTTTTCCTTATTGTTAGTGTTCTTTTATTTCAGGCCAAATGTGTTATCAATTAGGTTGATGTTGGTTGCAGCTGTCACACCAACTAAAATTGACTTAATGATAAAAAGGGTATTTGTTGGCTTACATAATTGAAATGCCCTAGATGGGATGAGATGGGATTGATGTTAGGAATATAGTTCTATCAGATCTCTGGTACTATTTATGTGTGATTCTCTTGGTATAGGCAACTGGGTAAATCTCAAGACAATCCTGATAGAACAGAAAACAAGGAATCAAGGCAGAGGTTGACAAGCAATGCAATGGCATTGAAGCCTGGCATCAGAGAAGGCTTAACAAGGAGACCTTTAATTTTAAATGTTTAATTGTGATAAAATACACATAATATAAAATTTACCATCTTCACCATTTTTAAGTGTGTAATAAATGCATTGATGTTGTTGTGCAAGCAATCTTCAGAACTTACCTCGCAAAACTAAAAGTCTATACCTATTAAACAATAAGTGTTCCTTCCCCCTCTCCTCCCACCCCCGGCACCGCCATTCTACTTTATCTTATTAATTTAACTGTTGTAGGTACCTCATGTAAGTGGAATTATTCAATAGTTGTTCTTTTGTGACTGGCTTATTTTTACTTAGCATGATGTCCTTAAGATTCATCTATATGGTAGCATATGTCAGAATTGCCTTCCTTGTAAGGCTAAATAATATTTTATTATATACATGCAACGTATATTTTGTTTTTCCATTCATTTTGTTGATCCATTCTTCCGTTAATGGACACTTGGTTTCCTTCCACCTTCTGGCTACTGTGAATAATGCTGCTGTGAATATGGGTGTACAAATATCTGTTTGTATCACTGTTTTTAATTCTTTTGAGTATATACTTAGAAGTGGAATTCCTGGATCATATGGCAATTCTATTTTAATCTTTTAAGGAACCTCCATACTGTTTTCTATAGCAGCTGCAGCATTTTACATTCCCACCAACAATGCACGGGGGTTCCCATTTCTCCACATTCTTGCAACACTTGGTATTTTCTATTTTTCAGTTAACAGTCATTCTAACAGGACGTGGTTTCTCATTGTGGTTTTGAATTTATTTCCCTAGTTATTAGGGATGTTGAGAATCTTTTCATGTGCTTCTTGGCCATTCATATGTTTTCTTTAAAGAAATGTCTACTCAAGTCCTTTGCCCACTTTTTAATTGGGTTGTTTGTTTTTGTTGTTGAGTAAAGAAGACCTTTTATGGACAGCCTTATATAGGCTGAGTGTTGGGGGGCAAAATTTAATAGACAGAAATGGATGGAAAGGACATTCTAGGCAGAGGGCCCAGCAGGATCAAAGGCATGGAGGTGTCAGAGTGCAGGGTACATTCAGGTTTTTTAAGTCACCAGGCTGTGTCAGACCATAAATTACAGGAGGGAAGCAGCCAGCACTAATGCAGGAAAAGCAGGGCTTCCTCACCCTCTGAAGAGGGGGAGTCAGGACACCACAATGAAGGAAGCCCCACTGTGGAGCCATCAAGAATGTGGAGACCATTCTACCAGATGCAGGGCTGCCCTCATCAATGTCCCCATGGTGCCCATGGGACACTGGATGCAGTCCAGAGGGGTCTGTTAAGAGGTTCTGGAGGCAGCTTACCCTGAGGTTAAGTTCTCAGGTCACAGTGCCAACCAAAAATAATGTTCATTCAAAAGTGTTTCTGAAAAGTTCCCAGGGCAGCGCCACAGTGGGGCTCAACATATCATCCTTTCCTAGGCCCCATACACCAAGGCCTCCTCAGGCACAGGTGCAGTCTCTCTTCAACTGCAACCCACATGAAGTTGCTTCCTTGATTTTAGAGACCACATTATGCAGAAGATACTTATCTTTGCACACTAGGATCACATTTGGCCCATGAAAGTGTACACACCATTAGAGAAAGGCAAGAACTGAGGCCTCTTGAGGTATATCTCTTTGGATGCTTTGGGCCACACGCCACTGAACACCTGATCAGCAGGCGCTTTAGCAATAAAGATATTTTAGCAGTTTATATAATAATAAGTCTGGAGAAAAGTAATACTGCACAAGGTTAATATAGTTCTCTAGGCCTTCCCTTTGTAGTCCTAGGAGGGCTGTAGCAGCCCCAAGCATCATATCCCTACACCACAGTGTCCAGGGGAGGGAGGGAAAGAAGAGACAGAAAAGGGGCTTTCTCATCAGTGCTCTTTCATCATCTGGGAGAATATTTCCTGATCTCCAGGTACTTTCTTTTGCATCTCATTGGCCAGAACTAGATCACATGCCCATGCCTAACCAATCACTAGCAAAGAGCTTGAGACTTCCATGGTAGGTGTGGTGCTATGGTTCTCATGCCTCTTATCCCCTGAAGCAAAATAAAATTGGTGTTTGTTAGCCAGAAGAAAAGGGAATTGCTGTGCTGCAAGAAGGACCAGCAGATTCTCCTGGGCTATATCACACTTGCTCTGGAACATCTGCTCATGGAAGACAGCGTAAATCATTTCATGTCAGCCTACATTTTATTTTATATGTAAATTATTATTTTATTTATTGAGTCCAGCACATACAGGTGAATTCTCATGAGTTGGATGTCTGTGGGCTGAAGCTTCACTGCCTTAATTTTGGGGTTGTTACCTTCATATGTCCTCCTTGGGCTTTATCCCAACCTCTGAGAATGGAGTGTTCTTTAGTTCCTCTGGCCTAACTATATTCTAGCTCTGCCTGTTGACCTTGAGGCCCAGGGATATGACTGGTCCCCTGGGGCCAGGCCCTTGCTTTCCTATCCTCTGGACAGCCTCTCTGTTCCAACTATAGAAAATGCTGTGCTTGTGGCATGCACACTCGTAGATCAACATGTATCACAATGGCCTAGAAAAAGAGCCATCAGCTAAGACGTAGCATAGCAGATCAATACGTTAGTTCTTTGGAAATCACAGAAGCAAATTAAGCTTTTGCTGATTTTTAAATTCACACACAGTAAGGAAAATCAACAAGTCCTCATTTTGTGGGAGGGAGCCTGGTATGGGGTTAGCTGGAGGTTTGTGTATAACTTGCTGGCAAATGTGTCAAGCTTCTTGACACTTGTTAACCTATGCATAGGCTTTGGTGGGAACATGGACAGGACATGTTCTGCCAGTTGTAGTTGTGGATTCTGAAGCAATAAGTGCAGGAAGAAACAAGACAGTTTGTCAGCTTAAGAATCATAGAGACTACAGTTGTTACTTATGAACTGCCTACCGTTCTGGCCTAATTTCTAGCCAACACAATAGCGATTATGCATACCATTAAATATATGTTGGATGAACTCAGTTAAAATTTTTAATTAATCACAGCCTCAAATCTGACTCAGGCCTGCTCTGACTTCATAGATCCCTGCCTAGATTTGCAGTTATCTGCTTATCACCATGGCAGTCTGCTCATAGCTCAGTAAAGAAGAGAAGCTGGGCTGCTTGGCTTATAATTTCTAGGAGGAAGTTATATTACACGAAATTGGAGAGAATGGCTCTGGACTTGGTTATGTTGTACCCAGTGAAAGTATCAGGTGAACAGCTCTTCTTGGGCATCATGTCTCTTGCCTGCACCTCCCAACTGTGATTCATAGAGCATCCACTGGCCTGTTCAGCCTTCATGGAGAGCCTGGCCAAGTTTCCACCCTTCCCAGATATTTCAGGATCCTATTGTCATCCTATTACCTTGAGGAAGTTGGTAGTAATGGCAGCTTGTTTTCTTTTTGAGTGAATGAATGAACAAACAAGCTAAAACAAAGTGGCCTTTTTTATTAGGATTTTTAGATTACATTTTAGGGCTGGTCCTAAGAGGATGTGAGAACTTAAGGACAAGGCTGAGTAGCATAGGGGAGACAACTGTCACCCTATATTCCTCAGCAATTTTTCTTTCTCCTTTACCAGAATCTTCATTTCTTAAAACCAGAAAGCAGCCTGGCTGATCTCCTGAGTTTTCCCCCAATCAGGCTGCTTTTGCCCACTCAGGCACAGGGCAGACACTGGGACACTAGCCCCTTCTGTGTGACCTCCTTCTGTTGACTGGAATCCACCACCCATACTGATGGTCATGGTACCATTTCTACTAGCATGTTCCTAGGACCCTTATGCATGCACAGTTTCAGAAAACCTGTCCTGCTGGTGCATGGGACTACAGAGTCCCACCATGCACTGTCCCACCTCACTGGGAAGGGGTTCTTCTGATTCTGTTTCCATGTGAAGACAGCTGGACTGTGGCCATGTAGACAGTCACTTTTATCTGAGTTTCTTTCTGATGGAAATAAATTGTATTATATATGGAAGGAGTGTGGTCAGGGCCTCATGACCTCTAGTATCTCCTCAGCATCTTTCTCTTCTCAATTGTCTGTCCCTCTGTGGTATTTCCTGGTTCACTAGGGGAACTCCAGAATTGACTCTGCTGTCTGTAAAGAACCATAAAGGGTCTGAAATTTTACCCTACTTGCAAGCTAACAAGTTAACCTGCCACAGTTTCATGGATGCTGGCAGAAGACATGAGACTTCTCCCTCGGAGACAAAAGACTTTATTACTCATGGCAACAGCAGTAGCCAGATGTCAGCATTTTCTTGTGCCATTTTCTGAGCTACAATTCCCACAGGAGGATGTGAAGATGGCCACATGATACCCATACTTGCAGTGGATTGTGTTATGGGAGAAGATCCCTGGGCTTCAGGAACCCAGATATTTTATCAGGGACAATAAACATGCCTGTCTTTTGCTCCAAAGAAGGACATCATCTTCATTATACTGGACAGTAACTCTGCCTGCCTTTGTCCCAGCAGGAGACAATATCAGTCTTCCAAGGCTGCTGTTAGCTATTCAAATATCTGTGAAAGAAAGTCCAGAACAATCAGCAGCCAATGCCTTACTTGAAAGACATGCAGAAACATAAGCAACCCATGGAGAACTGCCTCCCAACGTTGTCTTTGTTTTGACCTCATCCATACATTCAATTTGATTATTCCACACACGTTTTACACCTACTCTGAGCAAGACCCTATGCTTGGAGTGTAGGATACAAAAATAAAACACATTCTTTGCCCTCAAGAAGCTCACTCTCCAGTCAGATGGATAGGTGATGAATAGAGAGTAAGGTAGAATGGGATGAGATGTAAGAGAGAAAGTTCTAAGGGGATGTGGAAGGCAGAGGAGAAGACCCAACTTAGCTTGGAAGGAATAGGCATTGACAGCTTTGTAGAGGAGGTAAAAGTCTAAATGATGTAGCTATTAGCCTGGCATAAATAGGTGAGAGTGAGTGAGCACTCAGGACAGGATGAAAGGCAGTTTGACAGAGCAGCCATAGGGAGGGGGTTGGAGGGTAAGTAGCAAGGCTTGGGAGAAAAGGTCATGACCAGATTAGGGGCTCTGGATGACACCTGAAGAATTTCAACATTATCCAGAGTGAAACTGGTGGGGAAGGGATTAAGCAGGGAATCAGCATGTTGATGTGTGTGTTGACAGATCCCTTGGGCAGCTACGCAGAGGATGGATCAGAGGTGAGACTGGAAAAAAGACAGGCTAGGAGTGCATTCAGATCCAATTGAGAAATAATGAGTCCCAATCTAAGGCAGGGACTATGGAGTTTGAGAGAGGGATGAGCAATAAAGATATTACAGAGGTGGGACTGACAGACTCTCAAGTCAAGGGACGGAGATGAGCCACATGGCTGCCAGTTTTGTGATTTGGGCACTAGAAGGGCCATGATGCTGTCCCCTGATGTCATTACGAACAATTGCTCCTGCATTTTCCTGATACACAGGGAAGCCCCCAGGGTAGCAGATGGCATAGGATGCTTTCCCAACACTAAATGTGGCATATTGCCCACTGTTAGACTGGAGTGGGGGCCTTGGGATGGACCCCAGGTTGGGTATGGGCAGAGGCAGGGAGAGAATAGAGGAATCAAATATTACCACTAAGGTGGGAATCAGGAATCAGGGTCCTTGGATGGGGCTCAGCCAAGGCAGCAGATACAACTTATGGGGTTAAAACAAAATTTAAGTTTGGAAGGGAACTGACACCCCAGATTAGGATGCAGAAATTCTGAAGAGGTAAAGCAAACTGGGCAAAGGAGAAGTACCACATTTTGAAGGCAGTAATGGGGATGGGAGGGTGGACAAACCTGGGGCTCTGCTGTTTTGACTTGGGGAATATTTCTTCCACAGCTACCTGCTTCAGCCTAGATCCTGCCATGAAGCGGACTGCTGCTCCCTGGCTCCCACTCTGATCTGCTTTTCACTCTTGCCTTGTCTCCCAATTAATAAGGTAAATATCTCTTTTAGTCACCTTCCACTCTGCATTAGACCCAGTGGGATCCCTGCCCTCAGGGATTTACAGTGTGCTATGCAAGGAAAGAATGGAGGCTACAAAATATAGACTAAAAATATTTATATATAGACAACTATACTATGTCACCTTTTCAAGGTTAGAGGAGGGAGCTCTGACTTCCAGGTGGGCCTTGCAGGAAGCTCTACAGGAGAGTTGGCATGGAAGAGAACATTCTAGCACTAGGAAATGGCATAAACAGAGGCCCAAGAAGCAGGAACATGCAGAAGACACATTAGAGAATGGTAGATGATCCCAGCTTGGCGATGATATGGAGTACTTGTAAGGAATAGAGAAGGTGGGTGGGAGACAAGTAGGAGAGGTAGAGTGAGGCCAAAATCTCCATTTTCCATATGGTTCACTAAGGCTGAGACTGACCAATTAAATCATATAGTAAGCACAAGGCTATTTGCCAGATATTTCTGGCTTTCCACCTTCAGCACATAGAGACCAGTTGTACTTTCTAGCTCACTATAGTTGTGTGGGATCTATAGAGGTGACATGTGGCAATTTGGGGCCAAGCGTAAAGTTGCTGGTGAGGGACTTTCCAGAGCCTTCTTTTTCTCTACTATTGCTACTAACTGCATTCCATGTAGTGGCTGGTCTATCATCTTGAGTCATGGATTGAGGGACAAAGATAACACAGAGCAGAGCCCTCAACTGGTGTGGAATGGGTATGAATTATTAACATGAAATAAACCTTTATTGTTTTAAGCCACTAAGATTAAGGTTGTTTGTTAGTGCAGCTTACCTGGCCTCTCCTGACTCATACACTTAATCAAGGTAACTCGGTTAGAAAGTACTTGTTGGCTTTGATTCCATGTCTGTCTTGTCATCAAGCCAGTGTCAGGCAGACGTCTGTGTACCTTTAGGGGCCCATAAGCAGGGTCAAGTCTAGAGCTGTAGATTTGGACATCACCTACACAAATGTAGTAGGACATGGAAAGAAAGTAATAGAGATTTAGTCTGTGGACTTTGGGAGTGAGGCTTCTTGCCCTCATGTTCTTTCTGTCCCACAGGTTTGTAGTCAATTCCACATGGCCTATTGATAAGTAGGACATCATTGCTGCCTGCAGGGTCTGGAGGTTCAGAGATGCTGGCTTGAGTTTGTTGACAGCTGCACACTCATAACATTGCTAAAAACTTCATAAACTCTGATGCCTGGAAATAGCCCAAGTGATTTGAGGTTTTGCTCACTTGTAAATGTTTGAGTATTGTGTCCACAAATTGCAAATTGAGTAACTCAATTTCGAGGCACAGCTGTTATTTGGAAAAGACCCATCTAGGAACGCAAGCTCCTTGCAAAATAATTGTGCTTCATTTTTGTCAAGTATCAGAAAATCATTAAACTGCCAAGCCATATGGCAAATGCCCACTAGAAGCAGAGTGCAACAACGAGCCATAATGAATCTGT
This sequence comes from Homo sapiens, assembly GCF_000001405.40. NCBI lineage: Eukaryota > Metazoa > Chordata > Mammalia > Primates > Hominidae > Homo > Homo sapiens. The sequence continues at coordinate 139,636,488 of NC_000003.12, read as the reverse complement.
TTTGGGGAGAAGTACATAGGACAGCGTCTGGTTTTTGTGATCTACAGAAAAGATTCGCTGCTGCACATTTCAGCCATCCAGAGTCCTGAGTAAGGGTTTTTCCTCCCATGAAAAATTCATATAACAAATTTAGTTATGGTAGTTTTTTTTTTTCCTTAGGTGTATTTTTTTCCCTTTCAAACAATGTCCATTTGAGTTTCTGCATATAAAATAGACTTAACTGGGACAATAGAAACTTCTAAAAGTTTACATACTTTTCCATTTTTATATACTAACCCAATAAACATTCATTAAATATTGGCATAGCAGTTAGAATTAGGTTTAGCTGTGTATAATAGAAAAATGGAAAATAATGGTGGCTTTGAAGATCGTTTCTACCCCAGGTAAAAGAAACCTGGAGGTAGGCAGCCCGGGGTTGGCATGACAGCTTCAGGGTCATCAAGTCCTGGTTTTCTCTTGACCTATTCTTTGTCAAACCTGGAGTAGGTCCTTGTCCTCAGGGTCTAATACAGCTGCCATGCTCCAGCTATCACATTCCAGGTAGCAAGAGTAGAGGAGAGGAGAAAGGTATGCCTTTCCCTTTTAAGGACAGTGCCTGACCTAACACTTCTATTCAAAGATCACTGGCCAGACCTTAGGCATGTGGCCTCAGCCTACTGCCAAAGACATTGGGAAAGGTAGCAATATGCCCAGCTGAAGACGCATTCTGTGACTAAAGAGGATGGGAGAATGGATATTGAGGAGTCGCCAGCAAACTTTATCCTACCAGAGGTCCTTGATGCTTGTTCTTCCTGCTAGATTATAACCTTCTTGAGGACAGGAACAGATTTTATTTACTCCTCTATCTCCGAGGCACTAGCACAGTAGCTGGTAGGTTGTGTTTTTAATTTTCTGCTATTTGCATTCCTAACAGCAGACCCAAAATACTCCTCACCTTCTAACCCCCTCTTCTGCCTTCTTTGTCCATGTTGACAGATCAGCTATGATTTTAGGCATATTTATTTTTCATCAGAAAATTTTACTTCTACCAGAATGATATTAGACTGTCTGTTCATGTGTTTTTCAATATTGACTCTGAATTCCAGGGACAAGAGATGCTTAGAGGAGGGTTGTTTTCTTGGAGCTAGACAAAAGACTACACAGCATTGGTACTTGGGCTTGACCTTCCTCATCAGCACCCTTCAGTGGTGACATCTCCCAGGCTGAGCTGGCCTGAGCAAGCTGCCTAATAGGTAGAAGGATGCCGAATGTGTGTCCAAGGGCTGCCAGGTCTTAGGTAACTAGAAAAATGGGAGGTCTTTTTCAAACAAGGTAAAGAACCTCCTGGAAGCTGGTATAGGGAGTGACAAATTATGTTTTAAACACAATGAAAGACAAAGGAGCTAATATTTCTAGAGAACCCTCTATGGGCCAGGTACTGTGCTAGACAGGTCACCTCCAATAACCCTCATGAAAGTTCTAAGAGGTAGATATAATTATCTCCACTTTCTATGTGGCTCACTGAGCCTTAGGGAGGTTGATTGGACTCTTTACCAGAAAGCAAGCACAAACCCTTCCCTTCCAGGTGTGTTGAAAGAATTAGCATTGATGTGTGTGAAGTTTTTAGCACAGTGCCTAGCCTATTACTCAATAAACCCAGTAGTAGTTACTCAGACGTACTTTATTGTGGCAATTGAAACTAGTCCCAAATTATGAGTATGGCATTGCAAGAGATCTCATTCCACGCCTTGTGCTCCTTCAAATCTTTTGAAATTTCTCGAAACTAAAGAGTGGGCTGCCTGCTTTCCTGGGAGTCTCATAATTAGGATGAATGCTTAATTGACATGTTTGTTTCCTCCAAGGGGTGGCTGGCAGAGGATCCTTACACCGACAAGGAAGGTATGCTTTGCTTTTGTTTTTAGCAGCATTGTGTGCCCGTAGCAACAGCGGGTTAAAAAGAAAAAGTACTGGAGATCGCATGAAGGTTGATTGCCCTAGAGAAGTCGACACGCTCACACAGATGGAAATGATTTCACCGAGTCCTGAAAAATGTGGTCGTCAGCCCCACATACAAACCACGACTTGTGTTTTCTTTAAGATGAGGAGTCTGGTCAAGAGGTCTGTGTAATAAAAGATGTTTGTAGAATCCATTTCCATTCTGCCTGAAGCCATCTGCTTTATGTCTATAATAAACAGGGATGTTTTCAGCCACTTTCCCGGGCCTGGGCCCGTTACAAATGCTCACCGCAGGGAAAGGTAAATTGACTGCCTCCCAAGCGATGAGCATTTGCACGTTACATCTGCAGTGACGGCACTTAACCTTCCCGGGTCGCCTTCCTTACTGTGCCTCCGCGACGGCCTGTGACAAATGGGCTGAGGGGTGCACACTAGGTTAGAACTTAATACACATGGAGTATTGGCCAGCATCACATTACGTGGTGAGCCAAGTGAGATGTGAGCAGGCGGAAGAGGCCATATTCCAGGAAGATGGAGGCCGTCTGACCTTCTCCAGCCAGAAAGACCTGAGGGCAGCTGGGGCCGTCCTGAGACTTTCTGATGTACCCACTGTCCCTGAAACTTGCGGATGCACTTGAGTGCTCTTTCTGAAACACAGACTGAGCAAGTCACATCCCTGTTTAAAATCGTTCAGAGGCTTCCTCCTTGCCCATAGGATAAAATCTAAACTCCATAGGCACCCAGGGTCCCTCGTGATCCTTCCACTCTCTGCAGCTTCATCTTGAGCCACTCACACATCAGCTCCTGCCTACACGTGAGCCATACTGACATCTTTCAGCTCACCTCCCACCTTCAGCTGCTGTGTCTAGGCCTTCGCAGCGCTGTGCCTTGTGCCTGACACAGTATTCACTATCTTCCCCAGCATCTCAATTCCCTCTCCATTCTTGCTTTAGCTGGAAGGTCCCTTCTGACAGCCTGCCGCTAAAAAGATGGGTGTTTTAACTTCCTATGGCTGCTGTAACAAATCACTGCAGCCATAGGAAACTAATGTGTGGCTTAAAACAACACAAATTTGGCTGGGCACAGTGGCTCACGCCTGTAATCCCAGCACTTTGGGAGGCTGAGGCAGGCAGATCACCTGAGGTTGGGAGTTTGAGACCAGCCTGACCAACATGGAGAAACCCCGTCTCTACTAAAAATACAAAATTAGCAGGGCACAGTGGGACGTGCCTGTAATCCCAGTTACTCAGGAGGAAGAGGCAGGAGAATCACTTGAACCTGGGAGGCAGAGGCTGCGGTGAGTTGAGATCGTGCCATTGCACTCCAGCCTGGGCAACAAGAGCAAAACGCTATCTCAAAAAAAAAAAAAAAATCAAACAAAAACACAAATGTATTCCCTTCAAGTTTTGTAGGTCAGAAGTTTAAAATGAAGGGGTCCGCGTTCCTTCTAGAGGTCCTGGGGACAGTCATTTCCTCGCCTTCTCCAGCAGCTAGGGGCCGTTTGCATTGCTTGGTTCATGGCCCCTTCCTAGCACCTCTCTCTTCTCTGACGACTGCTTCTTTCACACATCTTCTTTCTCTGTTTAGCCCCGTTGCTGCCCTCTTTATGGGGGCCTTCATGATAAAACTGAGTAATCCAGGCTACCCTCCTCATTTCAAGATTCTTTATGTAATCACATCTGTAAAGTCCCTTTTGCCATGTAATATAACATATTCACAGGTTCCAAGGATTAGGACACGGTCATTTTCAGGAGCCAATTATTCAGCCTCTTGCAGTGAGGTGTTAAGCCCTGAGCCCTGATCCCTTACCCTGGGGGTTATTGCCTATTGAATTGTCCTTCCCATAGATGACTGGAAGCTCTTTGAGGGTGAGGGCTGCATCTGCATTGCCTCCTATTGCATCCTACTGTCCAGTAGAGGGCCTGGCCACTAGTAGATGCTTAATAAGCAGTTGTCCACTGAGTAGATGGCAGTCAGGGCAGTGCCAGAGACCAGGCTGTTGTAGAGAAACTGGACGGACTCTGAAAACCAGTGCAGTGAGCAATGTCTAGGCAGTAAAATCTGGAAGGAATTGTCTGGACTGTCTTGGCAAATGGACAGCCATCAACCTCCAGTTCTGTAGGGCAGAGGGATGACCTTGGTGTCAATGTGCAGGAGGCCAGCATATCCCTGTTGACAGGATCATGGTGGTAAAGAGGGCCCAATAGGCAAGGATGTCTTTTTTAAGTTTCAGATTGAGTCGGGTGAAGTGGGGCTTTGGGGAGGGATCTTGTGTGCCTTCAGGGAGCCAGAAAGTTCACTTTATATCTCTGGAAGGCTCATTCCATTGACTGGGACAGAACCAAAGAGAGGAGGTAGACATCTGACAAAAATACTTGGTCAGGGATAGACACTGACTCTGTTGTTCTTTCCACACACATTTCCTGAGTACCTATTGGTGCCAGGCACAGTGCTAGGAGTTGAAAGGACCAAGATGAATTTAAAAACCACTCTCTAATCACTTGAGCCCAGGAGTCTGAGGCTGCAGTGAGCTATGATTATGCCACTGCACTCCAAACTGGACAACAAAGTGGGACCCTGTCTCTTAAAAAAACAAATAAAAAATAAAAAACCTCTAAGATATTATCTTCCACTTGGAGAAGAGCAACATGCATTAAAAAAATGACAGTTCTCTGGTGAAGAAACAAAAAGGTGATAAAATATGTAACAAGTACAGAGTTAGCATGGTGGTGAGGGCAGTAGGGGGGAGGTAAATATTCCAGGGAGAAAACCTTGAAGGCAGATCATCAGGATGGCGTTTCAGGTGGTCATGACTGCTTTTGCAGAAGCAGCATGTTGTGCTTGAGGAGTGGGATGAAATGCTGTCTAGATGACTATGGAGTGGGAGGCAGTAAGCTGGGGAGGGGGCGGGAGCCAAAGGTAGAACCTGTTTGCCTTGTCTCCAGTTTAATGATAAATTCCAACAAGCCTGTACACCACATTCTCAACTTGTTAAATCCTTCAGCTGCAATTATCACTCTCTGGCCTCCATTAAATGCTTATTGATGAGAAGCCTTCCCCAATAGCAGAAGTCTCCCTCACTTGCTCCGTCTCACTAGATATTATTAGATGATAAGGGCAGATGGGACACTTTTATAGCATGCATCTTGCCTTGTGTCTGATGAGATTTGCACTCAAATTAGAGCCAGTTTATTGTCCTGGTGGATCCCTGGAGTGATTCCATTTTAGCCCTATCACTGTATTTCGCTGGGTTTGGCTTGGGAGGGTACTTAGTTGAAGCAAATTTGAGTGTACACATGGTACAGGTGCACTGACCCTGTTACTGATCCTGGGAATGTGCACTCCTGTGTCCTTCAGCCTGCGATATGGCCCAGACATAGCACAGTCACCACTAGAACAGTGTGGCTCAGTATGCCCACAGCAAAAAAAGAAAGAGAGGCACTTATTAAAGGTCATTTATTCTCCTTCTCAGCATCACACTTCATTGCTGTTGATGCCACCATTCAAACAAATTGTTCTAATTTATAGTTTCTGGGAACTTTTGGAAAAATGGATGAGAGCCCCAGGTTACCTGAGATGCTGTTACATATTTTAATGGTGCTAACAATGTATATTTTGTCAAAATGAAACAGGATTTTGAAAGACTTCATAACAGTTGTAAAAAAAAAACAGCCACCTTTTCAGATACAGTCATCACGAGGCTGCTCTTGTGAATAGCTTGGCACACTTTGCAAATATCTCATTAAACCATCCAACCTCCCTGGGAAAAAGCTAGCAGCAGCTTGTTGACTGCTTTCTTCCCACACAGTTGGGGGTATTCCTGCTGCCTCAAAGGAAGTATGGAGAGACCACGGCCCGCCTAGGCTGAGAGCTTTTCATCTTCACACTGTAGCTCAGAGTACATGCCCTCCAGCCTGCCAGTGCCCTGTTTCAGTCTTCACTGATCCCTACTCTGGGCCAGGCTCTGTGCTTCGAGCTGAAATCCCAAGAAGGAGAAAACACCACTTCCCTTCCTAAAGGGTTTACTGTCCAGTGGATAGGAAAGACACATAAGCAGGCTTTTTCAATAAAATGTCGCTTGTGGTTTATTAAAGGTAAGTCAGAGATGAGTTAACCTAAGCTAGATGTCAAAGAAGCCATCTCAGCAGCCTTCCACCCTCCCAAGTCCCAGACACTTGTATCCCCAACTCTGTGGCAGCCACAGTGAATTAGTTAATCCAGTTTCCAATCCCCTTTCCCTTACTGTTCTCACTGGAGAGGCTGTCAAGCTAAATAGATGCCTTTTCTGGCCTCTGTTGTAGCTACAGTGGCCATGTAACCTAGTTCTGGCCAATGAGACAGAAGCAAAATCTACAGGAGGTTCTAAAAAAGCTCTTGTGTTCTTGATTAAGAGGAATAGCCAATCTAGTACAGCTTCTTGCTCCTCCTTCTTGCCTTTATTGAGGTTATGATGTGACCATGAGACAGAAACTGAAAGAATTGTAGGTCATTGTTGAGCCCATGATTTCATGTCATTAGGTGCCTACTTCCAGACTTTTTGTCATGTTAGAAACAAATGAACCTCTCTTTGTTTAGACCACTGAGGTTAGGCTTCTGGTATTTGCAGCTAATATATCCCTAACTGATATAGGTACCTAGCAGGTAATTGATAAATAGTGATGAAGTAATAAATAATGTGATCATATGAATTGGATCTTAACATATTGGGATGTGCCGGGGGGTTTTCTGGTTGGAGGAAACCAAAATAGCCTGTACAGAAGGTTGAAGCAGGAAGCCATGAAGATCTCACAAAGAAGTCCTAATAGGTAGTTCATTGTTGCTAGAATATAAAGTAGGAAACTGGATGAAAGCCTGGAGAAGGAGATAACATGGGCCAAATTGAAACAGTTTCCTTTGATATAAGCAGGGTCCCAGGTTCCTGTGACTGAGCACTCTACATGTTGCCCCCAGAACTGCAGGATTACAGCTAAGACCATCACAGCAAGATGAATAATAAAGGCAATAAATGCATTCCTCCCATTGGTTTCTGTATTATCTATTACTGCATAACCAATTACATCAAAATGTAGCAGCTTAAGATAACACATTTATTTATTATTTTTATTTATTATCTCACAGTTTCTGTGGGTCGTGAATTCAGATATAATTTAACTTATAAAGCCTATCTTATAAAGCTTCAGTCAGTGTTCGCAGGGCTGCAATCACATCTGAAAACTTGACTGGGGAAAGATCACACCCACACTCATGCACATAGTTTTTGGCAGATCCAGTTCCTCACTGGCTGTTGGCCACCAGAGGTCTCTCTCACTTCCTGGGCCCATGGGCATCTCCACGGGGCAGCTCACAACCTGCCTGCTGGCTGCATCAGGGTGAGCAAGTAAGAAAGCAAAAGAGGTGAGCAAGAGGGAAGCCAGGGGCCTTTGGTAACCTTATCTCAGAAGTGGTAACCACTACTGCTGTATTCTGTTTGTTGTAAGCAAGTTTCAGCCTATACTTAAGGGATGAGATTACCAGTGAATACTAAAAGGATCATTGGGAGCCATCTTAAACACTGCCTACCACAGACACACCACCATCTCCTTTCTCCTCCTGCTCCATTAGGGTCAGCAGTAGCAGCACCTTTCTCACCATTGTCATCATCATCACCACAGCCACAGTGATTATTTATTAAATGCTTCTTACGTATCAGGCACTTTCCATATGTAACTATCCTCACTATAACCTTGTAAGAGTAAGTAACATTATCCCCATCTTGCAGGTTAGAAACCTGAGGCTCAGAGAGGGTCTGTGATTTGCCCTAGGCCTCACAGCCAGTGAGAGGTAGAACTAGGGGTCAACCAAGTCCCACCTCGAGGAGGCAGCATCTCAGAGGCAAGAGAGCCGTGTCTGCCAGCCTGCCCTGGAGCCTGGGCTGTTTCCTTCTCACCTTTAACCTCAACAGGGTGAGACCAGAGGGTGGGCTGCACCCTCTCAAAATGCTTGGGCCCCAGATAAAGGACAATAGGTGAGATCAGAATACAGTCTGCACATTAGATAATAGTCCAGTAACAATGTTGGTTTCCTGATTTTAATCATTGTTCTGCAGTTATGTAACAAAGTGTATTCATTCTGAGAAAACACATACTGAAGTATTTAGAAGTAAAGAGATTTTATGTCTATGACTTACTCTCAAACATTTCAGAAAAAATATTTATAAACAGGTATGTATGTGTGTGGAAAGAGAGTGATAAAGCAAGTGTGGTAAAATGTTAACATTGGGGAATCTGGATAAAGAGTATAAAACATTTTGTATAAATTTTGTAACTTTTTTCCAATAAGTCTGAAATTGTTTCAAAATAAAAAGTGTTTTAAAAGTGCTAATCTACTCTAGGACCTTGTGAGATCTATTAGGACTACCAGAGATGGCACTACGGGAGTCTTCTAGCCCTCCTTCTGACCCCGTGGTGATCTGTCAGAGCTCAAGGAGGATATAGAGGTTCAGAATAGAACATGGGTTCTGGGATCAGGCTGCCTTGGTTCCAGTCCTGGCCCAGTAGCTTCTAAGGTCCCTGAGCTGTATGAGTAACCACTCAGGGTCGTTAAAAAGGACTTGGCAAGAGAAGGATACGCCTTGGCATAGCACTTGGCATACTTCATGGCCCATGGCCAACCCTCCTTAAACGTTGTTTTAATGGCCTCCTCAGTCATCTTACAAGTGAGAAGTAATGGTCTGTGTGTGGTTTAGAGAGACTGATCTGGATAATTGTCTCAGTGCTAACTCCCTGACATGAGCTTTTGTCCCCATAAAAGCAGGGTGGCCACTGCAACAGGTGTGGATGTGCCTGACAAGATGAAGAGCCGAATACCTGTGGTGCTCCTGGCCTGTGGCTCCTTTAACCCCATCACCAACATGCACCTGCGCATGTTTGAGGTGGCCAGAGATCACCTACACCAAACAGGTCAGTCAGGGGGCCCTGAGTCCAACAGAAGAACTGGTGGGTTAGGCTTCATGGGGCTTTTCTGGCTGCTGGCATCACTATTATTAAAACAGCTCAATTTATTCACAGCATAACTAGTGGCATATTTTTTTCATCATATTCAAAGGGTTGATGCTTATAGTCTTGTGACATATGTACAAGTCATACCCCTTGCCATAGAGCTGAACACATCTCAAGGTCTCCCCTCCCTGCCCACCTCACATTGGCAATGAACGACAACAGGCCCTCTACAGAACCTGTGCCACAATCAGGGCATCCTTCCTGGTACTCCCAACATCTACCTACACAGCCAGATGAATAGGTAGCATGTGCCTTAGAAAGCTCCTGATACTCTTCAGAGGGTAAGAAAATGCTTGATAATGGGCATTTTGACATTTTCTCATTTTAAAGAATAGATCTTAGATTATTACAAATTAATAATCTTGTATATAGGGCATTTCCAATACAGATGGCATGACTTTGACAGGAATATTTAATCAGCTGGAAATATATAATCTGAGGATATTTCACCTGCTTGACTTTCTATTTCATTATTAAAGGAGTAAAGTGACATTTGTAATCTGCATGATTGTTTCTAAAGAATATAAATAATGTATCTGTTGCTATCGAGTATATATGAAATTATTTACTTGTATATTTATGAATGTATTATGTATTCATATATGTATTTTGTGTTTCTATATTGTTTGTAAAAAGTTTGCCTTTAAGGACATTGTTTTTATACCAGAATCCATCCCTATTTACTTTTAACATAGCAAAAAGTATTTGAGTAACATGGAAATTATTTCTTCAAAGAAATAATGCACAAGTATTAGTTCATTTTAAAGGAAATGTCTTTATTTTAGAAACATATTTTTATTGAAAAAGTAAAAGTGATATCCTATTACTACCAGTAGGACTGTACTGGTAGTAATAGGATAAATTTTGAGGACAATTTGGTGTTCTGTGACAAAAGATTTAAAGTCTCTACCCATACTCAGAACAAAGAGAAAAATGAACCAATGGAAACCAAACCAGATTTGATGCAGATATTAGAATTAGCAGACAAAGACTTGAAAACAATTATTATAATTATGTGCTATATATTCAAGTTAAGTAGAGATATGGACAATATAAAAGGACCCAAGTCAAACATCTAGAATTAAATACTACAACCTGTTAGATGAAAAATACACTATAAAGAATAAAAAACAGATTAGACATTACAGAAGAAAAGATTAGTGAACTTGAAGATGTAATAATAGGAACTATCTAAAAATACAGGAAGAAAAAATTTTAAAAAAGAAAGAATAACAATGAGATACGGGAAAACTTGAAGCAGCTTAATATACTTGGAATTGGAATCCCAGAAGGGGAAAACAAAGGAAGAACTAGAAAAAATATTTGAAGAAATAATAACTGAAATTTCTCCAAATTTGATGAAAACCCACAGATCCAACTATCTGAACAAACTCCAAACACAAGAAACGTTAAGAAAACAACACTGAAAAATATAATAATCAAATCTCTCAAAAGCAGTAATAGTCAAAAGCAACCACAGAACAAAAATAAAGATGACAGCAGACATCTTGTTACTGAATTTACCAAAAGAGAATTTAGTGTAATAGCATTGTTAGAGAACTGAAAGAAAATACTGTCGACCTAGAATTCTATATCCATTCCATATCTGGCAAAAATATCTTTCAAAAACGAAAGCAAAGTAAAGGCATTTTCAGATATTCAAAAGCTGAAAGAACTCACCACCAGCAAACCTGCACTACAAAAAATGCTAAATTCTTCAGGCAGAAGGAAAATAATACCAAACAGAAGCATGGACCAACACAGGAATACAGAGCACTGGAAATGGTAACAACATAGGGCAATTATATAAGATTTCTTATTGATTTTCTTTAAAAGGTAATTAACAGTTTAAATAAAAATAACAATACATTGTGGGATTTATAACCTATGTAGAAGTAAAATATATGATAACACTAGAATAAAGCTGAGGGGGTAAAAGGGAAGTATACATAAAGTGGTATAACATCACTTAAAGATAGACTGTAAGAAGTTAAAGGTATGTTTTAAACTCTAATGCAACTGCTAAAATGAAGCAGTTATAGTTAATAAGCATACAGAGGAAGTAAAATAGAATTGGAATATACTCAGTTAATTCAAAAGAAGAAAAAGAAGAAACAGGGAACAAAAAACAGATGAGACAAATAGAAAACAACATAAGAGATTTAAACCTAACTATATCAATAATCACATTAAATATAAGTAGCCTAACAACTTCTGCAAAGAGGCAGACTGCCAGATTCAATAAAATAAGCAAGACCCAACTATAAATAAGAAGCATACTTTAACCATAGTAACCCAAATAGGTTAAAAGTAAGAGAACAGAAAACTGTCCTATGCTAACACTAATTAAAAGAAAGCTGAAGTGGCTATAGTAATACAGAGAAAGTAGATTTCAGAGGAATGAATATTACGTGGGATAAATAAGGTCATTTCATAATCACAAAGGGGTTAATTCTTTAAGCAGAAGTAATACGCTTTTTGCACTTAGTAATATAACTTCAAAATACATAAGAAGCAAAAACTTATAGAATTGCAAGGAGAAATAGACAAACCCACATTTAGAGTCAGCTATTTTAATGCTCTTCTCAGTAATTAATAGAATAAGCACACAGAAAATTAATAGAAGACTTGAACAACACTATTAAACAATTTGACCTAATTGACATTTATAGACCACTGCATCCTACATCACAGAATACACATCCTTCCCAAGGGCACACAGAACATTTACCAAAATAAGCCATATTCTGAACCATAAAAGAAGTCTCCGCATGGCGCGGTGGCTCATGCCCGTAATCCCAACACTTTGGGAGGCCAAGGTGGGTGGATCACCTGAGGTCAGGAGTTTGAGACCAGCCTGGCCAACATGGTGAAACCCCGTCTCTACTAAGAATACAAAAATCAGCCAGGTGTGGTGGCACACACCTGTAATCCCAGCTACTCAGAAGGCTGAGGCAGGATAATCGGCTTGAATCCGAGAGGCAGAGGTTGCAGTGAGCCGAGATCGTGCCACTGCACTCCAGCCTGGGGAGTGCAGCGAGACTCTGTCTCAAAAAAAAAAAAAAGTCTCAATAAATGTAAAAGAACTGAAGTAATACAAAGTGTATTCTCTGACCACAGTGGAATTACATTAGAAATCAATAACAGAAAGATCTCCGAAAGATCCCCAAATATGGAAATAAAATAACATACTTTGAAAAACTCATGGGTCACAGAAGAAATCAAAATGGAAATTAGAAAACATTTTGAACTCAATGAAAGTGAAAACAATATATAAAAAATTTAGGATGCCACTGAAATAGTACTTAAGAAGAGTTTTATAGCACGAAATATTATATTAGGAAAAAAAGGTCTCAAATCAATGATTTCAACTTCCACTTTAATAAACAAATGAACAGATGAAAAACAAAATAAGCAGAAGAAAACAAATACAATAATTTGCCACACTATGACATTTTAGCAAATAACAGACCATATGTATGACAGTGGTCTGATAAGATTGTAATGGAGTTGAAAAATTCCTATTGACCAGTGACGTTATAGCATCGTGGCTCAAGGCATTACTTGTGTTTGTGGTGACGCTGGTGTAAACAAACCTACTGCATAACTAATCATATAAAAGTCTAAAAAGTCTAGCATAGGCCGGGCATGGTGGTTCACACCTGTCCAGCACTTTGGGAGGCCAATGCAGGCAGATCAGGAGGTCAAGAGTTCAAGACCAGCCTGGCCAAGATGGTGAAATCCCATCTCTACTAAAAATACAAAAATTAGCCAGGCCTGGTGGCACGCACCTGTAATCCCAGCTACTTGGGAGGCTCAGGCAGGGAATTGCTTGAACCTGGGAGGCAGAGGTTGCAGTGAGCTGAGATTGAGCTACTGCACTCCAGCCTGGGCGACAGAGTGAGACTCTGTCTCAATCAATCAATCAATCGACCAATTAAGTCTAGCATATACTATTATATACAGTACATAATAATTGATAATGGTAATAAATGACTAAGTTACTGATTTATGTATTTACTATACTATACTTTTATCCTTATTTTAGAGTCTATTTCTTCTGTTTATTTAAAAAAAAAGTTAACTGTAAAAGAGCCTCAGGCAGCTCCTTCAGAAAGAATTCCAGAAGAAGGCATTGTTATCATAGATGACAGCTCCATGCATGTTTCTGCCCCTGCAGACCTTCTAGTGGGACAAGATGTGGAAGTAGAAGATGGTGATATTGATGATCCTGATCATGTGTAGGCCTTGGCTAATCTGTGTGTTTGTATCTTAATTTCTAACAAAATTTACAAAGTAAACATTTAAAAATAAAACTTACAGGATAAGGATATGAAGAAAAATATTTTTATACATCTGTACAATGTTTGTGTTTTAAGCTAAGTATAATTACAAAAGAATCCAAAAGTTTAAAAAGTTGTCAAGTTTATAAAGTAAAAAAGTTATAGTAAGCTAAAGTTAATTTATTATTGAAGAAAGAAAAATATTTTTAAAAATTTAGCGTAGTTTAAATAAACAGTGTTTATAAAGTCTATAGGAGTCTACAGTAATACTGTAGTCCTTCACATTTACTCACGCCTTGATTCACCCAGAGCAACTTCCAGTCCTGCAGCTCCATTCATGGTAAGTGCCCTATAAAAGTATACTGTTTATATATATATATATATAATATATATAATATATATTATATATCATATATACATTTTATATATATATCATATATATCATATATATATCATATATATGATATATATGATATATATACACACACACTTTTTTTTTGAGACAGAGTCTTGCTCTGTCACCCAGGCTGGAGTGCAGTGCCATGATCTCAGCTCACAGCAACCTCCACCTCCCATGTTCAAGCGATTCTCCTGTCTCAGTCTCCCGAGTAGCTGAGACTACAGGCATGCATCACCATGCCTGGCTGATTTTTTTGTATTTTTAGTAAAGATGGGGTTTCATCATATTGGTCAGGCTGGTCTTGAACTCCTGACCTTGTGGTCAGCCTGCCTCGGCCTCCCAAAGTGCTGGGATTAAAGGTGTGAGCCACCGTGCCTGGCGTGTTTATCTTTTATACCATGTTTTTTACTGTACCTTTTCTGTGTTTAGATATGTTTAGAACACTTCCCAAAAAAAATATACAATCGTCCATCAGGTATATGAAAAACTGCTAAACATTACTAATCATCAGAGAAATGCAAATCAAAACCAACAAGAAATATCATCTTACCCGGTCAGAATGGCTATTATTAAAATAACAAAAAATAGCCAATGTTGGTGATGATGCAGAGAAAAGGGAACTCTTGTAAACTATTGGTGAGAATGTAAACTAGAACAGCCATTATGAAAAACAGTATGGAGATATCTCAAAAAACTAAAAATATAACTACTATTTGATTCAGCAATCCCACTACAAGGTATCTACCCAAAGGAAAAGAAATCAATATATAAAAGGGATACCAGTACTCACATGTTTATTGCAGCACTATTCACAATAGCAAAGATATGGAATCAACCTAAGTGTCCATCAATGGATGAAGAGATAATGAAAATGTGGTATATATACATAATGGAATACTATTCTGCCACAAAAAAGAATGAAATCATGTCATTTACAGCAACATGGATGGAACTGGAGATCATTATCTTAAGTGAAATAAGCCAGACACAAAAAGATGGATCTCACTTATATGTGGAAGCTAAAAAATTTGAACACATGGAGGTGGAGAGTGGAAAGATAGTTAACGGAGACTGGGAAGGGTGAGTTAGGGAAGAAGCAGAAGGATGAAGAGAACTAGGTTAAAAGGTACAAACATGCAGTAAGACAGAAGGAAAAAATTCTGGCCAGGCATGGTGACTCATGCCTGTAATCCCAGCACTTTGGGAGGCCAAGGTGGGTGGATCACTTGAGGCCAGGAGTTGAAGACCAACCTGGCCAACATGGCAAAACCCTGTCTCTACTAAAAATACAAAAATTAGCTGGACATGGTGGTACACACCTGTAATCACAGCTACTCGGGAGGCAGAGGCATGAGAATCAGTTGAACCTGGGTGGCTTGCAGTGAGCCGAGATCATGTCACTGCACTTCAGTCCAGGCAACAGAGCAAAGCCCTGTCTCGACAAACAAAATAAAACAAAATAATAACCCAGTGAAAAACTGGGCCAAATATTTGAACAGACACTTCACCAAAGAAGACATATGGATGAAATATTAGTATATGGAAAGATGCTCAATAGCATTAGGGAAATGCAGATGAAGATCACGGTGAGATACCACTGGACCCCTATTAGAATGACTAAAATTAAAAATTGATTATACCAAGTATGGCTAAGGACCTGAAGCAATTGGAATTTTCATACACTGTTGGTGGGGATGTAAATAGTGGAATGGCTGTGGAAAATAACTTCGCAGTTTCTTAAAAGTTAAATATGGCCAATTGCATGGCTCATGCCTGTAATCTCAACACTTTGGGAGTCTGAGGTGAGAGGATGGCTTGAGCCCAACCTGGGCGACATAGCAAGATCCTATCTCTACAAAAATTGGAAAAAAAAATAGCCAAGCATTGCAGTACATGCCTGTGGTCCTAGCTACTCAGGATGCTGAGGCAAGAGGATTACATGAGTCTAAGAGTTCAAAACCATAGTGAGCTATGATTGCACCACTGCACAATGTCATAGATGACAGCTCCATGCGTATTTCTGCCCCTACAGACCTTCTAGTGGGACAAGATGTGGAGTTATAAGACGGTGATATCAGGACAACAGAGTGACATCCTGTCTCAAAAAAAAAAAGTTAAATGTGTGTTTACTATATTACTGTATGATTCAGCCATTCTATTTCTATTTACACAAGAGAAATGAAAGCAAATGCAAATACTTGTGCATGAATGTTCAGAGCAGCTTTAATTATAGTAGCCTCAAACTGGAAATAAGCCAAATATCCATCAACATGTGAATAGTTAAACAGATTGTGGTTTATGCATACAACGGAATAGTATTCAGCAATAAAAAGGAATGAACCAGCAGTAGACATGAATTTTGAAATAATTATGCTAAGTGAAAAAAGTCAGACCAAAAAGAGTATATAGTATATGAATTCTGTTTACATAAAATTCTAGAAAATATAAATTAATCTACAGTAAGTGCAAAAAGAGAGGATAATGGTTATGTTCATTATCTTACTTGTGGTGTGGGTTTCAGGGGTATATACGTATGTCAAAACCTATCAAATATACCCTTTAAAGATATGCACTTTATTGTGTGTCAGTTATACCTCAGTAAAAAACATCAAACTTTAAAAAAAAAAAAAAAAGACTCCACAAGGTTGCTTCAGTTATACATAAGATACAATACATTCTTTAGGGCAAAAGACACAACAAATAAATAGTAAGAGAAATTGGAAACTATAAAATTCCACAGAGATTTAGAAGACGTATAAACTAAATACCATATATGGACCTTATCTGAATCCTGATTCAAACAAATCAAATATCAAATGATATTCATGAGGGAGTTGGAGAAATTTGAAGACTGGCTGGATATTAGATGGTATTTAAAAATTATTGTTTAAATGTTTTCAGGCCAATAATGTTATTGCTGCTGTGTTAAAATAAAATGTGTCCTTATCTCTTAGGAAAAAATTTTGTACCCTTAGTCTAGCAGGGGGAGAAAGGATGTATTCCCTGTATAGCTGAAAATAGTGAGCAGAATAACGTTAAAGTTATTTTGAGGGTATATAACTTCCTCTTGGCTTGATAAAACATAGGCTTGACTGTTAGCCACTGAGTGCCTTTTCCTGCCAACCTTCACTTGTCAGAAAGGCCCCTGGCATCTTGGGTGTTGTCTTTGTTGTGAGATTTACCAGGGGGCAGGGCTTGTACTCTACTTTGTAGAATGAGCTGCTTCTCAGACAGGTCTACCTACACACTGTATTAAGACACTTGATGGACTTGCAGGCTCTCCTTTAGCCTCAGGAGAAGCTTTGGCATGGCCCAGTGAGATTTCAGAGAGTACTCCTGGTCCCCAAAGGCCATGATAACCACAGCGTACATAGATAATTGATCACACTGGATACATTATATGTTTATATTATATATAATTTCTGTCATTTGGAATACTAGTAGGTAGAGGGGTTTTGGTCACATATGACCTCAATCACCCTCTTGCCTTTATTTTCAGTCCTCCCTCCCTGGAAAGTACTTGGTCATTTTTGAGAGTTCAGAATGGACTCTTCTACCTATGTTAGTGTTGTACATTGGGTTGCCACCTTTCAACATTCCACAGATATTTACTGCATCTTCCAAGCACTATTGCTGAAAATAGAGTTGGTTAAATTGCATCCCCTACCCAAAAGGATTACACAGCATAGGTGGTGACAGACCTACCACATGGTAGCAGGTGATTGTGGCGCTAGGTGCAAAGGAAGGGCATCTTCCACCTGGAGTTAGGGAAAATTCCCTGGAGGAGGTTTAGCCAGGCACAGTTTAGGCAGCATATATGCACAGAAAGCAGCATGGGTAAAACCCGGCAGTGGAGGAGAATCACGTTCCAGTGCACGGGAGAAACATAAGGCTGACAAGATGGGGAGGACTCAGGCATAGAGATGAGGTTGATAAAGGAGAATGGACCCACTTGCCACCATGAGAGTATGTGGAGTGAATTTTCCTTCTCTGCACAGCCAGGCATCACCCACTGCTACCCACAGCCAGCTGATCTGTGCACCGAGCCATAACCCGAACCATCTTCTTTCCAAGGACAGATAATTTAAACAGTGCCTTTATTCTCCATCTGAATCAACTCATGATTAAGTCTGAATGAAACTTTGGTCCCAAGCTTTCTTTTTTCATTAAGAAAAGTAAATCTTTCTTCCGTGGGTGTATTTTCACTAAAACAATTCACAATTTTCATTCAATATTACTTGCATATAAATCAAATTAAGCTGAAACAGTTTGTTTAGTAACTTTAAATAGAAATTAATAGTATCTTCCTGGTTTGCTGCAGTAGCACTAACTACTTTTGGGCCTTGCACTCTTTCCCCTTTCACAAGCATTCCTTCTTCAAACTACAATTGTCCTTCCTTTGTTGATTTCTTCCTTTTTCTCCTGAAATAACAACATAACCTTAAAAGCTGACAGAGACACTATAATATATCAAAACTTTTAACTATCTTTAGTCCTGTGATAACACACCTCTTTATGAGGAAAAAAGTGTGCATTATATAAAAAGGAACTTACGTCTGTAGATTTCATTGTTAATAATACACTGCCAAAGTCATCCGTGCTCAAGAGACAAAATGTTGAACCCAGCTGTTTTTTTCACACTCCTTTACTTGAAAGAATGTTTGGGAATTAGATATAGGCTGGTACAATTGTGTGTTATCTGTGGATTTTCTCTACTTTACAGTGTGGTTCTTTAATCATGGGTACATCTTTGCCTTGTGTCACGTGCTATGCAAGTTGTCACAGAGAAGATTCTCAAAGGCTTGATGGATGAATTTGTGTAGTGGATGTGGGTGGTTTTAAAAAGTTCATTTGGAATTTTTATTCCTATTTTGCTGATTTTTGACAGAAAATGATTCAGCACAACATATGACTAGTCAGTAGCTTTGGACATACCTAAAGCATTCATTGAATATTTAAGAATTTAAGCCTGCATTTCTCTTAAGATGTTGGATGTATTCCCAGTTGTAAATGCTTGTTTTCCCAACGTGTAAGTAAGTTTCCCAACAAACTTACTAATAGAGATTGAATTACATTTAAATTCTGTTTACTGTTATTGAGACAGTTAGTTACTTCTAATCAATATAACTTAATTATTGGCCTGTATTTCAGCAATAATCCACGTGTGTTTATTTTAAATCGAACTTTGTCAGTTAATACTTATTTAGTTAACAACTATTTAGCACTTGTTTATTTTCTGTATTTAACAAACACTTATGTCATCCTTTCTGTTTGCCACGTAGTGCTCTAAGTGCATTACATGAACTCATTTAATTTTCATAACAGCCCTACCAGGTGGGTACTGCTATTCTCCCTATTTTACAGATGAGGAAGCTGAGGCTAAGGCTCAGAGAGATTGAATAACTTGCCTGAGATCACACAGCCAGAAAGTACTAGAGCCAGTTTGCCTCAGAATCCATGCACATAACCACCATGCCATGCAGCCTCCATTCATTCACCTTATCTTTTATTGCGTGTCCACCTGTGTTGGGTGTTGTACTCGATGCAAGGATACATGGGAGCAGAAGTAGCCTCTGTGGTTCTGGAATAGACAAACACTAACTGAATCCCACAGAGACAAAAATTACCAAGGTGACATATGCCACTCAGGGGGACGCTCCCAGTGCCATCAGTGTGAACAGTGTGACATTCTAATGCAGACAGAGGGTCCAGAGAAGGTTTTTCTGAGAATGTTAAGGACTGAGCTGGAGGAGAATGATGAGGTACTTCTTAAGTTAAAGGTGAAGTTCGCTGGAGTCAGGGGATTCAGAAAAAGAACATTCTTGGCTTAAGAAAGTGCATATGCAAAGACTCTGTATTGGAAGAGAACGTGGCCACTGAGGAGTGACCAGGAGGCACAGAGCAAAAGGACATGTTGCAGTAGGTAAAGCAAGAGACACAGAAAGAGGCAAACCATGACAGCCTTGCAGGCCATTTGTGAAAAATGTGCTTTTTAATCCTAGAGCTGTGAGAGGATGAGAATATATGCGTCCACCCTGCAGCACATACACACACACACAGAGAGAGAGAAGAGTGGATGAAGAGAAACCAGTTCAGAGGGAGTTGAAGCAATATTTTTGATGAGAGGGTGACAATGGCAATAAACAGAAGTTGACAGTGAAGGTATAATTAGAAGGTAAAATTGACCTGGTAATGGATTGAATGTGAGGAAGAGAGAGTGCTACCCACTAGAAAGAGAGAGTCCTGAAGGAGGGCCAGATCTGGGGAACAGACAAGTTTACCTTCACACTTGCTGAGTTTGAGAGACCTATCAGAATACAAGACTGGAGAGAGACATTTATGAGTGACCTGTAGGTAATAAATGAAGGTATCCTTAGGGGTAAATGAGATCACAGAGAGAGTGAGAGAGACCTGTAAGGAGAGACGAGCCCTGAGGAGCCCCAGGCTTTGACAGCCTTACAAAGGAGAATCGGCTTACAAAGAAGTTCAAGAAGACCCAAGAAATAGGAGGAACCAGAGTAGTTTCTGTCACAGAAGACAGAAAAGATGAAGGATCCCCAGCATTAAGTGTTAAGAATTTAGTATTGGAGTTAGATGAAGACTGAAAAATCACATCTGTGCAGTTCAGCAATGTAGATGTCTGGGAGAATGGCTTTGTTGGTGATATCTGGGAGAATGGCTTTGTTGGTGATATCTAGGAGAATGGCTTTGTTGAAGCAGTGGTATTGACAACTGGATTGGCTATGCATTCAGGAGAGACTAGGAGAAGAGGAGATAGAGGTGGCTAGTAGCAACAGTCCTCTTGTGAATGGCAAGGACCCAGGTAAAGTGAGGTTGAATGTATAAGAACAAGGAGAGATTATTTGTCATAATAACAAGGGGAGACAATTGAGACAAGCAGCCCTGGGGGAGCATACATGCCCTGTCCAGAAGGGAGAGTGGCCATGCCTTCTAATTTCCCACACAAGAAGCTAGAAATAGGAATTTTCATGTTTGAAAGATTGTTGATGGCTGCATTGCTTGCAACTGCAAAATATGGAAAACAAAATATTAAACTCTAAACAAATATTCTACTCTAATAAGTAGATTTCTTTTTCCTGATACACACGCTAGCATTCTGAAACTACTTTCTGTGTATACTAGCATTGAGCAATAAGTACATATCTTATAGATAATGGAAGTCACGCATCTCACTGTTGGAGAAAGAAGCTACAAATGTGGACAGAGAGAAGTTACAAATGTCCTGTGATATGGGATTGGAATTAAAGGTATCAGGGTGAACTCATGAATAGATAAGATAAAAAGGATAGATACAGTGGGTGGGTCGGTGGGTGGGTAGATGGATAAATGGATGGATGGGTGGGTGGATGGATAGATAGATAGATAGATAGATAGATAGATAGATAGATAGATAGAAAATGTGTGTGGATATTTATATAGATACACATACAACGCTATCTTAGCCCTGTCTGCTGAGAGAGCCTAGAAATAGTTGTACCCCAGTAGCCATAATATAAACCAGCATCCTAATTTTGGTTTCTAAGTACCATTTTATACTAAAAGAGCTCCTTAGAAAAATGGTTGAATCTGGGGCTGGGGATGGAAAATACAAGATAAACTTGGAACATTTTGTGGTACCAAAAAGTAAGGAAGTGTTCAAAGAATGGCACATGTCAAAGGGACACTACAGCCAATGTAAGGTCTCCCACCAATAAAATCTGAGGACAACTTGAACATAAAAACAAATAATAAGGGATTATAACTCATTTAATACATTTACAGTCTATGAGTCTAAACTGATTTAAAACCAATAAATATATTGGTTAATTAAATGAACAAACAAATGCAAAAAAGGGGAAGGCTCTTTCTTACAGTAGAATGCCAATGCAGGAGGAATAGTGTAATCAGAAAACCACCATTTAGCAACCATCCAAATAATTGATTTATGCAAGAATCACTAATGAATCTTAATACTAGCAGGTTGAAATAACAAGATATGTACACGGTCACCAAGTAACTCCTGACAATAGACTGATTAATTCCACAGGAAAAAATATCTTTACAGCTGAGAAATGTAGCAGATACAACCTTAACCAAGTGATCAAAGCTAACACCACCAATATGGGACATAATGACCTCATGTATGTTGTGATATGATGCACCGAGGAGGGTCCACCCCAACTTCTGTGCTGGTTCTGCCAGAAGGGCGTACCCTGTACCTCCTCCTGAGGAAACATCAGACAAGCCTAAAGTGAGGGACATTCTGCAAAATAATTGGCCTATACAAAATGTCAGTGTCATGAAAGACAAACTAAAGAGCTATTCCAGAAGAAAGCAAGCTAAAGAGAACCCAGGTCTGTGGGCCCAAGGCCAGTGTCTCTCTCACTGCCTTGTGCTCAGAGAGGCAACAGTAGGTTTCTATGAGGCCTCCTCAATGGGCAAGTCCCAAACACAGATTTGGTGAGAGCAGAGAGTCTGGTAGACTAGCAGAAAGTAGGGAAGTAGTCAGGGTTTGATCGTGGAGTCTGAAATGCCTGATAAGGAATGGGGACTTTAGGTGAAAGGGACACATTGAAAGTTTTTTTTTTTTTTAGTAAAATATCATAAATGTATACATACACATCTAAAGGCAAATTGATATTTTAAATTTCATCAGTCTTTACAGTTGCTATTCTAGCATCTCTTTTTATTATTATTATTATACTTTAAGATTTAGGGTACATGTGCACAACCTGCAGGTTAGTTACATATGTATACATGTGCCATGTTGGTATGCTGCACCCATTAACTCGTCATTTACATTAGGTATATCTCCTAATGCTATCCCTCCCCCCTTCCCCCACCCCACAACAGGCCCTGGTGTGTGATGTTCCCCTTCCTGTGTCCATGTGTTCTCATTGTTCAATTCCCACCTATGAGTGAGAACATGCGGGTGTTTGGTTTTTTTGTCCTTGCGATACTTTGCTGAGAATGATGGTTTCCAGCTTCATCCATGTCCCTACAAAGGACATGAACTCATCATTTTTTATGGCTGCATAGTATTCCATGGTGTATATGTGCCACATTTTCTTAATCTAGTCTATCATTGTTGGACATTTGGGTTGGTTCCAAGTCTTTGCTATTGTGAATAGTGCCGCAATAAACATACGTGTGCATGTGTCTTTATAGCAGCATGATTTATAATCCTTTGGGTATATACCCAGTAATGGGATGGCTGGGTCAAATGGTATTTCTAGTTCTAGATCCCTGAGGAATCACCACACTGACTTCCACAATGGTTGAACTAGTTTACAGTCCCACCAACAGTGTAAAAGTGTACGTATTTCTCCACATCCTCTCCAGCACCTGTTGTTCCCTGACTTTTTAATGATTGCCATCCTAACTGGTATGAGATGGTATCTCATTGTGGTTTTGATTTGCATTTCTCTGATGGCCAGTGATGATGAGCATTTTTTCATGTGTCTTTTGGCTGCATAAATATCTTCTTTTGAGAAGTGTCTGTTCATATCCTTCACCCACTTTGTGATGGGGTTGTTTGATTTTTTCTTGTAAATTTGTTTGAGTTCATTGTAGATTCCGGGTATTAGCCCTTTGTCAGATGAGTAGATTGCAAAAATTTTATCCCATTCTGTAGGTTGCCCGTTCACTCTGATGGTAGTTTCTTTTGCTGTGCGGAAGCTCTTTAGTTTAATTAGATCCCATTTGTCAATTTTTGCTTTTGTTGCCATTGCTTTTGGTGTTTTAGACATGAAGTCCTTGCCCATGCCTATGTCCTGTATGGTATTGCCTAGGTTTTCTTCTAGGGTTTTTATGGTTTTAGATCTAACATTTAGGTCTTTAATCCATCTTGAATTGATTTTTGTATAAGGTGTAAGGAAGAGATCCAGTTTCAGCTTTCTACATATGGCAAGCCAGTTTTCCCAGCACCATTTATTAAATAGGGAATCCTTTCCCCATTTCTTGTTTTTGTCAGGTTTGTCAAAGATCAGATAGTTGTAGATATGTGGCATTATTTCTGAGGGCTCTGTTCTGTTCCATTGGTCTATATCTCTGTTTTGGTACCAGTACCATGCTGTTTTGGAAAGTCTTTAACCAACTCGCTCACCATGTGCTTACTAGGCCATGGGAGGAGCCTTAGCAAGGAATCTTCAGACACCCTGTGGAAAAGCAACTGCTAGAATCTCTCAGCAACCTGATTCTCAGCCCAGATCCTCATCCAGTGATAGGACTTGCTGACTCTGAGCATTCAGGCCCACTTCACCAGAAGAGGGATGCATGCATTTAGACTACCTGCCTGCAACCTGGTCCAAATGCATACTGGAATGCATGCAGAATACAGGGAGAATACAACTCCATTTGCCTGCAGCCTGGTCCAGCATACATTTCCCACCTCATTGCCAAGGTGATCTTGTGACACCTTGTCAAATGCCTGGATAAGGTTCTGTATTCATGGCTGTTGCTTGCCTGCTCATCTGGAAACTCTACCGAGTAGGAAAATGACTTATTCTGAGTGAACTCTTGCTAGCCATGAGCAGTCCTCTCTTTTTCGAAGCAATCAGAAACTATCAGTTTTAGACTCGGTTCCCTGATTTTGCTCTAGTTCACGTTCAGAGTCCCAAACTATGGTCTCCAGAATGTATCCTCTATGCATTTTTTTTTTTTTTTTGAGACGGAGTTTTGCTCTTGTTGCCCAAGCTGGAGTGCAATGGCACAGTCTCGGCTCACCGCAACTTCTGCCTTCCGGATTCAAGCAATCCTCCTGCCTCAGCCTCCCAAGTAGATGGGATTACAGGCATGCGCCACCACACCTGGCTAATTTTGTATTTTTAGTAGAGACAGGGTTTCTGCATGTTGGTCAGGCTGGTCTCGAACTCCCGACCTCCGGTGATCCGCCCGCCTCAGCCCCACAAAGTGCTGGGATTACAGGCGTAAGCAACCACGTCCAGCCCCCCTCTATTGTTTTTTTATGATCGACTCAACAGATACCCCCAGAAAGAAGAGTACTAGTTCTCTTGATTTGTGGAGCAGAAATGGGCACAGATGTGCTGTCAGCCAAATCTCTGTCCTGTCACGGGCAGGATACAGGAGGCCATGCCTGGCAGCCTGCCAACACAAAGCCCCCCACCCAGCCCTGGCTCACTGCCCAGCTAAGCTTAGCTCTCACTTGGTTGCTCCTGGGTCTTGGGATTCTCTTCTCTATCTCTGCTTTCCCTTAGATGCCACAACCCACAAAAGAAAGAACTGCAGAATTTTGGTGAACTTCAGAGGGCGCATGCTCCCCTCCTTGTGACCATGGTGTCACAGAAAGAGATCACTAGGTTTGGAGTCAAATTTTGGTGTCAAACTCACTTGCTGTATGACCTTGAACAATTTACCCCATCTCTCTAGCTTGTGTTTCCTCAATTGTGAATTAGGAATAATATATCCTCATCATACAGGGTTATTTATTTTAAGGATTAAATATGATGATCTACATAAACTGTCTAGCCCATGCAATATATGTTTGGTCTCTTTTCTTGCATCCTGAGTGGGCCCCAACTCAACACTTCGTTAAAGCATCTCCTATTCCTGTGGCCATGACCAGACAGGTTAACATAATACTCTTATAACTATGCATGGAAGAAAGAAAGCCTCAAGACAGTTTCTCCTGTTTTCTTTTAGACCTTTCTTGATTCTTTATGATGTTATTTCCTAACGATCCTGCCCCACGTGCTTGTGGCATCCCAGATTAAATTGCATCGTAAAGATAACAACCCAGTCCAAAGCCTTGTCCTTTTCTTAACACCACCACCCCCCCCATCCTCACCAACTTTGGACAACCTTGAGGAGAGGAAAGGTATTTTATGGCTCCCAGTTTTTCCTCTCAGTGACTTGCATTTTAAATTGAAGTATATTTATTGTAATATCATTTACACCAGCAATTTTCTGTGTTAAATAAAAATGTCTTATCAGTGTCCAATGTGATGTATATCACTTTTGCTACCTTGGTGATTTTAATTTGAATTCTCTATTGCACAGTGAATATGGAGAGAATTAAATGCATATGATAAGGTGGTGCAGTACAATCTGAGATAAGGGGGAAATTAAGCTATGATAATTCTATTTAAGGCAGTGACAGCCCCAGTTCTGGGTCTTCTGGGCTTTAGGAGATACCACAAGAGCATGAGTAAATATTATATAAGCTCAGCATGTTGCTTTAATCTTGGGCTCACACGGATGTTTATTAATCAAATATAGTGATTTTAATATATATTCATGGAAAATTCTCCAGCCTGGTCTGAAAAACTATTCATTTTCACATTTCTAACTTAAAAGATTTTTCTGGAGAAGATAGTTTTAAGAATGTTGAATTACTCCAACAATTGTTTTGAACCAAGATAATTTTTTTTCATATCATGTGAGGCTTCAAGGATTTGAGGCTACACATGTTAGATTCCAAATTCTTTTAAAATGCTTTCCTGATTTAATAACAAACAGCATTTTCCTTCTTTTTAATATGTCTATCTTGAGATATGGTTTAAATGAAACAGATCTTGAAAGGGTCTCTGAGAAGGAAATTTTCATGGCATGTCCTCTAGCACCAGACTTGACTGCACCAGGTCAGGGGATAAACAGCACTTTGCAGATGAGTGTGCTTTATTTTGAGGCCCTCAGACACTTCATGAGACCCCTGTATTCTGGAATTCACTGCCTCACTACTGCTGATATACACAATGCTATGAAAAATGGGGAACCATTACTCATATATTTGCTAATTATGATACCTCTCACCTCTTCCCCTCTTTTCCCATCCTCTTCTCTTTTCCCCCAACCAAATAAAAAACTAAAACAAATACATATATTTGTTTTATTTTTTGCTTATTTAGTTTTACTGTCTTATTCCTTAATGTGTGCACCTGTAGTCTCAGCTACTCTGGAGGTTTAGGCAGGAGGATCGCTTGAGCCCAGGAGTTCTGGGCTGTAGTGCACTGTGCTGATCCACTAAGTTCTGCATCAGTATGGTGACCTCCTGGGAGTGGGGGACCACCAGGTTGCCTAAGGAGTGGTGAACAGGTCCTGGTTAGAAACAGAGCAGGTGAAAACTCCTGGGCTGATTAATAGTGGGATAGCACTTGTGAATAGCCACTGCACTTCAGCCTGGGCAACATAGCAAGATTTTGTCTCTTAAAAAAAAAACAAGTAAGTTGCAAACCACATATCCGACAAGGGACTAGTGTTTAGAATATCTAAAGAACTTTAAAAATTTAACAAAACACAATCAGGAAATGAACAAAATACATGAAGAACCATTTCACGAAGAGGATACACAGATAGCGGATAAGCACATGAGAAAATATTTAACAACATTAACAATTAGGGAAATGCAACGTAAAACCCACAATAAGATATTACTACACACCTGCCAAAATGGCTAAGATAAAAAATGGCAACACCATCAAATTTTGGAAGGAATGCCGAGAAACTGCACCTCTTATAATTGCTGGAGGGAATTTAAAATGGCACAGCCACTCTGGAAAGCAGTTTGGCAGTTTCTTGTAAAACTAAACATGCAATTGCCATATGACCCAGCAGTTGCACTCACAGGCATTTATCCCAGAGAAATGAAAACTTGTGTTCACACAGAAACCTGTACACAAACGTTCATCACAGTTTCATTTACAATAGCCAGAAACTAGAAACCACCCAAATGTCCTTCAAGGGGCGAATAATTAAACTGTGATACATCCATACCATAGACTACTCCCCAGCAATAAAAGAAACAAATCATTCGTGCAACAACTTGGATGATCTCCAGGGAATAATGCTGAGTGAAAAACACCAATCCTAAAAGGTTACATACTATGTGATTCAATATCTGTAACTTTCTTGAAATGATAAAATTGTGTAAGTAAGGAACATATCAGTGGTTAACAGGGATTAGAGATGGAGTTTGGGAGACAGGAGAGAAGTGGGTGTGGTTATAAAAGGGCAACACAAGGGTTCCTTATAGTGATGGAAGTGAAGCATTCTGTGCCTTGACTGTGGCGATGATTACATGAAAACTACAGATGGGATGAAATTTCACAGAACTACCACACAATCAAAGGACTGTATGGAAAATGAGTGAATTTTGAGTAAGATCAGTGGATGACATCTATCTGAATATCCTGGTTGTGACATTGTGGTATAATATTGCAAGATGTTACCATTGGGGGTAACTAGGTAAGGGGTACACGGGATAATTCTGTATTATTTCTACAACTATATGTAAATCTACATTTATCTCAGTTAAAAAAATACAAAAAGAAACAACATATTTGATTAATTAAATGTTAATTAAGCATGAAAGGGTGAACAGCGGAAGTGACACTGTCCTTCACTGGACTTCTTCCAGTGCCCAAGTTTTCAAATAGCCAATTCATCCTCAAAACAGTTGTGTGAAGTAAGTTTTAACATTCCTATTCTATAGGTACAAGGAAACTTGAGGACTGGAGGGGTAATAAGTTTTGCAAGTGTTTGTTAGGTAAAGCCCCAGTCTCAAAGAGTGCAAAGCCAGTGCCCTCATCCTTGGCAACTAGGGCGCCCCTTCTGAGCAGGCCATGCTGTCTCTGCTGCTGTCGCTGCTGCTATACCAGCCAGCCAAGCCCAACTCTTCACTTCCTGAGGAGGCAGCTCCAGGGTTAATATGCCAAGGCCAGTAACCATCTTTGTCTTCCAAATGGGAAGCGATGATCATTCAGAGTGGAGAACCAGCAGTTGGCTTCTTTGCTAAACAGACCATAAAGAGAAACCATGCAAAGAGCATTCAGAAAACCCAGGATGCCTCAGATAAAACAGAGTGAGGTAAAATTCCCAGCAGCACAAAGACATTAATTAAAGTGAATTGAATAGATGTGTCTGTATAAATATTCCTAAAGATGGGGTTGTCAAGACGGAGTTAGGCCTTGGGGAAATTTATGAGTTACTGATAATTATAGGGAAAATAAATCTTAAAAGGACAAAATCATTTAAGAATAGATTTTATAAACTAATGAAATTGGTGGCTTACAACGGGTAGATGGGAACAGAATAGAAAGAATGGGGAAATGGCAAAGGGGTAGAAGATAGGATGAGGGCAGAGAGACCCTTCTCTGAGTGTTCCTCTTTATATAGCTCTGACTATTGGAACAATGGGATCACATGCCAGAAAACTAAATATACAATGAAAGCCAATCAGGAGGCAAGGGGAACCCAAGATGAAATGCAAATAGTAACAAATGAGCCTGGCTCTATTACAAATGAATACATAGCCACACTGAGGGCAGTAGGAAAGAAAATAACCTCAGTAATATGGAAAGCAGCATTGTGATTGGATACTGCAAGGCTAAGGACAAGAAAAGGTGTACACAAGTCCTGTTCACTAGTTAGTAATTTGTTTTCCACAGGGGTGTGGATGAGCAATTTTGAAACTATTTTATGTAAGTACTAAGATTGAGTAAATGATTGTAGATAATGGAGCCAGGTTTCTTAAGTTGAAGAAAGGAATTATGAATAAAGGAGTGGAGGCTAAAATAAACTCTTTGGTGTTGTATTGGAATTGGAGGTTTCAGTATGAACAGTTTTCAATATGTATACAGATGGATAGTTTTAGAAATAAGTACAGAGTGGTGTGTGTACACATTTGAGGATAGATATAGATAGTTGCAGATATAATTAATATAATTATATATTTATATAAAATTTTCTAGCTTTGCCTTCTAAGAGGGCCTAGAAACCATGAAACCCCAGTAGCAATGAGTACAGCTAGTCCCCTTGGTTTCTAAATGCCATTCTTCAATAAAAGAAACCAGGGCTCCTTGGAGAAATGGTTGATTCCAGGGCTGGGGCAGGGAGCTTACAAGATAAGCCTGAACATCTTGCAGTTCTGAAAGCAAGGAAATGCTTAAATGATGGGAGAATGTAAAAAAGCCACAGGAGCCAACTTAAAGGAGCTTTCATTGGGCAAATCTGGGATAATTTGAGGAACAAAATACATAATGAGAAGGGATTACACCCCACAGAATAAAATAAGTACCCATGAATCCATATTGACAAAAATAAATGATTAGATGAATACAGAAATGCAGGAGAAAGGTCAATCCTTCCTTACGGTAGAATACTAATTAATATTGTAGAAAGAATGTCAGAAATAGAAAATAACTATTTTACAAACTAATTTAACAGTAATAATTGTTACAGAGCAGAATCATCAATGATGCTAAAATTAGTAGGTGAAATATGATGGGAATCAGGATATTTACATAATCTCAAAGTGTTTTCTTACAGGACACATATTATTTACAGATACGCAGGGGGAAATACTAACTTATGTGGAGAAATCTAGAATATACCACTCAACCAAGTATCAAAGTTAATATGACCAAAATGAAGACAAATCAACATCATGTACCCTCTGATGTAGGATGTATTGAGAAGAGCACAGCATCAGTTCTGAGGTATTCTTGCCTAAGGTGAATAAGCTTAATCTAATCATGAGAAAACACCAACCAAACTGAGGGATGTTCTACAAAATAACTGACCAGTGCTCTTTGTAAAAGCCCAGGTGCTGAAGACTGAGGAGCTGTCCTTGATTAGCAGAGACTGTAGATACAGGACAACTATGTGCAATGTGAGATCCTCGATTGAACTGTGGAACAATAGGGAAATAGAAATGATGTCTCTAGATCAGTGTTGAATTAATGTTAGTTTCCTGGTTCAGATCACTGTACCATGGTTATTTAAGTTATTAACATTAGTAGAAGCTGAATAAAGGATATATGGGAACTCTTTGTACTATCTTTAAAACACTCATAAGTCTAAAATTATTTAAAAATAAAATATGTAGAATTACAAAGGAAGACAATTTTCTTGAAGTCATTATCTAGATATTTAAGTAAATTTGTTACAGAAAAAAAAAAAAATCACATGAAGCCAAAATAATAGTAATGTTATATGTGCATGGCTCTTTAAATTTTACAAAAAGAATTTTACATTGTTATTTAATTGCCAAAACAATCCCATGAGGTTGGCATTATTGCCCCCTCCCCCATTTTAGGGACAAAGAATTTAAGAGATGCGTAGTATGGTAAAAACAAGCACCAAAAACATAAAAAAAAAACTTCAAAGCCAGGCAAATGGGCCTGCTTTCAAATCCAAGCACTACCATTTCCAGCTTGTGCCAAACCAATTAAGAAACTTTAGAGAAATTCTGGCAATTGGCTTTTGAGATTTTTGTGAGAATATAAACCCTGTAAACAGCACAGAGCCTGGCACATTCTGGGCACTTAAGAGAAAAGGAAGATGAGGATGAAGATGATGATGGTACTTTAGAGCTGAAAAGCATCTTTGAGTTCAGCCCAGAACTCCCCTGCTCCCAGCATAGAGTTGATCACCTCAAAAGCGGTTTTGGCCCCACTGTGGACATTGTGAAGTGGGTTTATACCCTCACAGATTAATTCTGTTTGAGGGAGCCCAACATAAAAAAAAATCTGTGCCTGTCCATATATGTAGAATATACATATGTTTGCATGTATTTGTATATTGAAAGAGTTAACAATAGGTGCATTCACAAACCAATAATTTCTAATATCAAGATGTCTAAGGAATGAATAAGGATGAGGAGGAAGGACTGGTGATCACCTGGTAGCACCCTTTGTGCCGCCCTCAGACTCATCGCTGATCTGCCTCCAGTGGGTCTTGCTATCGGTGGATGTGCTTGAAAAACTTTGCAGCAATTCGAACCTGAGATATTTTTTCTTGAGACGCACTAAGAACTTGAACACACCTGATAAGTTATGGGATAAGGATCAGGAGGGCTGGCATCGCCCCACCCAGTGCCCTGCATACTGCAGTTCCTCATTGCATACTTACTGGCATGAATTAATGAGGATTTTGCTGAGAGTGGTTGTTGCTCTGCCACCACATTCTGCACCACACTGCTTTGCACTTGTTGGTTTTTCGTGTCTTTTTTCCCCCCTTAGATTTCAGTGAACTTGCATTTCCTCTGGGACTAGGCTTAAAAATCAGCACATGAGATAAATTGCATATAATCAACAATATCCTTGAACATCCCTTAAATTACTTCATGCAAGATGATATATTTATACAACTGATGTACACACACTGCATCTGTGTGTAGACAATGTGCAGACAGTGTGTTAAAATGTAGAGTGTTGGTTAAGATCATGGGCCCTGGAACCAGACTACCTGGGTTTAGATCTTAGTCTTACAATTAATTAGCTTTGTAAGCTTAGGCTAATTATTTAACCTCTTCATGCCACAGTTTGTTCATTAGGAAAATGAGAATGACAGTCACACTCCTTTCATACAGGAGTTAAAAGGATTAAAGAGAGTATATGTAAAGCCTTTGGCACAATTCCTGAGACTCATATATGCCACTCTTTATTATTATTGTACATTTATATATGTGCAATATATACAGCAATGCATACATAAAATGTAATTTTAAAATAGCTCAGTTACATAAACTTGAGCATATAGTTGAGTAAATTAAACACTTGTCTGCTGTAATCCCCTCCCACCAACCTGAACATTCCTCAAAGCAGCAATAAAACTTAATTTTGTGCTGATTTTAAAGCCCCTCTAGTTGCTACGTGGCTTGCACCAGGGGCTGCTCCCTTACAACTAGCTGAAGCCCAGTGTCTACATTTATGAAGGCAGAAATGAATCTTCCAATGAGTTTAGCTGACATGCAGTCGTGTGTGACATCTTTGCCTCCTGTCATAGAGGTAATTGAGGGACCCCTACCTTGGATCAGAAGTCTTATTTAAACTAGACCTTAGACCTCAGGATTCTGCTATGATACCATGTCTGGTTCCACTTGATGGCTATTGGGATGCCATAGTAACTAGGGGAACATATGTGCAATTATATCTAGTGACCAACCTTTGAATATGACCTAGAATAATGAAACTATGCTTTCTATCTCTTCTTCTTTCTTCATCTGGATGTGGAAAGGACAGTGGCGACAGTGGGTGCAGTGGTGGTGGCTGCTTTAACAGCAGTAGTGGTGATGTTTGCACTAGTGGCAGTGGTGGTAGTACAGATCATGGCAGTAATGATGGCAGCAGCATTGGTTAGTTGGAGTGTGGTGGTAATGCTGTTAGTGATTATTGGCATAGCAATGAGGCATATTAGTGGCAGCGGTGGTAATATGGTGTTGGTCATAGTGACCGTGATGGCAGTTGTCTCGCTGGGCACGGTAGGATGGTAGTGGTGCTATTAATGTGATAGTGGTAGTGGGAATCATCGTGTTGGTCGATGCTGATCATGATTTGATGATGGTGGCACTGTTGGTGATGGTGAAGGAGATTGTGATTTCCGTAATTTAGGTCAGTGTTTTAACCTGAATTTCAGAAGCAGGAAGTTGATATTGGAGAAAATGCCCCCAAATATCTCATATACACCCCAAATTGTAAAATATTTTCCTAAGTCTGGGTAACATGGGCAAAGCATCCAAATGAAAGTAACCAATTCCCGTGATATAATTTGCTGATAGAGCTGACTGAGTATTTCACAAAGTGTGGTCCTGTGAACACTCATCCAGCAGAGGGATCCATAAAAACTAAACAAGCATGGGAAGCCCAGGGACTTCTGTCCCCTTCTTGGAGAATTACTGTGCACATTAAGGGCTCTCAAAGGATCCGCAATCTGCAGTAAAAGTCTGTTTCACTTTGTTTGCCCTCGTGTTTCCCAAACATATTTGATCACTTAACCCTTTTTCTTTGGGGAAGGTAGGTGCCTATCAATCATTAGGTAGAACAGTTAGAGAAACAATATAAACAACACTTGAAATAAAAAGAAAAATAAAACTTGAAAAAAGTTTCCCCACAGGGACTAATTTTCAGGTGCTTAGTGAGAATGGGCAACTTTAGGTTATTTTAAATGTCTTGTATTGCAAAGTGGAAAAGATCATCTTAAATTTACATGATCAGAATTGTGTACAAGGAATCCATTAGACATGTAAATTAAGAGTATTATTAGAAACAAACCTCAAAAATGAAATTGCATTAACTACATCAAACATTTACAATCTAAGAAACCCATATCCTTTTATTCTATACTTATAAAATTAGTAATTTGATCATTATAGAAAAGTAGCCCTTGTTTACGTTGGAGCCCAGTGCTAAGTTAATAAAATAACCTTGGATGACTGAAAGGAAGTGGTCTCTCTATAGCCAATGCCAATCTGTGGTTCTCCACTAGCACATAAGAATTGCCTGGGATGCTTGTGAATAATTAAAGTGCCTAAACCTCACTGCCAGTAAGCAGATTTGGTTACAATCTGGAATTTGCATTTTTGTCAATGACATCAATGCAGACTTCACTTTGAAAAATACCAGAAGGAACTGACATTAATATATTGTCTTCTATCCTGTTCATTCTACCCAATGTCAATTTTAGGAAAAAATCTTGTTTCAAGTTTCCTGTTCCTGTAGCAGTTTCAGGAGCAGCCCAGGCAAGGGAGGTTGACTGGTGGGCCAAGCAGGTCTCTTCCCTAATACAATGCTGTTAACCTCAAGGGCAGAGTCCACAGCTCCATCAGATGTGCTTAAAGAATTAAGAAAATGGCTTCCTGATTTCTACAGTGATTCCTTCCCATTTAGTGAGTAATCATTAGTCTTAACATGAATAATGCAAAAAAGGCAGCTAAGCAGTTTAAATTTTATCCATAAAATTAAGCCCTGTGTTTCACCACAGCATTTAACTCCATGACCTATTTTATTGAATCCCCCGCATATCTTGGACAGCTTCCTTGAGTGTAAATTACCATGAAGGTAAATTGAAAATGTATCAAGAAATGGGCAAGGATGTTAATGCAGAATCAAGGCATCATCGAGCTTCAGTTGTTATGAAGATTTTTTAAAGTATCTTTCCAATACAGTTAAAGTGAAAAGAATTGATTTGATTAACAAGGCTTTACCTTTCTTAGGTTACCATCTGCCTTCAACATTGTAGGTGATTCAGTTTCAATGTCCCATCCTCCAGAAAACGTGTTCCAACCTGTTCAGAGCTTCTTTCGGGCTCCTGACACTTCCCTCATGTGTTTCTGCCCAGCAGTGACTACCCATCTGGAGACTGTCCAACTCCCTTGGGACTTTATCCCCCACCCCCAACCCCATCCTGTGAGAGCAGGGCTCCCATCATATTTATTTCTGAATCCACATTGCTGGTACACTCTCTGGCTTGAAGTGTGTGCTAAACTGTCTGCTAAAGAATCAGTGTGTTCCCCTCTTGACTTAAAAGCAGGAAAGGAAATGTTATTTGTAGTGAAAACAAGGAGGCAGGTAGGGGAAAATTCAGATTCTACTGATATTTCTAGTGTGCTTTCCAACCGTGTATCTGCCCCTGAACTATCCCTATATTAGTCATTTGAGTCTTACGCCATGCCTCCGAAGTGTGTGGTATTATTTATTCTTATTGCACAAGTGAAGGGAATAGGGTATAGAGAGGTTAAGTAATTTGCCCCAGGTCACACAGCTCATAAGTAGCAGAGGCTCACACTTAGGTCTGTCTCTGCATGCTGGACCTCAAATTCCTGTTACTGCAAAGCCTGGCTTGAAAGGACAGTTGAAGTAACAGATTGCCCAGGCTCAGTTATTTGTTAATAGAGGACAGAGCTGCTTTGCCTAGATTCCACACATGGAGGATGTCCAGTGCAGTGTTGAGCAGCTTGCCTTCAGCAGGAGCAGACTTTATGCCCAGCCAGAACTGCCTGATTACAACCTGTCCTCACTGCCTGCTCCCTGGCTGCCTTTCTTCCTATGTGAGGTTCCTGCCAGGTCTGAGGATCCCAAAGAGAAGGTAATGAGTTTTTGAGGGGCCATGAGACCCTAGCATTTGGGAGTTCTGGTGAGTGCTTTTTAAAACCCACCTACTGCGAAAAGATTCTGGTCAGTGGGCAGAGAGACACAGCTGGGTGTTAAATGATGGGAGACAGAGGCTTGCAAAAAAGGAGATTCTAATGCTCCAAAAGCAGGCAGGACCCCAACGGAGCACCCCTTCCTCTGGAAGCTATGTAAGGGCTCAGACACACAGAAGGTGCTGCCAGCCAACCAGTGCCACATGTCTGAGACTCAGAGAGATGATTGCAGAGAAAGGAACAGGAAAAAGAAGAAACAAAAACATCCTTTCTGCCAGGTGTGGTGGCAGGCATCAATTTCAAAGGCCTCTTTGTGACTGGATTGAAAAAGCCAGGAGCAGGGAGAAGAATAGATCCAGGTGGCAGGCCTATAATCCCAGCACTTTGGGAAGCCAAGGTGGGTGGATCACCTGAGGTCAGGAGTTCGAGACCAGCCTGACCAACATGGTGAAATGCTGTCTCTCCTGAGAAATACAAAAAAAATAGCCAGCGTGGTGGTGGGTGCCTGTAATCCCAGCTACTCGGAAGGCTGAGGCAGGAGAATCCCTTGAACCCAGGAGGCAGAGGTTGCAGTGAGCCAAGATTGCGCCATTGCACTCTAGCCAGTGCTACAAGAGCAAAACTCCGTCTCAAAAAAAAAAAAAAAATCCTTTCTATCCAGGACCAAAGGGAAGTTTAAACCCTATGAAATATTGCTGCTTTGTTGTTTACTTTGCCAAATTCTTAAGAAGTTGCACACAAAGAAAGCAGGACATTTGGAAATAAAGAAAGAGAAACCTCATACTGACAAGCTCAGGCACTGAAAGATTCTGAAGACCAAAGTGGGCTTTATAGTGTGCAGGAAGAGTTTGCTGATTGAAAGGAAGACTCTTCACACACAAAGAAGTAAGAGAAATTGAAGCCAGACAGAAGAGCACATATTCCAAGGGCACTGAGGAGAGAGGGCAGATGATCACACTTCCAGTAATGGCCACCGTGGTCCCAGCTGGCCGACTGTGCTGCCAGAGGGCTAGGCTCCATTTTGGAGTAATGGGAAGACCTGGATCTATTCTTCTCCCTGCTCTTGGCTTCCTCAATCCAGTCACACAGAGGCCTTTGAAATTGATGGGCACTTCTGGCCAGCAGGACACAGGGCGGAGCAGTAAATAGGTGTTCTCAAATTCATTTGGATCACACAGTTGAAGAGCTCTCTGGAGAAACAAAAAAAGATGCAAAACATTAAATAAGCTTGAAGACTGATAAGGAAAATAAAGACAATGGTGCTAAAATGGCCTCAAAGTCTCAGTAGCCACAGCCAGATCATATTTTCCAAGCTTCACTTAGAGGCGAGGTTTAATCACAACAGTCTGTTTGTAAAGGCATGCATAACCATTTAGTTGAGATTCTGGTCTTTTTTATGTTTTTTCTTAACATGCTACATTACCCCAAGCTTCTTTGTTACTTGATTCTTAACACCACTTGTGACAGTTGCTCCTGATCTCTTAGATTTTTGTCTTTCAAGGCCTTTGTTTCCCAGGGTGCACTTCAGCCAACACAACCAAGGGAAGAAGAAAATGGGCAAAAGTGTGCATGAGGTGGTAGGGGCCAGACTGTGCTTGTGCCCACAGAAACACCAAGCTTCTCCCAGCAAAAGCCCCAGAACTGAAGTCTGCAAAAGGGAAGAGGCAAATTAGTAATCATTCTGTGCTACAGAGCAGCCACGTCTGAGCATTACCTAATGCTTTTCTCAATTGTTTTGACACATGTAGTTTTGTTTTAAATATGTATGGTAATTTTTAATAAAATGCTGATAAGTGTGCCAAGCCATTCTCTGTGGAAATAATGAAGTCTTTACAGTTTGGAATGCTATTAAGTCTTTGCTTCACGGTTTGTGAGGCTGCTAGCATTTTAAGCAGCAATAACATTTTATTGAGGCCCAGTCTTGCTGAGGGGGATGGTCAGCTCTAGAAGGGGCAGTTTTTCCATCACACCTTAGAGTGACCTGGTTTGGGGCTACACATAGATGGAGGTGGAGCTACTTAGTGGTACCCTTCTTAGCCCTGCCTGGCTTAGCTACTACCTCTCCAAAATTCACTGTCCATCATCAGTA
Source organism: Homo sapiens (assembly GCF_000001405.40). Taxonomy (NCBI): domain Eukaryota; kingdom Metazoa; phylum Chordata; class Mammalia; order Primates; family Hominidae; genus Homo; species Homo sapiens. Next base: position 139,598,864 of record NC_000003.12, on the reverse strand, counting down.
CAGTGCAGTAGAAAAAAAAATATGGGCAAACCTGGGTTTGAATCTCAAGCCTACCATTTTCAGGTAGTATAACCATGGGAAAAATCACATAAACTTTTTGAATCTCCATTCCTGTTCCAGTTATCAGTATATAACAAACCACCCCAAACTTACTGGTGTAAATTGACCATTCTGTTATGCTCATAGATTCAGTGGGTCAGGAATTTCACCAGAGCACAACTGGGTGGCTTGTCCCTGCTCCATGATACCTGGGGACTCAGCTGAGAAGTCTTGAAGACTGTGACCGAGTGGAGTCCCTGCAGTCATCCAGGGACTCTTCATTCATGTGTCTGGCAGTTGGTGCTGGGTGTTGGACATTGACTACAGCACATGCATGTGGCCACACTGTGGGGTCTTTCTGAGTAGGCTAGTTTGGGCGTTTTTTAGAACCCATTCATGGCAGCTGGGTTCTAAAACCAAGTGCCCCAAGACCATAAGATGTAAGTGCATGGCATTTTTATGACCTAACCTCAGAAGTCACAAAGTATCACTTCTGCCATTGAGTAAAGCAGTCACAAATACCTACCCCAGCCCCCTAGGAGGAACACAGACTTCACCTCTCAATGGAAGAGTGGCCAGGTTCTAGAAGAGCATGTAAACCAGGAGATGAGATGATCCTGTGGCCATGTTTTGAAAAGACCATCTGTCACAATTCTCTCCTCTAGTGAGCCTACCAGGCCAGAGAATGGAGGGAGTGATGATTGCCAAGCACAAGCTAAGTGCCATGAGCTGTTCATCTGTTATCTAATTCTATTTATTTAAGTCTTAAAATAGTATCCACACTTTTTTGTTTGTTTTCAGATAAGACATTATATTGGTCAGCTTCAGCTGCATAAAAACTACAAATTATCAACGGCATACAAGAATAAGCAGTTTATTTCTTGATCACAGATCTTGAGTCAGCTGAGACAGATGTGTTCCTCCTCTCCTATTCTGAGGTTTAAGAGAGTTAGCAGAGGAAGTGGCTGCCTTATGTATTCTTCTCATGTAGATAGCACAGGCAGAGGATTGCAAGCCCCACCAAGCAAGCAAGCTTTAAGTTTCTGTTTATGTCCCATCTGCTACTATCCCATTGGTCAAAGCAAGTCTCATAGCCAATTCCAAAGTCAAGGGGCAGGGAAATACATTCTGGCCTTTGTGAGGCTGTGGCAGAGATGTGGGTGTATAATACTATAATGGCAGAGTGAGGAATTGGGAGCAATAATTCAATCTACCATAGCTATTTTCTAGCACAAAGAAAATTGAATAAGGATATTGTGGCGTTACAGCTAGTGTTTAACAATATAATCTTAGGTGCAAAATACCCATATAAAGTAGTAGGTTATCAAATTGCTAATAAAAGAATAATTCAACAAGACCAGGTAGCATTTATCCTAGGTATTCAAGGACAATATACCATAAAGATATCTATTAATATACCACATTACTAAGACAATATATTTTTATGAAACTTAAATCATCATCTCAATACACACTTGAGTCATTCAATAAAATCCAGCACCTACTTGGGGATTTTTTTTATGCTCTCAGTAAATTAGAACTGTAAGGATCCTTCCTTAGCATGATGCATAATGGCATAACACTTCAAAAGCATCCCCACAGAAGCAAGGGAATAGAAAAGAATGCCTACTCACCACCATTATTTTCCAATGGTATCAGTCAAAAATAAGAAATATAGTTATAGAAAGGAGATTCAGTTTTCATTACTTGCAGGTGGTGTTACTGTGTCCTTAGAAAGTCCAGGAGAAGCATTTGAAAAACTATTAGAACTAATAAGTTCAGTAAGGTAGCCCAGATTCAAAATAAACCAATCAAAGTATGGGATTTCCTATATAATGGTTGTAATGCAATGTAATAAAAATATATATATATATATATATATATATATATATATATATATATATATATACACACATGACAAAAATATAGTGGAAAAAAGATCCCATTCACAAGATGAACAGCCAAGGACATTTGTTACTAGGACTAACCTGAACCATATACATGAAGGGCACCAAGGGCAGCAGGCAGCAGCTCGGCCTGCTCTGAGGCTGGACTAAATGGAAACATGACCAGCTCCTCACAAAAACAGTCATTTATTGATTGGCTTTCCGGTGAAAATGCCAATGGGTGGATATTTTTCTTTATTTGTTAACTTGAGAAAAGTATCCAGAGGCTCTCCCAGAAGACTAACCAGGTGCTCAGAAAGCTTTCAGAGATATCAAAAGGTAATTGTTTTTGAAAGTGATTAAATGAGTGTGATACTGACTCCAGACAGCATAATGGAACATGACTCTATATAAAAAGATAATATAAGGTAAAAACAAAAAATAAGTGGGAGTCAGGGAGGTTATTTAGTAAAAGAAAACAACATAGTCACTTAAGTATTTGGAAGGGAAAAAAAAGCAGTTTGATTTCCTACCACATATATTTCACTTAGTAAAATACTAAACATAAAACCTAAATGTGGAGAATTCCCTGTCAATGGCTGTTTCCTTTGACCTGCACCTACCTCCTGGAACTACACAGGCAGTATATTTCCAGGGGTAGAGAAAAAAATTATGGTAGGCCTAAATGTTGCCTTTATCCTTTCTCCGTGAGCAAAGTAATTAAACAGAACCTCCCCAGGCTCTGACAGGGCCACCCAGCAGCCCATAAGGGACAGATAGACCTTTCTGGAAAAGGCTGACTCGTCAGAGAAAAACCATAGGTCATACGAAAAGGGACTGCAGTTCCAAAGTAGGGACCAGGTGGCAGATTCAGGGCAAGTGGCTCTCCATTTAAGAATATAAAATTTTGTAGGTTGCCTGTTCAGTCTGATGGTAGTTTCTTTTGCTGTGCAGAAGCTTTTTAATTTAATTAGATCCCATTTGTCAATTTTGGCTTTTGTTGCCATTGCTTTTGGTGTTTTGGACATGAAGTCCTTGCCCATGCCTATGTCCTGAATGGTAATGCCTAGGTTTTCTTCTAGGGTTTTTATGGTTTTAGCTCTAACGTTTAACTCTTTAATCCATCTTGAATTGATATTTGTATAAGGTGTAAGGAAGGGATCCAGTTTCAGCTTTCTACATATGGCTAGCCAGTTTTCCCAGCACCATTTATTAAATAGGGAATCCTTTCCCCATTGCTTGTTTTTCTCAGGTTTGTCAAAGATCAGATAGTTGTAGATATGCGGCGTTATTTCTGAGGGCTCTCTTCCGTTCCATTGATCTATATCTCTGTTTTGGTACCAGTACCATGCTGTTTTGGTTACTGTAGCCTTATAGTATAGTTTGAAGTCAGGTAGCATGATGCCTCCAGATTTCTTCTTTTGGCTTAGGATTGACTTCGCAATGCGGGCTCTTTTTTGGTTCCATATGAACTTTAAAGTAGTTTTTCCAATTCTGTGAAGAAAGTCATTGGTAGCTTGATGGGGATGGCATTGAATCTGTAAATTACCTTGGGCAGTATGGCCATTTTCGCGATATTGATTCTTCCTACCCATGAGCATGGAATGTTCTTCCATTTGTTTGTATCCTCTTTCATTTCCTTGAGCAGTGGTTTGTAGTTCTCCTTGAAGAGGTCCTTCACATCCCTTGTAAGTTGGATTCCTAGGTATTTTATTCTCTTTGAAGCAATTGTGAATGGGAATTCACTCATGATTTGGCTCTCTGTTTGTCTGTTGCTGGTGTATAAGAATGCTTGTTATTTTTGTACATTGATTTTGTATCCTGAGACTTGCTGAAGTTGTTTATCAGCTTAAGGAGATTTTGGGCTGAAACAATGGGGTTTTCTAGATACACAATCATGTCGTCTGCAAACAGGGACAATTTGACTTCCTCTTTTCCTAATTGAATACCCTTTATTTCCTTCTCCTGCCTAATTGCCCTGGCCAGAACTTCCAACACTATGTTGAATAGGAGTGGTGAGAGAGGGCATCCCTGTCTTGTGCCCGTTTTCAAAGGAAATGCTTCCAGTTTTTGCCCATTCAGTATGATATCGGCTGTGGGTTTGTCATAGATAGCTCTTATTATTTTGAGATACGTCTCATCAATACCTAATTTATTGAGAGTTTTTAGCATGAAGGGTTGTTGAATTTTTCAAAGGCCTTTTCTGCATCTATTGAGATAATCATGTGGTTTTTGTCTTTGGTTCTGTTTATATGCTGGATTACATTTACTGATTTGCGTATATTGAACCAGTCTTGCATCCCAGGGATGAAGCCCACTTGATCATGGTGGATAAGCTTTTTGATGTGCTGCTGGATTCGGTTTGCCAGTATTTTATTGAGGATTTTTGCATCAATGTTCATCAAGGATACTGGTCTAAAATTCTCTTTTTTTGTTGTGTCTCTGTCAGGCTTTGGTATCAGGATGATGCTGGCCTCATAAACTGAGTTAGGGAGGATTCCCTCTTTTTCTATTGATTGGAATAGTTTCAGAAGGAATGGTACGAGTTCCTCCTTGTACCTCTGGTAGAATTCAGGTGTGAATCCATCAGGTCCTGGACTCTTTTCGGTTGGTAAGCTATTGATTATTGCCACATTTTCAGCTCCTGTTATTGGTCTATTCAGAGATTCAACTTCTTCCTTGTTTAGTCTTGGGAGAGTGTATGTGTCGAGGAATTTATCCATTTCTTCTAGATTTTCTAGTTTATTTGCATAGAGTTGTTTGTAGTATTCTCTGATGGTAGTTTGTATTTCTGTAGGATCGGTGGTGATATCCCCTTTATCATTTTTTATTGCGTCTATTTGATTATTCTCTCTTTTTTTCTTTATTAGTCTTGCTAGTGATCTATCAATTTTGTTGATCTTTTCAAAAAACCAGCTCCTGGATTCGTTAATTTTTTGAAGGGTTTTTTGTGTCTCTATTTCCTTCAGTTCTGCTCTGATTTTAGTTATTTCTTGCCTTCTGCTAGCTTTTGAATGTGTTTGCTCTTGCTTTTCTAGTTCTTTTAATTGTGATGTTAGGGTGTCAATTTTGGATCTTTCCTGCTTTCTCTTGTGGGCATTTAGTGCTATAAATTTCCCTCTACACACTGCTTTGAATGTGTCCCAGAGATTCTGGTATGTTGTGTCTTTGTTCTCATTGGTTTCAAAGAACATCTTTATTTCTGCCTTCATTTCGTTATGTACCCAGTAGTCATTCAGGAGCAGGTTGTTCAGTTTCCATGTAGTTGAGCGGTTTTGAGTGAGATTCTTAATCCTGAGTTCTAGTTTGATTGCACTGTGGTCTGAGAGATAGTTTGTTATAATTTCTGTTATTTTACATTTGCTGAGGAGTGCTTTACTTCCAACTATGTGGTCAATGTTGGAATAGGTGGGGTGTGGTGCTGAAAAAAATGTATATTCTGTTGATTTGGGGTAGAGACTTCTGTAGATGTCTATTAGGTCCGCTTGGTGCAGAGCTGAGTTCAATTCCTGGGTATCCTTGTTAACTTTCTGTCTCGTTGATCTGTCTAATGTTGACAGTGGGGTGTTAAAGTCTCCCATTATTATTGTGTGGGAGTCTAAGTCTCTTTGTAGGTCACTAAGGACTTTATGAATCTGGGTGCTCCTGTATTGGGTGCATACATATTTAGGATAGTTAGCTCTTCTTGTTGATCCCTTTACCATGATGTAATGGCCTTCTTTGTCTCTTTTGATCTTTGTTGGTTTAAAGTCTGTTTTGTCAGAGACTAGGATTGCAACCCCTGCCTTTTTTTGTTTTCCATTTGCTTGGTAGATCTTCCTCCATCCTTTTATTTTGAGCCTATGTGTGTCTCTGCACATGAGATGGGTTTCCTGAATACAGCACATTGATGGGTCTTGACTCTTTATCCAATTTGCCAGTCTGTGTCTTTTAATTGGAGCATTTAGTCCATTTACATTTAAAGTTAATATTGTTATGTGTGAATTTGATCCTGTCATTATGATGTTAGCTGGTTATTTTGCTCGTTAGTTGATGCAGTTTCCTCCTAGTCTCAATGGTCTTTATATTTTGGCATGATTTTGCAGTGGCTGGTACCCGTTGTTCCTTTCCATGTTTAGTGCTTCCTTCAGGAGCTCTTTTAGGGCAGGCCTGGTAGTGACAAAATCTCTCAGCATTTGCTTGTCTGTAAAGGATTTTATTTCTCCTTCACTTATGAAGCTTAGTTTGGCTGGATATGAAATTCTGGGTTGAAAATTCTTTTCTTTAAGAATGTTGAATATTGGCCCCCACTCTCTTCTGGCTTGTAGAGTTTCTGCTGAGAGATCTGCTGTTAGTCTGATGGGCTTCCCTTTGAGGGTAACCCAACCTTTCTCTCTGGCTGCCCTTAACATTTTTTCCTTCATTTCAACTTTGGTGAATCTGACAATTATGTGTCTTGGAGTTGCTCTTCTCGAGGAGTATCTTTGTGGAGTTCTCTGTATTTCCTGAATTTGAATGTTGGCCTGCCTTGCTAGATTGGGGAAGTTCTCCTGGATAATATCCTGCAGAGTGTTTTCCAACTTGGTTCCATTCTCCCCGTCACTTTCAGGTACACCAATCAGACGTAGATTTGGTCTTTTCACATAGTCCCATATTTCTTGGACACTTTGCTCATTTCTTTTTATTCTTTTTTCTCTAAACTTCCCTTCTCACTTCATTTCATTCATTTCATCTTCCATCGCTGATACCCTTTCTTCCACTTGATCGCATCGGCTCCTGAGGCTTCTGCATTCTTCACATAGTTCTCGAGCCTTGGTTTTCAGCTCCATCAGCTCCTTTAAGCACTTCTCTGTATTGGTTAGTCTAGTTATACATTCTTCTAAATTTTTTTCAAAGTTTTCAACTTCTTTGCCTTTGGTTTGAATTTCCTCCCGTAGCTTGGAGTAATTTGATTGTCTGAAGCCTTCTTCTCTCAGCTCGTCAAAGTCATTCTCCATCCAGCTTTGTTCCATTGCTGGTGAGGAACTGCGTTCCTTTGGAGGAGGAGAGGCGCTCTGATTTTTAGAGTTTCCAGTTTTTCTGCTCTGTTTTTTCCCCATCTTTGTGGTTTTATCTACTTTTGGTCTTTGATGATGGTGAAGTACAGATGGGTTTTTGGTGTGGATGTCCTTTCTGTTTGTTAGTTTTCCTTCTAACAGACAGGACCCTCAGCTGCAGGTCTGTTGGAGTACCCGGCCTTGTGAGGTGTCAGTCTGCCCCTGCTGGGGGGTGCCTCCCAGTTAGGCTGCTCGGGGGTCAGGGGTCAGGGACCCACTTAAGGAGGCAGTCTGCCCGTTCTCAGATCTCCAGCTGCGTGGTGGGAGAACCACTGCTCTCTTCAAAGCTGTCAGACAGGGACATTTAAGTCTGCAGAGGTTACTGCTGTCTTTTTGTTTGTCTGTACCCTGCCCCCAGAGGTGGAGCCTACAGAGGCAGGCAGGCCTCCTTGAGCTGTGGTGGGCTCCACCCAGTTCGAGCTTCCCGGCTGCTTTGTTTACCTAAGCAAGCCTGGGCAATGGCGGGCGCCCCTTCCCGAGCCTCGTTGCCGCCTTGCAGTTTGATCTCAGACTGCTGTGCTAGCAATCAGCGCGATTCCGTGGGCGTAGGACCCTCTGAGCCAGGTGTGGGATATAGTCTCGTCGTGCGCCGTTTCTTAAGCCGGTCTGAAAAGCGCAATATTCGGGTGGGAGTGACCCGATTTTCCAGGTGCGTCCGTCACCCCTTTCTTTGACTCGGAAAGGGAACTCCCTGACCCCTTGCGCTTCCCAGGTGAGGCAATGCCTCGCCCTGCTTCGGCTCGCGCACGGTGCGCACACACACTGGCCTGCGCCCACTGTCTGGCACTCCCTAGTGAGATGAACCCGGTACCTCAGATGGAAATGCAGAAATCACCCGTCTTCTGTGTCGCTCTCACTGGGAGCTGTAGACCGGAGCTGTTCCTATTCGGCCATCTTGGCTCCTCCTCTGAGTAAATTCTTTTTTTATATATTTTTAATCTATATCATTATGCAGCTATTAAAAGTGATGTTTTCAAGAGTGCTAATGACCAAGAAAAACCCTTATGATATAATCTAAATAAAGAAGAATTAAAAGTGAATTTACGTGGTTTGAAGAAAAGTATAAAAAAATACAAAATGAACTATAATATAAACCATATTAACATCTTAGATACGTTTTATTAACTTTTTATCCTTCACACTTTTCAGTAGACTGTAATATTTCTACAGCACGCATTAATTTTTAAGCTTATTTTATATATCATATTTATAAATTTATTAGATAATAAAAGTTGTTACTCTAAGGCTTATAGTGTTATTTGTTCCATCCTCATTTCTGATTCCTGGTTCCCAGAGCAATCACTTATGACTCTTTCAGATGTTTTCTCTGGTACTTGACTCCCCATTTCTAAATAACAAGCTTATACTGTTATATCTTGTTTTTTCAGATTTAGATAATATATCTTGGCTTCCTTCAGGAAAAATGAAGATTTCACTCTCTCACACCTCCACCCTCCCATTCACACCTCGCCTCCACCACATGCTCCCAAATTGATTAGCTCATAACTTTGGGTTTGATTCATATTATTGTTCACATTTATGTCTATGTAAATAGTGTCAAGAAAACCATGCAGTGCACTATGATTCCACTGCCTCCCATATAAACTTTGGGTTTTTTCCTAGAGTTAGTAATTGTTCATGTATTTGTTGCCTTAGTTTCCTATGCCTATCATTAATTCAGTCCCAATTTTACCAAAAGATCTCTAAAACTCTTCTTAGTACAGACAAATTCATCAGATGATCTGTCTGTTCCGTTTTGTGTCTGCCCATATCCCTCCTGAAGCCCTCCAGGTCCTAGCTGGACATCCAGCTCTCTGTACCCACTATACTGTCATCCTGGGATTGCCTTTCACTGTCTCCCTGGGGATTCTCTGTGCCTGTTTCCTGATTCAAAACCCCTGTTTCTTGGATCCCATGCCTTCTGCTTTTGGGTTTACTCTCTTATTTGGGTGGTGGAGTTCGTCTTCTGGCATCTTTGTGAGAAAGGGTATAGAGGAGGTAAATTTTCTGAGACCTAGCATGTATGAACACAACTTCATGCCATACTTCAGAGGGCAGTAAACTACAGCCCATGGGCCAAATCTGATCCATAGCCTATTTTCATTCATGTTGTGAGCTATGGGATGGTTTGCTTACATTTTTTAAATGGCTTTTAAAATTATGCAACAAAGCTTGTATGTGGCCCATAAAAACTGTATGTGGCCTGCAAAGCCTAAACTATTTACTATCTGTCCAATAATGGAAAAAGCCTGCTGACACCTGTTCTAATTGATTGGTAGTTTGGCCAAATGTAGAATTAAGGTTGGAAATGATTTTCCTTTAACATTTTGAAGACTTCACTCCACTGTCTCCTGGATTCAAGACTTGCTGTTGAGAAATCCAATGCTATCCTGCTTTCCAGTTCTGTATGTTAAACCTCTGGTTTTCTCTTTTGAAACTTTCAGGACCTTCTCTTTAAACCTACTCATCTAAAATCTTATAATGTTTTGCCATTGTGTGAATCTTCTTTTATGCCAAATGTTGATTCTCAGAGGACCATTGATTCTGAAAATGTATGTCCTTCTAGTCTGGGAAAATAGAATGTCTTATTTATTTGATAATTTCTTCTGTTTTCCTGTTCTCTTTCAGAAATTTCTATTAGTTCACTGTGTACCTCCTATATTAAACCTCTAGTCTTTTCTTCTATTTTACAATTCCTGCATACAATTCCTGCAAATCCTGCATACAATTTCTGCATTGCCTTTGTATCCTCCAAGTTCCTTTGCTCCTGGTGGCTGTTTTAGTCTCTGTCTTTCATGGTGAGCACCTTTCCAAAATTTGTCTCTTCCTAGACTGTCCACTCATGTTTGCAGATCAGGCCCTAAATGCAGGCTAGAAGCTCTGGATGTGAATGTAAAGCTGATAGACCTCATGGTTATATGGTCAGGCCCTAGGTTCAAGACCCCCAAATGTGTGTAGGTGTTGGTGTCTTTTCCTAGGTAGGTCTGTTCCCCAGAGAGACATTCTGGGAAACATACTTAATCCTTCTGTCTTAAAGATGTTACTTCCCCTCCCTCAGCTGTGCCTATATTTGAGAATAAAGGTTCTCTCTGGTCCAACCCAGGCAGAAAGTAGATATGCGCCCTTCTGCCACAATGGGAGGATAACGTAGGCGATTAGAGGCTGGGGTGGATCCAAGGACTCTTCATACAAACTCTCAACTGGCCCTCCTGTTTTCAGGCCCTCTGGCACCCCCACCTGGAGAGGTTCTTGGCTCCTCCGATTCCTGAGCCACTCTGGGCCTCTGCTACTGCACAGCTTGCCTCTTACTGCCTTCCCTGCATGCAGAAGACTCTGCTTGGTTTATTATCAATTTTTATCAGCTCTCCAGTGTCCAAAATGTTTTGCATTTTCCCAACTATTGTCTCCTTTTGCACTCTCTTTGCCCTTATGATTTCATACTTTATTTATTCCTTTATTATCATTTTCTTAGTTTTCAGAGAGGGTAGAGATAAACAAGGAATTCTGTCTGTAGGGATGGTATATCTTCATTCTAACTAATGTGCTCGTCGTGTTACCCAGAACGAAAAGACAAGTTCACGTCCTTAAGGAGCGCTCAGTGTCATGGGAAAGGCACAGGCAGATGAATCATTTTCATACAGGTGCTGTAATGGAGATGTGTCTGAGCAGCAGAGGGTCACAGGAGAAGTATCTGCATCTAGTGGGGGAGGGCCTGAGAGGGTCACTGGGATTGTGACCTAGAGCAGTGGGGAAGGGAAAAGGCTTGGACTTATGACCATTTGGAGGGCAAGAAGGAGTTTTAGATCAAATTGTTATTTTTATTGACTCTCCTCTCCTGGGTGCTATAAAAAAGCATTGATTTCTCAATGCAGGGCCTGTCCTATCAAGATGAGCTAAACCATCACAGGTGACACCTGGGTATCCAACATGCCCAGCAGAGCTGCCTGGAGAGAGCCCTGTCCTTCCACCATTTTCTTCTATAAAACAGAAATTAATGTGAAGGTTAAATGTATGTAAATTGCTCAAGAAAGTCAGCACCCAGCAGGAGTTAGTCCTCCCAACCCCCATTTCTTTTAAACAGGAAGAGAAAAAGAAGGAGCATGTATGTCCCATGTATAACATGAGCTCAGATGCGCAGAAAGATAACTTACTTTGCTTTCTATAACATTCAACTTGATCTTAAGCCACCATTTCCATGAATTGTGAAAAAATATGTCACTTCAAGGGATTCCTGAAGTGGTAAACTTTTTAATTTTCAGCTTAGTCTTTTACAGGTTAGTTATTAATCAAGTGCATTTTTTCCTGCCTACCTCCCCAAGAGTGCATTAAGCATCCTGGATGGCTTAGCATCCTGGCTTCCAAAACAGGGCAGCTGCCCTCACTACTTTCTAGCCGAGGGATCTGTCCTTAATCTTAGGCACTGGCATCTATCCACTCTCGCTCCACTATTGAAGCCTCCTCAGCTTCTCTTGTCTCAGGCATTATATCCCTGTTGTCTGGACCTGTGCCTTGGCTCCCCATGGTACTGTCAATGCCATAGTCCCTGGCTTTGGACTGTACTCCCTATACCCTGTATCTACCCGCTAGTAGCCCAGGCACCTGCTGACTGCTAATTCTCAGCCTCCTTCACTATTCCTCTCAAGGAGACTTAGAATTGCTGTGGATCTGTGCCATACCTTGCCAAAGCTGAAGGAGGCTGTTCTGAAGCTCTCTCTGCTATACACGCCACATGCCATTTCTATTCTGTCAGTGCCGTTGTGTATTGGCACAGGGCAATGCAAGGTGGTCTTCCAGAATTCCAGATGGGAAGCAAAATATAAACTCCACTGCTCTAACATTGTCAGATTTAACTGGGCATCTTAACTATGCCCTCCCAAACCCCAATACAAATTAGGTTTATCTCTGCAGGGTATGAGAGTATAGGGAGCAGGCCTAATACCTGTCTAAACTGTCACCACAGACATTGTCTATCAGGCTTTTCTCTGCCCTTCTGCCCATTCTTCCACCTCACCTCACCCTCAGGCCAAAAAGGGCCTTTTGTTTTCATTTTCACTTTCTTTTCTTTTTACTGCTCTGTGGGCTTTAGTGAAACTGTGCACTCTGATTCCCCGGGTTTTCTGGTTCTTGATTATTTTAAGAGTAACTTTTGGAACTTAAATAAACCTTTTCTCTCTCAATATAGCCTGGCTCTTTTAAATGAAAGCTTTAACCTTCACAAGCATTACCTCTGAAATGAGTTTCAAGAGCCAGTTGTGGGAGTCAAAAACTGAATATGACCTCCTTGCTCTCAGCTGGGTTCTGCCATCCCCTTGAAGGAGGGGGTACCTCAGCCCTCAGGAAGGAGAGCCTGGGCCTGCCAGGATTACCATGGAAGGAAAATGCTTCCAGTTTCCAGGGGGGCAGCCTACACTCTTAGGATCAACTTTTCCATTAAAACAACAAAAAGTGGTGGGTAGCACGTTTTCCACACTTCACCTTTTTTAAACTTTTATTTTGGGTTCGAGGGTACATGTGAAGGTTTGTTATGTAGATAAACTCATGTCTCAGGGGTCTATTGCACAGATTATTTCATCACCCAGGTATTAAGCTTGGTGCCCATTAGTTATTTTCTCTGCTTCTCTCACTCTCCACCCTCCACCCTCAAGTAGACCCCAGTGTGTATTGGTCCCTTCTTTGTGATCATGAGTTCTCATCATTAGCTTCCACTTAGAAGTGAGAACATGCGGTATTGGTTTTCTGTTCTGCTTCTCTTTAGCAAACTTCACTATTAAAGCTAAAAAGCTGAGAGATAAACACCTGGAACCAGAGAGGTTAGCAGGCTATGGGAGCACCAGAGCCACTGGTGCCCTGTTGAGCACTTGCCAGAACGGCTCACTTAAGCTTTGAATCAGCAGCCATGCAAGTCGGGAAGAACAGAATTCAGAGACTGGATCCCTTCCAAGCTGAGAAGCCTCAGAGTTGACTTCCCCTACATTCAGCTGAACCCACAAGGAGCTATACCCTCCGGGGTAAGGTAAACTAGATCTTAATTCACCTTTTCCCCCTAATCCTAGAGAACTTCTGAGAAGCCTTAGTGCTTTAGTGCTGAGGCAAAAGAGGAAAAGTGAAAGAATAAAATATCCCTAGGAAGAAGCAGCCACACATGAGTCCTTGCTCAGATTTGAAACTCCCATCCTGGATTAGCCAAAAAAACTCAAGCCAGGAATTTGATTTCAGGTTATTCATGAGTTTTAGGTGCCTGGCAAAAGCAAATATGAAGTGTCTCTGGAATATCTATCTTAGATCTGGAGGATCTTTCACAAATAACTGCTCAGGAGCATTCACCAGAAAACATTGAAAAATAACTAGGCACAAAAGAAAACAATATGACTAAGAACTATCAGAAAAAACAGACAACAGAAATAACCTGTACAGACTTTGAAACTGGCATTGTATGATACAGATTTTAAAAGTAGTATTTATATCTAAAGAAAAAAGAAACTATAGAAAGTCACCAGATTTGATGAAAAACTCATCAGAATTTCTAGAAATTATGACCAAAATAAACAAAATTAAAAGTTCATTGAAAGCTCATTAAATGTGTGCACACCAAAAACAGGATCCCAAAATACATGGAGTAGAAACTGATAGAGCTGAAAGGCAAAATAGACAAATTCGCAATTATAGGTAGAGATTTCAACACCCCACAATTGCCAATTACTACTGCTAGACAGAACTACTGGACAGAAAATCAGCAAGGATATAGAAATAAAGACACTCAACAACAGCATCAAATTGATGTGTAACAGAACTCTCCATCATCCAACAACAGCAGAATATATATTTTTTTCAAGCACCTATGGAATATTCACTAAGATAGGTCATATTCTGAGCTATAAAACAATCCTGAAAATGTATGAAACAAAAGTTGAAAGTACTAAAAAGAAAAACGGAAAATCCACAATCATAGTGAGAGATTTTAACATGCCTCTGTTTATAACTAATAAAAGAGGCAGACAAAAAAATCAGAACATAGATTTAAGCAAAACAATTAGTAATCTTGACTGAATGGACAGAACATTACATTTGACAACCATAGAATATGCATTCTTTTTAAGCACACGTAGGACATTTACCAAAACTCACCATATACTAGGACATCAAATATCAACACATTTCACAAGATTGAATCAATATAGAGTATATTCTCTGACTGCAGTGCAACTAAGCTAGAAATCAATAACAAAAGATAACCAAAAATCACAATATGTTTGGTAATTAAGAAAAATACTTCTAAATAAGTCATGGATCAAAACAGACATCATAATGGAAATTAGAAAATGCTTTGAACTGAATGATCATGAAAACACTACATATCAAAATTTGTGGGATTGTTTAGAGGGCAATTTTATAGCCTGAACTGTATATAGTAGGAAATAAGGATGTGAGGGTGATCTGGCTGAGACATCTGTCACCCCACTGATTGCCAGAGTTGATTCGGCTGATCTGGCTGCCTAGACGGGTTCCCCTTCCTCCCTCACCGCTCCATGTGCATCCCTCCCAAAGCTGCGTGCTCGGCTGAAGAGGATGACCATCCCCGATAGAGGAGGACCGGTCTTCAGTCAAGGGTATACAAGTAGCTGCACTCCTCTGCTAGAACCTCCAAACAAGTTCTCAAGGAAAGAAGGCAGACTGCAAATTAATTAGTTAGGCATACATCACAAGAAGTTAGAAAAAGAATAGCAAAATAACACCAATAGAGTAGAAGGATAGAATTATTTAAAATAAGACCAGAAATTAGTGAAACAGAAAGCAAAGCTTCAGTAGAGAAAACTAATATGCCAGAAGTTGGTTCTTTGAAAAGAACCAACTAATGAAATGACAAGCCTCTAGCAATATTGCCCAAGGAAAAAGAAAGAAGTCACAACCAACATTAGGAATGAAAATGGGCATCACTGCAGATGGTGCAGATAAAAGACATTAAACAGATAAAAGAATATCATACCGTCTGGTCCGTGCGCGATCACAGCCCGTCGCGTGGCTCGGGCTTGGGCAGAGCTGGAGACGCGTGGAGCTGTTCGAGGACTCGCAGTGCACATATGATATGTGTTTTAGAAATAGCTGTTAAACTTTTGTTTGAATGAAGAATGTCTCTCAATCCACCTATATTTCTCAAATGAAGTGAAGAAAATAATTCAAACTTTGTGGAAACAAAACAGTCACAAACTACTTCCATAGCTTCAGATGATATGTGTTTTAGAAATAGCTGTTAAACTTTTGTTTGAATGAAGAATGTCTCTCAATCCACCTATATTTCTCAAATGAAGTGAAGAAAATAATTCAAACTTTGTGGAAACAAAACAGTCACAAACTACTTCCATAGCTTCAGAAGATCCCCTTCAAAACTTATGTTTAGCATCTCAAGAAGTTCTTCAAAAAGCTCAGCAAAGTGGGAGATCAAAATGTCTCAAATGTGGTGGTTCCAGAATGTTCTACTGCTCTACATGTTACATTCCAGTTGAAAATGTACCTATTGAACAGATTCCACTTGTGAAACTTCCATTGAAGATTGACATCATTAAACATCCAAATGAAACAGATGGTAAAAGTACTGCTATACATGCAAAACTCTTAGCACCTGAATTTGCAAACATTTACACGTTTTCTTGTATTCCAGAATATGAAGAAAAGGACCATGAAGTTGCACTTGTTTTTCCTGGACCTCAGTCTATCTCAATAAAAGATATTTCTTTTCATCTGCAAAAAAGGATTCAAAATAATGTTAGCAGCAAAAATGATGACCCTGACAAGTCATCTTTTAAACGCAAAAGAACTGAAGAACAAGCGTTCTGTGATTTGAATGACAGCAAGTGCAAAGGCACAACACTGAAAAAAATTATATTTATAGATAGCACCTGGAACCAAACAAACAAAATATTCACTGATGAGCGACTTCAAGGTAAAAAATATATATATATTTTTTTGGACTGCTCCTCCCTCCAACTTATTTTGAAAAAACTTCAAACTTACAGATAATTTGAAAGAAGAGTTGCATTGAATACCTATATATTTTGCCACATTTACTTTATTTCTCTATTTCTCTTTATTATATATGTGAGCTTGTATTTATATATTATATATATTTTTTGTTGACCAATTGAAAGTAAGTTTCAGGCTTTGTAACACTTCACCCTTAAATATTAAGTGTACATTTTCTTTTCTTTTTTTTTTTTTTTTTTTTTTTTTGAGACAGTCCCACTCTGTTGCCCAGGCTGGAGTGCAATGGTGCAATCTTGACTCACTGCAACCTCCTCCTCCTGGGTTCAAGTGATCCACCCACCTCAGCCTCCCAAGTAGCTGGGATTACAGGTGCCCACCACCACACCTGCCTAAATTTTGTATTTTTAGCAGAGACAGGGATTTGCCACGTTGGCCAGGCTGCTCTCAAATTCCTGACCTCAGGTGATCCTCCTGCCTTGGCCTCCCAAAGTGCTGGGATTACAGGCATGAGCTATCATGTCCGGCCTAAGTGTACATTTTCTAAGAATAAGAATATTCTCTTATATTAATAAAGAATGACATCTCTTTTATAAACACCCCAATGGTGAACACATTTACTAAGAAGTTAGATCTTCTCTTTTGTTTTTTGCCTTACATGTGGTTTTTTTTTCTTTTTTTTTTTTTTTTTTTTTTTTGAGAGGGAGTCTTGCTCTGTTGCCTAGGCTCACAGTGGCGTAATCTCGGCTCACTGCAACCTCTGCCTCCTGGGCTCAGGCGATTCTCCTGCCTCAGCCTTGCTAGCAGCTGGGATTACAGGCACACACCATTATGCCCAGCTAATTTTTTTGTATTTTCATAGAGACAGGTTTCACCATGTTGGCCAAGCTGGTTTCAAACTCCTGACCTCAGGTGATCCCCCCACCCCGGCCTCCCAAAGTGCTGGGATTACAGGCATGAGCCACCGCACCCAGCCTGCCTTACAGTTTTTAAAAATAACTTTATTGAGGAAGAATTAACATATAATAAACTACGTATGTTTCAAGAGTATTAAAGTTGTCTCATATGTGTACAGCCGTGAGACCATCACTACAAGTTAGAAAATGAACATATCCAACCCCTGCCAAAGTTTCTGCCTGACTTTTATCATCTTTCTCATCCAGCTTTCCCCACAGCACACTTCCACGCTCTCCAACCCCATCTCTAATCAATGATCTATATCTACTTATTATAGATTAGGTACATTTTCTGGAATATTATATAAATTGAATCATATAGTATGTACTCTTTTCCTTTTTTTGGTTTGGCTTTCTCACACAAAATAAATAACTTGACACTCATTTTTGTTGTAGCATGTATCCATAGGTCATACATTTATTGCCAAGTAGTATTTCGTTGTATGGATATGCTACAATTAGTGTTATCTGTTTATCTGTTGATGGACATTTACACTACTTGTTTCCCATTTTCTACTATTTCAAATAAAGTTGCTATGACACTTGTGTAAAAAAAAAAAAAAGATGTTCTCCTGTATAATAAATACAGTACCATTATCACTCCTAAGAAAATTAATGAAAATTACATATCATCTAATATACTGTCCATATTCAAATTTCCCTAATTGACCCAAAAATACCTCTTGTAGCTTCCCCCCATATAGCATTTAAACTCATCACAATTTGGTTATTCTGTATCTTTAGTCTCTTTTAATCTAGAGTAGTCCTGTTTTTGTTTTTCATGACTTAGACTTTTGTGAAGAGGACAGGTCAATTGTCTGAATGTTTCATTGTGATTAGTTCCAGTCTAAATATGTTGGCTAGGATACTTACAGGTAAGGATAAATCCAGAGTTGTCTATGTCTAGTTTATATCTATTGTTTGGGTATAATTATTAATAACATGTAATTTCACTCTCAGAAATGAACCTTTTAGCTGATAAATTGTATGGTTAACCAATTCATAGGTGAATTCATACTTTATTGTTGTATCAAATTAGGATGCACACAATGCAAATTGTTCTATTATTTGTGATAACTTTCATTGCTTGATTAAAGCGGTGATTGCCAAAAAAAAAAGAATATCACAACTAACTTTATGCCAGTAAATTTCAAATTTTAGATATGATGAATAAAATCCTGGAAAATGTAAGTTGCCAAAATCATAATGAAGAAGTGAAATTCTGAATTATAATCATTAAGGAAATTAAATCAGTAGTCAAAAATTTGACTACTGAGTCTACTCCCACTCAGGATGAGGCACTGGAGATATTTAGCACCTGCCTGAATTCGGGCTGCCAGGTGGCGAGCGTCTGTCTGTATGTGCAACACCACTGCTCTCTCTTATGTAGGAATGTACCAGGTCATCCAGGGTATCATCTCTCCTGTCAGTGACAACACAAATTAAACTCTAGCCTCACAAAACTTCACTGGTGAGTTCTACAAAACACTCAGAAAAAAATGTTATTTCAGGCTGGGCACGGTGGCTCATGGCTGTAATCCCAGCACTTTGGGAGGCCGAGATGGGTGGATCACTTGAGGTCAGGGGTTGGAGACCAGCCTAGCCAACATGGCAAAACCCTGTCTCTACTAAAAATTTAAAAATTGGTCGGGCATGGTGGTGCATGCCTGTAGTCTCAGCTACTCGGGAGGCTGAGATTGCACCACTGCACTCCAGCCTGGGTGACAGAGCAAGACTCTGTCTCAAAAAGAAAGTTATTTCAGTCCTAACACACAAGATCTCTTACAGCATAGAAAGAGAGAACTCTCCAACGCTTTTTATGAGGCTAGCACAACCTTGATACCAAAATCTGATTAGGACAGTGAGAGAAAGGAAAATTATAGACCTGTCTTACTACCTAAAAAACAAATTAGCAAAGTGAACCCACCAGTACACAAGAAAGGTAATATATCTTGGCCAAATAGGGCTTATCTCAGGAATGCAGTGTTAGTTTAGGATTAGAAAATTAATCAATGCAATTTACCATATTAACTAAGTAAAGGAGAAAAAAAATCACACAATCAAGAGTTGCAGAAAAATCATTTAATAAAATTCAATGTTCATTTATGGCAGGCACTCTTAAACTAGGAATAACAGGGAATGTCTCAAAATAACATATTTGTCAAGATAGACTAGGCTAGCTGCAATAATAAATCCTCCAGTTTTAGAAGCTTAACACACAAAAATTTCTCTCTCCCCAGATGAATCCCATGTGGTTTAGACGATCTACAGGGCAGTTATCATGGTTAGTGAGCACAGTCCATGGCTATTTCAAAGTACGCTTTCCCACTCCATCAGCAGCACATTCCTCCCAGGTCAGTGGTGGCCTGTGCGACTAGTCCATCTACAGCCAATACCCACCAACCCTGGTTCACGCTAAAATCCCATCCCTTTGTCCTTCATCCTCAAAATCCCCATTTGGGCTAAGAAACTATATATAATTTTCATCCTCACATAGAGGGCAAAAATAGTGCCCCTGTTAATTCCTATAGAAGGGGAAGTCATGCTGTTCCTCAACTATATCCTGATCCTAACTGTCCTCACTGCTGTATGGGACCCTTGCCTGAGCGCCACCCTCACAGCCTTTGTCTCAGCAGAGAAGCCTTTCTCTCAGTGCTACCCGGGTTGTAGAAGGCTCTAGAGGAGAAGCACATGTTCACTAAGGTAGTGCCTTTACCCTTGCCTAAGGGAGCTACCCTTTCTCCCCCATGAGAGAATGCCAGAGTCTACTACCACTCAGGATGAGGCACTGGAGACATTTAGCACCTGCCTGAATTCAGGCTGCCAGGTGGTGAGCATCTGTCTGTATGTGCAACACCACTGCTCTCTCTTACCTAGGAATGTACCAGGTCATCCAGGGTATCATCTCTCCTGTCAACGACACCTATGGGAAGAAAGACCTCGCAGCTTCTCATCACCGAGTGGCCATGGCCCGGCTGGCCCTGCAGACATCCGACTGGATCCGGGTGGACCCTTGGGAGAGTGAGCAGGCACAGTGGATGGAGACAGTGAAGGTGCTGAGGTAATGGTAGTCACTCTCCTGTGTGATGACCAGGGGCCACGGGAGATGTCTGCAGAGCTTACAGGGTAAAAGGTAGGGCAGATTGTGGGGCTGGGTTTCTGCCAGACCTTCTCAGCAAATATCCAAGAAGCAGTTTCTACTTAGCAGGAGAGAGATCAACAGATTCACATTCTCAGAGAGGTCCCTGAGCAGAAAAATTACAAAACACTGTACTTTCAAATGCACTTTGTGGAAACACCCAACCTTATTTCAGATGACGGTAGCACTGGGGTCTAGTGCCACCACTTAGTAGCTGTGTGACTTTGAGCAAGTGATCTGAAGCCTCTGAGACATATTTCTCACTTGCAAAATGGAGACAACAAAACCGAATGAGGATTTTTTATATGTAAATAACTTTCCTGACCCAGAACTACATAATAATATTCAGTAGGTGGGACCTTTTGTTATTTTTATCATTGTCTAAGTTGAAAACTACATCTATAGAATAAGCTGTCTTTTTTAATTGTACAATTCCTGGGTTCTGTAAACCCAGACTTTTATGTGAAATAGAAAAAAAAGACTATAAATCTAGAAACAGTTACTCTGGATTATTTTTTCTTCTGGAATTTCTATTTGTATTCAGCATAAGTAATAAAACTGTTTAAAACCCCAAGCCAGCCCTGCATGTTAGGGCAGTGGGTCACTAGCTTGTGTCTGCAGACTTTAAGGGGGAATTGCCAGAGAAGCAGGAAGTCCCACCTCTCCTGGCTGTTGGGATTGTGAGTATGGCCTGCCTCATCACTAATGACAACCAGCTCTGCTGGAAGGGATTGCAAATTGCTGTGTCTTTTGTCTATTTAGAACCACTAGGATTGGCAGGAAATGGGAGGCAAAGGGACAAGGTGGAATGACTGACAGGCCTGTTCATAATGTGTTTTAGTTTTCATTTTTAACTTATCTTCAAAATCACTTGGGAGAAAAAGATTTACCTTTTTAGTAGAGGTAATCATTTAGTTTTTATATCCTGGTTCTTATTACTTACCTTTTACTGTGGAAAGAAGCAGCCAGAAGCATTCAGCAGTTACAGTGTTGCTTCAGAACCTGTTGCCAAATTAAAAGGAAAGCCATTATAAAATAATTGTTATGACACATGCTCTTCTTTATTTTTTAATGACCCATTAGTATAAACAAAGACCCTTATATTGAAAATTATATAAGGAATAAATTGACACCTAGATCATCCTTTTAGAATGAGTCATGCAGTCATTTCTCATTTATCTAGGCTAAGAGAGGGGGAATAGAAGCAAGAGAATAGATCATCCAACAAGTAATTTAGCTTTAATATGTAGGCAGAAACAGACGCTTGCTCCTCCACCCAGTGAGAAGCACTGTAGCCTAGGACACAGGTTTTAGAGCAAAATTTACTAGCTGAATTACTTGATATAAGTGATTTAGCCTCCCTGAGTCTCAATTTCTCACCTAATAAAATGGAAATGACATCACCCACTTCACTAGGATTCCGTGTGAATTAAATGAGATGATGTAGGCAAAACACCTGGTTTATGGTAGGTACTTAATAATGTTAGCTACCTTCCCTGAATCCCTAATGCTGGCCCATAATTTGTCCTCAAAACAGATAAGCCATTCATGGATAAATAGGAGTTGACCATAGTACTATTTACGATTACTTGTGCTTCTGCTGCAAAATACAGGAGTGAGCTAAGATTGTACTGAACGCATTCATTTTCTTTTTAATTTTTTTTTTTTGAGATAGGGTCTCAAAAAAAGCTCCATGGTGATTCCAATACATGGCTAGCCCACCACTTCAGCTGCCAAGTTTATTAATTAAGCTCTGTTGCCCAGGCTGGAGTGCAGTGGCATGATCTCGGCTCACTGCAACCTCCACCTCCTGGGTTCAAGCAATTCTCCTGCCTCAGCCTCCCAAGTAGCTGGGATTACAGGCACACACCACCATGCCCAGCTAATTTTTTGTATTTTTAGTAGAGACGGGGGTTCACCATGTTGGCCAGGCTGGTCTCCAACTCCGACCTCAGGCGATCCACCTACCTCAGCCTCCCAAAGTGCTGGGATTACAGGCATGAGTCACCACACCAGGCCTCTTTTTAATTTTTTTTAAATAACTCCTTTATTCTTGTGTTGCTCAGTGTTAGTTTGCACACGGGAATCACCCAGGGAGCTTTTAAAAGTACCCATGTCATTGGTCTGGGTTGGGGCATCAGGATTTTTAAAAGCTACCTGGTGATTCTAATATATGGCTAGCTCACAGCTTCAGCTGCCAAGTATATGAATTAAGCTTATGATCAGTACCAAGATGCATCCAAACCAGTGGTCTCAACTCTGGCTGCAGAAATCACTTAATAAGCTTTTTTAAATGCTCACCTCCTCCCACCCACCCCAGAGATTTTGATTTGTCAGGGGTGGGCTCTAAACATTGCTATTTTCATAAAGGTTCCCATATGTATTTTGTGCAACCAAAATTGAGAATCACTGTTACAGTCAACACAGTTTTATCAAATGCTGATTAAGATTTTTAAAATTATTATTTGGAGTAAGTTTCATCTCCAAAATGTACCAACTGCATTTGTGTTTGATTACTAACACTTTCCGAAAATTATCAAAATCAAAGTTTTTTAAGACTGAAAATCCAGTTATAATTGTAAAGTCAGGTGGTTTTAGAAGCATGGTAGAAATCCACCCCATCTTTTGCTCCATTTAGTGTCCTCTTGATAAAGTCCGTAGTGAATCTGCATCATAGTGACATAGTAACAAACATCTCTATGATGTAAATTCACTGTAGAGCTTACTGAGGATTCCTTCTTTCCCTATAAGATAGTTTGTTCTTTGCAGACATGATCTTGTGTTGTCCTCATTTTACAGATAAAGAAACTGAGGCTCAGAGAGGCTACGTTAATCACGGTCACACACAAATAGGACGTGGAGCTCCCATCTGTGGAGCTCTGAAGCCATGCTTATGGCCATCTTCAAAACAGGGATCTGCAGGCTGGGAACATGATGTGGCTGGCTTTACACCTCCCACAGTTGCCCTCCAATCTTTCCTGAAGACCAGTGGGACTGCTGAGGACACCAAGAACATGCCCCCAGGGTCAATCCACAGGCCCAAGGTACCACTCAGGCAGGCAGCAAGAAGCAGTTAATGGTCATGCCCCATAGAGGCGCAGTGGAAGTCCCTGGCAAATGCATGTTGTATTGGAAGTAATTATTTCCACAACAAAGTTCAGAGATCCAGCTAATATTCAAAGTAGGGTCAACCTGAACTAGGACCTTCAAGGTAAGTAAAATGAGAATCACCACCACCTTTTACTAATCACCCTCTATGTGTGCCAAGCTCTTTCATGTATATCTAGTAAGCTCAGCAACTCCAAGAGGTAGGTGGGTTTAGCCCTATTTTATATATAAGGACATGGAGATTCAGAAAGGGTTGTAAAATACTTCAAGTCCTACAGTTAGAAAGTGGAGGTGAGACTCAATCTACTTCAGTCTGATGTGAGAGCCCATGCCAATCCAAGGGTGAATCCTCAGAAATAAAGTTTACCAAAATCAAAGCAGTAAAACGATAATGAAAACACTGAGTCCAGCCAGGCTCTAAGAAGACTCTGCTGAGTCTCTGAGATGATCTAGAAGGGCTTTGAACCAGGTTAAATGTATTCATTCATCCACTCCTTCCAACATTCCTGAATTCAGCAGACTTAAGGAGCATTTTCATGGGTGCTAGGAATATAAAGATGAATTCCGTGGGGTCCCTTTTCACAATCTGGTGGGAAGATAGACTAAGAGTAATGATAATAACAGCTAACACTTATTGGGCTCTTTCTGTATATGGGCTGGTGCTAAGCGTTTCAATTAATCCTCACACCAGCTCTCTGGGGCAGGTTCTGCCGTTATCCCTCATTCTCTAGATGAGGAAACTAGAGACACCAAGACTCCAGAGCTACCAGTTAGAGCCAGAATTCCAACCCAGTCTAATTCTAGAACTTAACACTGAGCTGCCTCCCAATTATAATCAGCAGCAGGCCACTTCCCCAGCATTTGGCAAGGTGGAAGCAATTTTTCATTCATGATCTTTTGATACTCAGTGTAGATAAGCCCAGCATTAACTTTCATGACCAATTTACAGATGAGGTCCACGTGGCTCTGAGAGTATCAATGCTACAGGGTGTCAGGGTCATTCAGCAAAAAAGCCTGAACTTAAACCCACCCACTCTGGCTGAAAAGCATATGCTTTTCCCACCAGGCACTACTGCCCCCTAAATACAGTTCTAGTAAATGCATAATACAGGAAGTGGAAGTTGGAAGATCAAATTGATACAAGAAGGGGTGTATAATGGTTGCCTGTGTTTGACAAAAGCATATATAAGTATCTCATGATTTGCAGAAGATAGATTGCTAAAGAAGGCAGGCATGCCAAATTTGTGAAAGTCTAATCATATTTGAAATGCCCAGTGCACTTTGTGTGTATTAACCCCTTTAATCTTCATAACCACCCATCAGAGGTGGGCACTGTCATAATTCCTCACTGGCAGATGCAGCACCATCCACATAGAGACTTGAAATCACCCACCCAGGGTCACACAGCCAGCTGGTGGAGGAGCTGAGATTCAACCCAGGCCATCTGGCTGCAAGCCCTGGCTCTTGGCCATCACCCTATTGCCTTCTAAAGTACTAGTTTCTAATGAGAGCAGGCAGCTTTTCTGGGAGCTAGCTGTGGGCCATGCACTGTGCCAGTGCTTCATGTGCATGGCTCATTCACCTTCACAAGAGCCTAAAAGTAGGTGTTGTTATCCCTGCTTCTCAAATGAAAATGTGTCTTGAATTCAAGTCTGTCTGATTCTAATAGCCCATGTCCTTAACCCCTACTCAGCAGTGCCTCCTTTTTTTTTTGAGAAATATTGAAGAAAATGTTAAAAGAATAGAAATGTACTAATTTCCCTGCCTTCACCCATGTCACATGGAAAGTAGTGGACTGTCTTGGACAGGACTCTCCATGAAGACCCACATGGCTTTCTGTCCCAGCTCCTGGCAATGCCTGCCACAGAGTAGGCCCTCAACAGATATTTGTGGAATGAGTGAACTAAAGTAGATAAAAGCAGGCTGAGACAAAATCTGAAAATCCCTGGGTGGCTTTGAGGGCTGGAGGACAGACATACCCTGAGCCCATATGTTTACAACACAGGCATCATCACAGCAAACTGCTCAGATCTCCACCCCAGATGGAAGGCCCAGACCATGGCAAGGCACTCTTCTCGACCCCTGCAGGTGGGTGCTGATCCTCTTGTCTGTAGGAGAATGAGATGTCAGGGATTCTGTGAGAACTGAAGGGGGTAGGGGTGGTCACAGCTGCAGAGGACTTGAGTCCAACCCTCTGGGCACAGATAAGGAATTTAAGGCCTGCCTGGTTGGGATGACACTTCTGAGGTTGAAGTTCAGATTAGACAATCTGCCACCACCCCCTGTAAATTGCTCTGCTAATTTGGGATTTTTTGCCCCAAAGAAGTTTACCTACCCTTGTGACTTGTTCTAATGACATGGATTATAGTCAGGGTCACACAGGGATAAACTGATGAGTGCTGCTGGGTTTCTTTTAAAAGCCTTAGCCTTTTTGAATGTAAAATATGCCATTATAAAACTTGAACAAAGAGACTAAGACTTTATTTATAGCAGAATTACTCAATGGTTCACTCAAAAGAGGAAACCTATTTTTAAGGGAATTTAAAGTTGGTTTGGATTATCCTCTTAATTTGTAAGCCTAGATGTGTAAGCCAGGAAGTGTTGTAATTTCCTGGTGTTCGAGAAAACCTTGTTGGCTGTGATTTCACAGTATGAGCTGCCCTGGTGTCAAGGGCAAAATGCATAATGCTCTCATGCAAATAAGCAGAAGCACCATGCAGCGGTGGGCGTGCAGATTCCAGCAGGTCATCTGCAGAATTTCCTACGGCAGGGTCTCCCGACTTTGGTTGGTGGAACACTGCTTCCAGAATAGAAGAGTTTAGGAATGCTGGGGTTTAGCACACCTAATGTGGTTTCTCTACTGAAGGACTTTTTAGAGCCTTTACTATGTCCATGTGCATTGTGATTCTACAAGAAAGAGAAATACCTTGCAGTCATTCTTACCATTTTTTTAAGTATGGAACTCTTTGTTTAATATCTGTTAGTATTTTTCAGAACTAGTGCTTCCTAGAGCAAGATTGGGAAACACTCTTCTAAAAAGACTTGGAAATGCTACCAGGCCCTAAAGGTGCCATGCAACAGTCCCCAAATACTGGCCAGAGGATCCCTCACAGCAGTATCCCCTGTGCGGCTTGTTAAAAGCACTAATTCCCAGGTGTCTTCCCTTCTGAGTGGGAGTAGAGCCCAGGAATCTGGATATTTAATAAGCACTCTGAGGATTTGCTTTACAGCCAGTCTGGGGGGCTGTGCATGAGAGTAAGAATCTAAGAAGGAGTTACAATACCTCCTATATAATCATCTTATATAATGTTTATTGTATTCCTCTGGTCTTTCTGTCTGCCTGTCCTCTCCGTTACCTGCATGGGCTCCTTCCCACCCATCCCCGATAAGCACAGTGCCCAGTATTCATTATCAGCCTCTCCCTTCTTTCTGCATCATCTCTGGCTCAGCAGGTATTCTTAAAAGGATTCTACAGACACTTTTTGAGCACCTCACTGGAACAGACTCTGGGCTCAGGCTGAGAACAGAGACAGCCAGCCCCAGCCCCCACCTCAAGCTGGAGACAGGGTATGAATGGAGGTGAGTCCAGGCATGAATTAGGAAGGCTGCATGGAGGAGGGGGCACCTGCACTGAGACTTGCAGGATGACTGGATTATTGAGGTTGGAGACATTTCTGGGCCAAGGGGCAGACTAAGGAAAGCACAAGGGCAGGAGATAGCATAAGTGTGAGGCACTCCATGCCACTAGGGCAGACTGGAGCCTCCAGTGAGAGGCAGGGGCAGCCAGAGTGACTCAGGAGGGACAACACACTGAGGCCACCATCCTCGCACACTTCACCTCTCTGCATATGCTTCCAGAATCCCTGTCTCAGCTTTTTGCCTGGCCTCCCCTCCTTCCTCTTAATTCTTGGTTCCCCTATTGAAAACCTATCTGTCTGTGAGGCCCAGTTCAGAATTCACCTTCCCTGTGGAACCAGCCCCAGCTGCTCTCATTAATATGAACTCTCTCCCTCTGCCAAAGCCCACTCCAGGTTCTTTCCAGAATCATTTTTCTAGGGGCTACCAACTTAATCTGCTTGGCCCTATATTGTTGAGGGCCTCTTTCTCTCTGTTCAGACCCTAAATCCCACTCACTTGTTCTATTCTAAAGTAACTATTTAAAAAAAAAGGAAGTTTACATGAAATGAAAACTATGTTTTGAAGATGGCCGAATAGGAACAGCTCCAGTCTACAGCTCCCAGCAAGAGCGATACAGAAGACGGGTGATTTCTGCATTTCCAACTGAGGTACCAGGTTCATCTCACTGGGGAGTGTCAGAGAGTAGGTGCAGGACAGTGGAAGCAGCGTACCGTGCACGAGCCGAAGCAGGGCGAGGCATTGCCTCACCCGGGAAGCACAAGGGGTCAGGGAATTCCCTTTCCTAGTCAAAGAAAGCAGTGACAGACGGCACCTGGAAAATCGGGTCACTCCCACCCTAATACTGCGCTTTTCCAATGGGCTTAAAAAACGGCACACCAGGAGATTATATCCCACACATGGCTCGGAGGGTCCTACACCCACAGAGTCTTGCTCATTGCTAGCACAGCAGTCCGAGATCAAACTGCAAGGTGGCAGCGAGGCTGGGGGAGGGGTGCCCGCCATTGCCGAGTTAGTTGTTTCATTAGGTAAACAAAGCGTCCAGGAAGCTCCAACTGGGTGGAGCCCACCACAGCTCAAGGAGGCCTGCCTGCCTCTGAAGGCTCCACCTCTGGGGGCAGGACACAGACAAACAAAAAGACAGCAGTAA
This sequence comes from Homo sapiens, assembly GCF_000001405.40. Lineage (NCBI taxonomy): Eukaryota > Metazoa > Chordata > Mammalia > Primates > Hominidae > Homo > Homo sapiens. Next base: position 139,570,899 of record NC_000003.12, on the reverse strand, counting down.
CCTCTGCAGACTTAAAATGTCCCTCTCTGACGCTTTGAAGAGAGTAGTGGTTCTCCCAGCACGCAGCTTGAGATCTGAGAACGGGCAGACTGCCTCCTCAAGTAGGTCCCTGACCCCCGAGTAGCCTAACTGGGAGGCATCCCCCAGTGGGGCGGACTGACACCTCACACGGCCGAGTACTCCTCTGAGACAAAACTTCCAGAGGAACGATCAGGCAGCAGCATCTGCGGTTCACCAATATCTGCTGTTCTGCAGCCACCACTGCTGATACCCAGGCAAACGGGGTCTGGAGGGGACCTCTAGCAAACTCCAGCAGACATGCAGCTGAGGGTCCTGTCTGTTAGAAGGAAAACTAACAAACAGAAAGGACATCCACACCAAAAACCCATCTATACGTCACCATCATCAAAGACCAAAGGTAGATAAAACCACAAAGATGGGAAAAAAACAGAGCAGAAAAACTGGAAACTCTAAAAATCAGAGTGCCTCTCCTCCTCCAAAGGAACGCAGCTCCTCACCAGCAATGGAACAAAGTTGGACAGAGAATGACTTTGACGAGTTGAGAGAAGAAGGCTTCAGACGATCAAACTACTCCGAGCTACAGGAGGAAATCTGAACCAATGGCAAAGAAGTTAAAATCTTTGAAAAAAATTTAGACGAATGGATAACTAGAATAACCAATGCACAGAAGTCCTTAAAGGACCTGATGGAGCTGAAAACCAAGGCACGAGAGCTACCTGACGAATGTAGAAGCCTCAGGAGCCGATGCGATCAACTGGAAGAAAGGGTATCAGTGATGGAAGATGAAATGAATGAAATGAAATGATAAGAGAAGTTTAGAGGAAAAAGAGTAAAAAGAAACGAACAAAGCCTCCAAGAAATATGGGACTATATGAAAAGACCAAATCTACGTCTGATTGGTGTGCCTGAAAGTGACGGGGAGAATGGAACCAACTTGGAAAACACTCTGCAGGATATTATCCAGGAGAACTTCCCCAGTCTAGCAAGGCAGGCCAACATTCAAATTCAGGAAATACAGAGAATACCACAAAGATACTTCTCGAGAAGAGCAACTCCAAGACACATAATTGTCAGATTCACCAAAGTTAAAATGAAGGAAAAAATGTTAAGGGCAGCCAGAGAGAAAGGTCGGGTTACCCTCAAAGGGAAGCCCATCAGACTAACAGCGGACCTCTCGGCAGAAACTCTACAAGCCAGAAGAGAGTGGAGACCAATATTCAACATTCTTAAAGAAAAGAATTTTCAACCCAGAATTTCATATCCAGCCAAACTAAGCTTCATAAGTGAAGGAGAAATAAAACCCTTTACAGACAAGCAAATGCTGAGAGATTTTGTCACCACCAGGCCTGCCCTAAAAGAGCTCCTGAAGGAAGCACTAAACATGGAAAGGAACAACTGGTACCAGCCACTGCAAAATCATGCCAAATTGTAAAGATCATCAAGGCTAGGAAGAAACTGCATCAACTAACGAGCAAAATAACCAGCTAACATCATAATGACAGGATCAAATTCACACATAACAATATTAACTTTAAATGTAAATTGGCTAAATGCTCCAATTAAAAGACACAGACTGGTAAATTGGATAAAGAGTCAAGACCCATCAGTGTGCTGTATTCAGGAAACCCATCTCACGGGCAGAGACACACATAGGCTCAAAATAAAGGGATGGAGGAAGATCTACCAAGCAAATGGAAAACAAAAAAAGGCAGGGGTTGCAATCCTAGTCTCTGATAAAACAGACTTTAAACCAACAAAGATCAAAAGAGACAAAGAAGGCCATTACATCATGGTAAAGGGATCAATTCAACAGGAAGAGCTAACTATCCTAAATATATATGCACCCAATACAGGAGCACCCACATTCATAAAGCAAGTCCTTAGTGACCTACAAAGAGACTTAGACTCCCACACAATAATAATGGGAGACTTTAACACTCCACTGTCAACATTAGACAGATCAACAAGACAGAAAGTTAACAAGGATACCCAGGAATTGAACTGAGCTCTGCACCAAGCAGACTTAATAGACATCTACAGAACTCTCCACCTGAAATCAACAGAATATACATTCTTTTCAGCACCACACCACACCTACTCCAAAATTGACCACATAGTTGGAAGTAAAGCACTCCTCAGCAAATGTAAAAGAACAGAAATTATAACAAACTGTCCCTCAGACCACAGTGCAATCAAACTAGAACTCAGGATTAAGAAACTCACTCAAAACCGCTCAGCTACATGGAAACGGAACAACCTGCTCCTGAATGACTACTGGGTAAATAATGAAATGAAGGCAAAAATAAAGATGTTCTTTGAAACCAATGAGAACAAAGACACAACATACCAGAATCTCTGGGACACATTCAAAGCAGTGTGTAGAGGGAAATTTATAGCACTAAAGGCCACAAGACAAAGCAGGAAAGATCCAAAATTGACACCCTAACATCACAATTAAAAGAACTAGAAAAGCAAGAGCAAACACATTCAAAAGCTAGCAGAAGGCAAGAAATAACTAAAATCAGAGCAGAACTGAAGGAAATAGAGACACAAAAACACCCTTCAAAAAAGTAATGAATCCAGGAGCTGGTTTTTTGAAAGGATCAACAAAATTGATAGACCACTAGCAAGACTAATAAAGAAGAAAAGAGAGAAGAATCAAATAGACGCAATAAAAAATGATAAAGGGGATATCACCACCAATCCCACAGAAATACAAACTACCATCAGAGAATACTATAAACACCTCTATGCAAATAAACTAGAAAATCCAGAAGAAATGGATAAATTCCTGGACACATACACCCTCCCAAGACTAAACCAGGAAGAAGTTGAATCTCTGAATAGACCAATAATAGGCTCTGAAATTGAGGCAATAATCAATAGCTTACCAACCAAAAAAAGTCCAGGACCAGATGGATTCACAGCCAAATTCTATCAGAGGTACAAAGAGGAGCTGGTACCATTCCTTCTGAAACTATTGCAATCAATAGAAAAAGAGGGAATCCTCCCTAACTCATTTTATGAGGCCAGCATCATCCTGATACCAAAGCCTGGCAGAGACACAACAAAAAAAGAGAATTTTAGACCAATATCCTTGATGAACATCGATGCAAAAATCCTCAATAAAATACTGGCAAACCGAATCCAGCAGCACATCAAAAAGCATATCCACCATGATCAAGTGGGCTTCATCCCTGGGATGCAAGGCTGGTTCAACATATGCAAATCAATAAATGTAATCCAGCATATAAACAGAACCAAATCTCAATAGATGCAGAAAAGGCCTTTGACAAAATTCAACAACACTTCATGCTAAAAACTCTCAATAAATTAGGTATTGATGGGATGTATCTCAAAATAATAAGAGCTATCTATGACAAACCCACAGCCAATATCATACTGAATGGGCAAAAACTGGAAGCATTCCCTTTGAAAACGGGCACAAGACAGGGATGCCCTCTCTCACCACTCCTATTCAACATAGTGTTGGAAGTTCTGGTCAGGGCAATCAGGCAGGAGAAGGAAATAAAGGGTATTCAGTTAGGAAAAGAGGAAGTCAAATTGTCCCTGTTTGCAGATGACATGATTGTATATCTAGAAAACCCCATCGTCTCAGCCCAAAATCTCCTCAAGCTGATAAGCAACTTCAGCAAAGTCTCAGGATACAAAATCAATGTACAAAAATCACAAGCATTCTTATACACCAATAACAGACAAACAGCCAAATCGTGAGTGAACTCCCATTCACAATTGCTTCAAAGAGAATAAAATACCTAGGAATCCAACTTACAAGGGATGTGAAGGACCTCTTCAAGGAGAACTACAAACCACTGCTCAATGAAATAAAAGAGGATACAAACAAATGGAAGAACATTCCATGCTCATGGGTAGGAAGAATCAATATCATGAAAATGGCCATACTGCCCAAGGTAATTTATAGATTCAATGCCATCTCCATCAACCTACCAATGACTTTCTTCACAGAATTGGAAAAAACTACTTTAAAGTTCATATGGAACCAAAAAAGAGCCCGCATTGCCAAGTCAATCCTAAGCCAAAAGAACAAATCTGGAGGCATCATGCTACCTGACTTCAAACTATACTACAAGGCTACAGTAACCAAAACAGCATGGTACTGGTACCAAAACAGAGATATAGACCAATGGAACAGAACAGAGCCCTCAGAAATAATGCCACCTATCTACAACTATCTGATCTTTGACAAACCTGAGAAAAACAAGCAATGGGGAAAGGATTCCCTATTTAATAAATGGTGCTGGGAAAACTGGCTAGCCATATGTAGAAAGCTGAAACTGGATCCCTTCCTTACACCTTATATAAAAATTAATTCAAGATGGATTAAAGACTTAAATGTTAGACCTAAAACCATAAAAACCCTAGAAGAAAACCTAGGCATTACCATTCAGGACATAGGCATGGGCAAGGACTTCATGTCTAAAACACCAAAAGCAATGGCAATGAAAGCCAAAATTGACAAATGGGATCTAATTAAACTAAAGAGCTTCTGCACAGCAAAAGAAACTACCATCAGAGTGAACAGGTAACTTACAGAATGGGAGAAAATTTTTGCAACCTACTCATCTGACAAAGGGCTAATATCCAGAATCTACAATGAACTCAAACAAATTTACAAGAAAAAAACAAACAACTCCATCAGAAAGTGGGCAAAGGATATGAACAGACACTTCTCAAAAGAAGACATTTATGCAGCCAAAAAACACATGAAAAAATGCTCATCATCACTGGCCATCAGAGAAATGCAAATCAAAACCACAATGAGATACCATCTCACACCAGTTAGAATGGCGATCATTAAAAAGTCAGGAAACAACAGGTGCTGGAGAGGAGGTGGAGAAATAGGGAGAATTTTACACTTTGGTGGGACTGTAAACTAGTTCAACCATTGTGGAATTCAGTGTGGCGATTCCTCAGGGATCTAGAACTAGAAATACCATTTGACCCAGCCATCCCATTACTGGGTATATACCCAAAGGATTATAAATCATGCTGCTATAAAGACACATGCACACGTATGTTTATTGCAGCACTATTCACAATAGCGAAGACTTGGAACCAACCCAAATGTCCAACAACGATAGACTGGATTAAGAAAATGTGGCACATATACACCATGGAATTCTATGCAGCCATAGAAAATGATGAGTTCATGTCCTTTGTAGGGACATGGATGAAACTGGAAACCATCATTCTCAGCAAACTATCACAAGGACAAAAAACCAAACACCGCATGTTCTCACTCGTAGGTGGGAATTGAACAATGAGAACACATGGACACAGGAAGGGGAACATCACACAGTAGGGACTGTTGTGGGGTGGGGGAAGGGGGGAGGGATAGCATTAGGAGATATACCTAATGCTAAATGACGAGTTAATGGGTGCAGCACACCAACATGGCATATGTATACGTATGTAACAAACCTGCACGTTGTGCACATGTACCCTAAAACTTAAAGTACAATAATAATAAAATTTTTAAAAAAAGAAAACTATGTTTTTCAGTTTACCAAAATATATCAGGGACTTTAAAAATCTTTGCACTCTTTGCTTGATAAATTCCCATTCTAGGAATCTGGCTAAGGAAATAATTAGAGATTGGGACAAAGATTTATGCAGAAAGATGTTTATCACAACAGTTTTTACAATGGCAGGAAGTAAAAGCAATATCAATGTTTAAATATAAAGGAAAGTATACCTAAATTATACTGTATACATAGCATAAAGAAACTACATAAAAGGTTTTGATGATGTGGAGAAACACTTATGAAGGAAGTGGAAAAAAATCAGGATACAATACTGCATATAATCTTAAGTATATAAAAATATGACTATACTTCCCATCTGTTAGCATGTCTAAATAGAAAAGACTAAGGAAATACACTAAAAACTGATGGTGTTTTGTAGAAAGCAGAATTAATATTGTTGTTGTTATTTCTGCTTTAAATACTTACATATTTTCCATACATTCCATAATGAACACAGTTTGATGTTTGTAATTGGGGTAAAATGTAGAGCAATTAAAAACAGGAAGGTGGAATTTTTCTCAGCATAAGTTTGGCTTTTGATGAGATGGCATGTGTGTTACTAGTGACATATTTCTAAAGGACCATTTTGTGTGCTGCGTATTTTATTGGTGTGCTGTTATACTCTGGGGTTGCAAATTACGTGATGAGCTCGGCAATTTCTGGCTGCCAGAGCCTTGCTTTGCCCATCACTTCTATGATTTGCAGGCCTCCTTGGGCTCACCCAGAGTCATATGGATTGCTACATTCTGGGCTGCTTGGGTGTGACACTTTGGGATGGATGATGCCTTCAGTTCTTTAACAGCTGACTCTGTCTGTCTTTTGTGAAGGTGGCGCCCACCCATGGCTGATGGAACCAAGCACAGCTCAGCCACATTCAGAGGATTCCCTCTCCCAACAGAGCAGGCCCTTTATCTGTTTCCGTTTTATACTGAATGTTCCAAGGTGGCCTTGTATGGTAAATTTAGGTGCTGCCTGTCAGATGCTTCATCTCTCATGTCCTGTTTAGACCCAGAAGTCCCACATTTCTGAGTGTGTCTGTGAGGTACCATGACAGACATCACTGTTGGTGGCAGTGTTCACATGCTGCGCCAGACAGGAAATTTACATTGCATTCTCTCCATCACTCAATTCCCATAACTTCCAAAGAAAGCTTTACTATCCCCATTTTATGGCTGAAGAAACAGGCCCATAGGCTAAGTAATTTTCCTGAGGGTACCAGCAGATTTAAAGTTGAACCCAGAGCTGACTGACCTCAAGATTGGTGTTCTTTGATCTCACAGACTTAGGACAACCAAACTTTCAAAGATCCTAGTGGCACTTCCCTCACAGTCTATGTAAATTTCAGTTTTATCTACCTTTCAAAGCCCTTAGCTACTCAAAGGTAGAGCACACTGCCCCCAGAATGCCTATGGACATCCCATTTGTTTATGTATCTGTATCACTGTTAGGAGAAATCGTATTGATTTCTTTATACTACACCCTGGAGTTACATACTTAGGACTTGGATAGAGTCACTCGGTCTAAAAATTTTGTAACAGTGTTGTAAATGGATTTGGAAGAGATGTGTGAATGCGTTTGTGAGCCCTGAAGACAGGACTGCCAGGAATTAGAAGTCTGAGGCCCATGTTGCCCGAGAAGTGATCTATCACATGGTATTGTCGTCATGAAATAACAGGCACCACCAGCCTCACAGACATGCCTTTGATTTGGGGGGCAGGGGAGGTGTGGGCCCTTGTTCCTTCTAGGCAAGGCTCAAAGTGAATAGTATTCCTTGCTGTCATTGTTAATGAATCAAACGGTACCCAATGTTGAAACTGACATGCAGAAATTGTCCCCACAAAAAAATCTATTGGAAAAAGGAGGTGGTATCTTCTCTGTTCTCTGACCTGTAGGAAGAGAGGGGGTGTGTCCCAGGTCCCAGCAAATCCTGGAATGAAATGCACATCATAGTACCTCCCCCATAGGAAGACCACATAAAACTACCTAATTGTTTGAAAGACCAAACACTGTTCTCCTTTATACTACACTGGTTGGATAGATAAGAAATTGGAGTAAAACTTCACAGATGCAGAACCGTTCAAATATACATATGTGTTGTGAGCAATGGGACCAGCCCAAATTAGTGAAAAGTGTGAGTTACTGAATAATTGTTAAATGCTGTTTTATTGGTTTAAAAAGGCCAGACACTGGGAGACAATTCATAAATGTTGAGTGGGTGTTTCTATGAATAGAGTGGTAGATAAATGAGTAAATGGATAAGTGAATGAATGAATAAATGAAGGGTAATATCCTCATTTTAAAGTTGAGATCACATGAGGTATTGAACGTCAGAACCAGAATTTGGGTGTAAGGTGTCTGGCTCTAGAGTCTTAGTTTGTAACCACTAAGAGTTCATACATGCATGAATGAAGGAATGTTTGAATATCGTTTACTAGACCAGTATTATGCCGCTAGAGCATTTGAAAAGTGTGTTTCTGTGATTGCATATGTTGCTTTAAATGAGTCTAGAGCTCATCATCTCATGGATGGGGAAACTGATACCCAGAGAAAGGTCTTGGCTCTGGCCGCACAGCAGCCTGTGCCCAGTTGAGGCCAGGACTCAGACTTCTCCATGACACCTCCAGTCTCTCACTTTCCATTCCACAGTTGCTCCAGTGCTTTTGTGTGAACTCATCTCTCTGGTCCACATTTGGATTCCTTTAAAGGTTCCACCTTAGAGGATCCTAAACTGACCATTTACACAAGTTTTTCTCCAGTATGGTAGCCCTGGAGCCTCTCTTTACTCAGACTTTGTGGTGACTGACAGGGGCCAGTACTCTGGGACCCCAGTCTTTGCCATTTACTGAAGCTGGGATCAGCTTCTGGAAGAATCAGAGACCCTGCAGCTTGTTTCTAGCATAGACTTGGATTTCCTTTGCTGATTAGCTCACCAAGAGGGACACGGATAGTGCCAGGAAAATCAGTCTGGAACTCTAGGAAGGGCTTCTCCAGTATAATGCAGGTACAGATTTCCACCAGCAGGCAGCAGCAGAACCCAGCAGTTACAAATGCCACACCTGGAGGATGGCTGCCTGGGTTTGACACCTGACTTATCTGCCTAACTGAGTGACCTCAGGCAAGTCACTTATCTCTCTCTGCCTCAGTTGCCCCCTCCATAAAATGGGCACAATACTCACCTCATAAATTGTTCTGGGGTGCATATGGTATTATACACATAAAGAGCTTAGTAGTAGTGCCCACAGTAATCTCCCAATAAATGTTATGTATTATTTCATTATCACAATTAGCATTCTGTTAGAACACATTCCAAAGGATTATCCACATTAAGCATTGTTCTAGAGCTTTGTTTTATTGGAAACTGCAATGAAAAGGCCACCAGCTGGAGTCTTAGAGACCTTTTGTTTATCCAAAGAGCCTTTATAATTAATCTTTATAGTGAGATTGTTATATAAAAGTGCCAGGTACTAGTTCCTAGTAACACAAGGGCTGAAATGGATTTCAAATAAGGCAGTGACTTGTCCAAGGCCCATGGCTTGTTGGTCTCAGAGCTTTCAGAACCTTACCTTCTATCAGAAGACACAGTACTGGGTACAGCACAGCCACCTTTAGAGCACTCTGCCTTGGTCCAAAGCAACCACAGACAGACTTCTGTTAGAACACTGAAAAGAAAAAAAATCGTATTCCTTGGCACTTTTCCAATATTAAACAAAAGGTGTATTGATTAAATCATTACTTACAACTGTATTCCCTGAAATGGCTGCAGATTCATTTACATGCTTTTTCTTTTCAAGTCATGAACATGGAGACACTGAGTTCTCGATACATCCAAGAAAAGCATTTTGTGAGACTTTCCAATGATGTTGTCTTTCCTGGCAGTGACCTCTCTCTAACTTTACTGGGTCCATCCTTGTTTTTGCAGCTGTGCCTGAGCTGAAGCTTCTCTGTGGGGCAGACGTCTTGAAGACCTTCCAGACCCCCAACCTCTGGAAGGATGCGCACATCCAGGAAATAGTGGAGAAGTTTGGCTTGGTGTGCGTGGGCCGAGTAGGTCACGACCCAAAAGGTTACATCGCAGAATCTCCCATCCTACGGATGCACCAGCACAACATTCACCTGGCCAAGGAGCCTGTGCAGAATGAGATCAGTGCCACATACATCAGGCGAGCCTTGGGCCAAGGGCAGAGCGTAAAGTACCTGATTCCCGATGCTGTCATCACGTACATCAAGGACCATGGCCTCTACACCAAGGGCAGTACCTGGAAAGGCAAAAGCACCCAGAGCACTGAGGGCAAGACAAGCTAGGGAGGGGGGACTCAGCACCCACACCTCCTCCAACAAGCTCCTGCTGGGGAGAGGGCTGTTAAGGTTTCTGTTTTACTTTGGTTTTTGCTTCTCCATTTTTCATTTGCTTTATTTCTACAGTGATTCTACTTCTGAGGAGTCTTCTGTCCCAGGAAGAGATACCTTCTTTACAGGAGAGGAAAGGTCTAAATCACAAGGATAGACATTTATCAAAGAAGTTAAAATGGTGTGGCAGGTCATTAGGATTAGGCAGAATCTCTCAGAGCTGCTGGACAAGGAGGTCTACTTATTTTGTGTGGATGGTAATTATGGCATGCACGCTGAATGCAGTTCTGAGCATGGCAGCGGCCCCTGAGGGTCAGATCAGAATTGCCCACAATGTGTTTTTTAACTAGGACCAGGTGCAGCATGCTAGTCTTGATTGGAAAGATTTGACAGGATGCTAATTACTGAACAGTGGGTTTTGTCAACGCCCTGGTTTCAGAATATGAACTGAGGAGTCAAACAGTTGGAAACAGCACATTGCTGATTTACACTGGATCTTGCCTTAGAAACCATTGTCTGCCTGCCTAACCAGCTTTTCATAAAATTTAAACAAAACTCTTTCTACGTAGTGATCCTCAAGCAATATTTTTGATACAGCAAGTGTCAAACTTGCTATAGCATAAAAGCCGGGGCTCCTGATTTCCAGGTTTCTAAAAAGGAACTGAGGTAAAACAGATGCCTGACCGTTTTAAAGGATCTTTTTTAATGTTTTATGACTGCCTGTCTGTTTGAATACTGGCAAAGGGATAAATAATAAATTGACATCAAAAAGTACTAATGAAAAATTTCTCTTTTTTCTTCCTTTGTTATATTATTAATGCCTGATGTACCAGCTGTTGCTCTTCTTTTTAGCTGCTTCATGAAATTTGCTACTGTTCCAATTGAACTGGCATGAATTTAAAAGTTTGTGTTTCCAGGTAGTAGGAATGGAGGAAGCAATTGCTTTTTGGTGCCACACAAACGGCCTTCTAAAAGAAACCACTGGGCCGATAGCTCTTTTCAGGTAGGTCTCTGAAATATTAGAACAGGGGCCTCATGTGCATGTAGGATTTGTCATTCCGTTACCAAATTAGGGAAAGGTTTTGATTGGCCTAATTATGTTTGGGTTTACTCATTATACTTGCTGACCACATGACTGAATGCATTCAGAATTTACGTCTCCATGGTTTTACTCTGGTTCATCCTTGCTACAGGTTTAGTCATGCAGAAAAACAAAGGGCCCGTTAGGAAGAATCTATTTTCTCCCCCCCCGCAAAACATCTCAGTGTTTGCATATGTGTCATGAAGTGAAGTAGGAAATCAGGATTTTCTGGATCCAGCAAGGTCAGGGTGGGGAGCAGATTTTGATCCCTGCAACCGCTGAAGCTGCCAGCCATTCCTCACCCTAAATGAACTCTGCACTCCAAGAGGTCCCTAAGGACCCTGAGAATCCAGGGGGATAGGAATCAGACAGCCTTGTCCAAAAGCTGCCACAGCAAGCTGTGTGACTTTGACTAACTCCCTTCCCCCACTGTGAGCCTCCATTTCCCTGCCTCTAAAATGGGAGGTTTAATCAGACACCTCTAAATTATCTTCTAGTTCTGGTTTTCTAAGACTCTGAGTGCCTCTGACTTCAGCCTACCCAGCCTTCTTTGGATCCAGTGCATGTCTAGCCAGACTGGAAGCTCCCCAGGGGCAGAGAATCTTTGTTTCCAGGGTCCCAGAAAGGGCCCTAATTATATGGATCTCTAATTTCAAATCAATAATTTTTATTCTTATTTCTGGAAAAGGGCCTTCAAAATTATACAAGGTTTTGACTCTACAAAATGGATTTGCCATTTGCCCTGATGACAGTGTAGACAGAAGGGAAGTGACAATGTATTTGAGACCTGAAGGGTGAGTTCACAAGATCTGGGGATGGGTGGAGGCAGCTGGCTTTCAGGAAGAGGGAACATCACATGCAAAGGCCTTGAGGAAGAAGAGGCCAAAATGTGCAGCATGCTGAGCTGGATTCATCATCACTTCCTGGAGAAGGGGTACCTTATTGCATCATGCACCTGACAGCAGGTGTCTGAAGCCCCCATGCCCCTGTCCAGGCTTTCCATAGGCTCAGGGCACCAAGTCCAACCAGTCTGGAGGTGATGTCATCATCTCCCTGATCCATGTGTGCATCATGCAGCCCCTACCAGGCAAAACATCCATTTCTGAGCCTTTATGTTGTCTCTTTCTAAAATAAAACAACAAAACCTACTTCATTAAATACATATATAAATAAAACATTATATGTCTTAATTTCTGTACTCTCACTTTATCTCATTGATTCATGTAGCCTCCTTTTTTTAGCATCAGAAGAGAAATATGTATCACTGCTGTGCTCCTGACTTATTGTGTTAACACTGACCTGCATACCTGATTCCACATTCCTTTCCGTTCCCTCGGGTCTTTTCTGCATCTGCTTTGCCAGGGTGTTTTGTTTATTTTGCAAGAACAGAAAAACAGTGGTTTGGGCTCCTGAGTAAATAGAATTTCCAGCCTTAAATAAAGGTTCTCCTGTGATAGCATGTAGTGCCCAAATGAGAGGAGCTCTGTATCCTAGCCTGAGGAAAGGATTTTTCATTTATAATACTGTCTGTGTCACTTGGGACGGAATGATGTGAAATCCCATGTTAAACCAACAGCGCTCCAGATTTGCAAGGTACATTTGGTAATTGGGTTAATACATGAATATGAATTTCCTTATCCCCATCCTCACACTTTCTAGGCTAACAGTATTTCTGCCCTCCCTTTCTGCAAGGATCTTCATGCACAGATTGTGTTCAGTTTCAGTCATGAAGTTATTTTCCTGGATCAAAAATTGGCATTATAGATATACATGTGTGACTAATAAACAATCTGTAATAATGCATCTAGGCACACGCCTCAGAGTATTTTAGTATTGTTGAAATAACCTCATAGAGGATTGTTCATGGCACCACAGACTGTGAGGACTAGAGGGAATCTTCAAATTCATCTTGTCCTACATTTCCAAATTATCAAATATGTAAATCCCACAAATGAATGGAGTTTCACTACTAGAAAGAATAATAATAATGTGTTCTGTGCATGAGTTTGGGGAGGCCTCCTTTCTGTTCCCCTGTTGAAAATCTATAATGTGTGGAGTGCGTGCCCTCTCAGTCCTACCTTCTATACACCCGCTGTATGGAGCTGCTTTTCTCCATCCCTTCTGTTGCTTCTCCATCCAAACTGCCATCATCTCTCACTTGGATCACCCAACAGCCTCCTAACAGGATGCCCCAATCCAGTCCTGACCCCTCCAGTCCATTCTCCACATAGCAGGTAGGGCAGCTGTATGTGTGTGCAAATCTGGTCATATTACTTCCCTTCCCAAACTCCTTCTGAGGGACATTAAGAAAATGAAAAGATAAGCCACAGACTGGGGAAAAAATTGCAAAATGTATATCTAATAAACAATTTAAATTCAGGATATCTAAAGAACTCTGATGACAAAAATAAGAAGACTAACAACTCAATTAAAAAATGACCAAAAGATTTGACTAGACATGTGCGGGAGACGGGAACACAGCAGGCCTGATGTTGCTCTGTAGAAGGGTCTGCCTGTGGAGCTGGCCTTTGCCTGGCATCTGAGAACCTGGCTTTTGGAATGTTACCTATGTTTCCAGCTGATAAGGCTGTTTTGCCTTCCCAGGGCACTGAATCCTACAGTACCAGCTTGCCTAAACTGTTTGTACAAACAGTATGATTAATGGTGCACACCTGCTTTTCTCCTAGGAGTTTGGAATTTCAGTAATCACCATTGGTTGTGTGGCAGAAGAGTGCCTACATCACTAGGCCACAAAAAACTCTGGATGTCGAGTCTCAAGCAAGGCCCCCAGGCAGAAACAGCATGCACTGTTGCTGCATTTCACTGCTGGGGAGAGAAGCATGTTCAGTGCAAACCCCACCCTAGAAGACAGAACTTTAAAAGCCTGCATGTGGACACCTCCAGACTCTACCTTATGTGCCTTTCCTCCTGTTGTGTGGTGTTTCACTATGGTAACCATTGCATGGATGCAACTGCCTCTGAGGTCTGTGAGTCCCTCAAGCAAGTCCCCAAACAAGATGTTTCACCAAAGAAGATAACATAGATGAATATAATTAGCACATGAAAAGGTGCTCAACACCATTAGTCATTAGAGAAATACAAACCAGAACCACACTGAGATACCATTTTATGCCCACTAAAATAGTTCAAATCAATCTAGCATCCACTCTTAGATATCTATTAAAAGGAGGTAAAAACATATGTCCACTCAGACTTATAGGCAAACATCTGTAGCACCATAATTCACTATAGTAAACACAGGAAGCAATTCAGGTGCCCCTCAACTGACAAATATATAAACAAATGTATTATATCCATGCAATGGGATACTGTTCAGCAATTTTACAAAGGACTAGTGATGCCTGCAACAACATGGATGAACCTCAAAATGAGCTAAGTGAAAGAAACCAGACACAGAAGATACATATTAAATGATTCCATTCACATGAAATTTCTAGAAAAGGCAAAACTATAGAAGCAAAAGCAGGTCAGTGCCTGGGAATGGCATTGACAGCAAGTGGGCACAAGAAAATTTTGGGGGTGATAAAAATGTTCTAAAACTAGATTGTGATGATAGTTGCACAACTGTGTACATTTACTAAGGCTCATCAAACTGTGCCCATAAAATGGGTAGATATTGTGTTATTTAAATGACACCTTAATTAAGGTGTTTAAAAGAAAAATTCCCCTGAGTTTCTCCTGCTTGCATTTGAAGTGAAAACCCAGCTCCTCATGGGGTGGCCGCCTCCCCCCGGCAGCTCTTTCTGTCTCTGCTTCATCCATGGGGCTTTCTCCAGTTTCTCACCCCACCCTCCTTCCCATGAGTGCTCCAGCAGGTGCTGTTCCCTCTGCCTGGCACGCTTTCTTGCTTCTCCACTTCCTTGGAGTAACTCAGAGTCTTCTTCAACTCTCTACCTCAAGTCACGTCTCGCAGGAAGCCTCTCTGGCTCTGCCCACTGCAGTCCTACCTCCCTGCCCTTCTCCTTGGGGACACTCATGACTCCTGAAACTGTTGACTCTTCTCCTAAGTACAGCTTCTGGCTCATAGTGGGTGCTCAATAAATATTTCATAAAATAATGTCTGAATAATCATCTGAATTGTTCTGAGAAGCCCATGATAAACAAACCTGTTTAACTTTGTGTAAACCAGTGTTTCTGAGGCATGTTTTCACAAAGAACCCCCACCTTTTTTTTTTTTAAATGGAGTCTCACTCTGTCACCCAGGCTGGAGTGCAGTGGCGCGATCTTGGCTCACTGCAACCTCTGCCTCCTGGGAAGAACCCCTTTTTATACACATATACTTGATAGTATGTGCAACACAATATTTAGAAGAACAGTTTAGTAAGTTACTGTCTAAAGTTTTTTTCTAGTTTTTTTTTTCCTGCTACAAACAATGCTGCAACAAACACTCTTATGCATAAACCCTTAGAAGCCAGTGCTTTTGTTGGATAGATTCCCAGGAGTGTTTATTGCTATGTTAAATGGTATGTGTACATTTTATTCTAATAGATCTTACCAGATTGTAGACAGTAGATTTTAAGTAAGTTGATTTTTAAAAAAATAAAAAGCAGAATCCCATAGAGCTGCTAAAATTCTCATTTCCTTATTCCTTTCCAGAGAATCTCCTTCATTATCTTTGAGACAAACATGAGCAAAATCCATTTATTTATTTCAACAGATAATCTATGATGAAGAATTTCAGGAATTTATTTGCCACAAAGAGATAGCAATTCACGGGCAAACATTGTTCCTAGCATTTGCTGGGTGCCTAAGTCAAGGATTATTTTTAATTATTGGCAAAAAGGAACTCTTCAAACTGCCTAAATAAAGGAGGTGGGAGCATCAGGTATCATAAGAATGTCAAGAATGGAAGGACCCAATGACAGGACATATGATAGGTTTCAGGAGAACTGGGAAAAAAAGAAGAAATTGAAGTTCCCTCCTCTCCCCTCTCTCTCTCCCTCCTCCTCCTCTTCCTTTCTCTCTCCCTTCTCTCTCCCTGTCCTTCCCTCTCTCCCTCCTCTTCCCCTTTCTCCCTCTTCTTCCCTCTGTCCATCTCTTTCTTCCTCTCTCTCTCCTTCCTCCTCTCTCTCCTTTCTCTCTCCTTTTCTCTCCCTCTCTCTCCCTCCTTCTCTCTCTTCCCTATCTTCTCTCTTTCTCTTCTTCTCTCTCCTTCTCTCTCCCTATCCAGCAGCCTTAACATCTATGGCCAGATGACCCTCCCCCTTCACCCCTCATCTCAGTGTCATGATTCCAAATTCCCAGAGACATGCGCTGTCCCTGAATGGACTTGTTCATCCTTGCCCATGTGGCCATGACTGGCAGGTCGGGGCCATATGTTTCTTCTTCAAACTGTGGCAGTGACATTTCTGTAAAGGGGAAGAGTAAGTAGGAAGAAGGAAATGATAGGCACCCCAAACAGTTGAGTAAGTGCCCCTTAAATCACAAAGTAACCCAAGTAACCTGGCATTTTGTGCATATATCCTCTTACTCCTGTTTTGCTAGAGGCAGTAGACTAGGGTGGCATGCTGGTGGCCAAACCACACCACTGGAGGGAGAAAGGAAAGCTGGCGGGGATGGCACCTACATGTCAGCCCCTCTTCACTGTTCTCCTTCCACTGTGGGCATCCAGCACCTGAGCCTGGCTGGTTGGGCAGAAGCTGGGCCTGGATGAGCCTGACTTCCACAGGGGAGGGCAGAGGAAAGGGACTGAAGCTGGCTGGTGAGCCACCACCTTCAGGCCGATTCTGCAGAGGAACCAGGAAACTCCTGCCCAAGAGGCGCACTGAGCTCAGAACTGGGAGCATCAAGCCAGGCATGAGGGCCCAATCCTCTGCAGCCCCAGAACCTTGTCTCCAAAATTCAACTGGCTTCTTGGAAAAAGGATGGCAAATTTGTACAAATGGATGCTTGTGAGGATTGTGTGGATTTTCATCTCATCTCAAGGTGTCATCTCTTCCAGAGACCTGTCTTCCCTAACCAGTACCCTGCACCTCATTCCCATCAAAGCTGGAGGAGAGTCTCTCCTCTGTGCTCCCGAGCCCCTGTACATCCCCAGTCACATCTCCACTCATCCTGGTTTTCCCATTTCCGTGGCTGTCTCCTTGGCCTGACTGTGTACCTGGTGACAGCAGGGGCTGTGTTGGAACCAGCTCAGTGTCTCACAGTATGCAGACCAAATACCCCATGGAATGGCTTCTGGATAGTCTGGTGAAGGCCTGGCATCCACTCCCCCTTCCTAACAACATCCTGAGTTCCTTTTAACAGCTTTTCTTCCTCATCTGGTGGAGCATTGCTGCATGCTCATTCCCAGATTTTAAACCTGAAGTACAGCAACAGACTGAAAAAGACTGGAGTTTGTTCTAGTGGCTGTGTTCTAACCAGAACCCAGTATGAGGTCACACTTGTTTTTCTTATTTCCCTCCCAAAAATGTTGTTTACTGCTTGATAATCCATCTAATAAATTTTCTTATTTCTTAAGTTCTCCAGAATCTGTTTCTGCTCCTTGCATCTTAAATAGAAAGAAGGGTAGGGGGATGATGGAAGAAAGGAAGTGAGGGAGGGAGGGAGGGAGGGAGGAGGGAAAGTAACTCAAACCCTGAGTGAATGAATGGGTGAAATAAGACCACAGCCTGGCTGGAAAGCCTGCCATCAGCAGGCCAGAAGTGGACAATGGTGATGGTTGCTGTGATGAGCAATACTGTTTTTCTGGAACAGCCAGACCAAGCCCAGACATTCACATCTATGTCAACACTGTGCCAGCCATGGAGATTATTTCAGAAAATTCTCCCCAGCCTTCACAAATGTTATCAGGCCCACGGTGTCCTCTGCCATCTCAGTTATGACTAATGGACATCTACTGAGCTCCTGCTAATAGAGACAGGAAGGCCAAGGCCCTGGGCCTCAGATTGCCCCAGATTGCCAGGGTCAGAGCACAGGGAAGTGGCCAGGGCAACTGAGCTATAAAGATATCTGGGCTCAGGTTCCCAACATGCAGAGAGCATAAGACTCACCTACAGAGCTTGGTAAAGATGCCATCTGCTGGGCGCATCCAGACTCTGATTCAGTAACCTGGAGTAGGCCCAGGAATCTGGGCTTTAACAACACCCCAGGACTCTGAGGCAAATGGTCTCTATTTAGGAGACACTGAGAATTGAGAGAAGGAAGAAATGCAGGTAGGCGTGCCCTGGCAGCAGCAGACAGCTTGGCCTCTGATGAACCTCTGCAGAGCTCCTAGGGGATGGAGCGCATCTGCCCTTCACCCCCTCCCAAGATAATTCCTCCCAAAATATCTTCAAATTGTGCTGCAGTCACTCGGGTGTCAAAAGCATTCAATAGCTTCTCATCATCTCGAGAAAAACGCCTGGCTTCTCGGTCGACCTTTGAGCCTCTGAATCTCATCACTTCCTTTTGCTCCTGTCTGTTCTCTAGTTGTTTATCCATGAACCCTCTCCCCTGAACATCTTGAGATCTTCTCTGTTGCTGTAATAAATCACTGGCTTCCCACCTCACAATATTTGCCCATACCATTTCTCTGATCCAGAATGCACTCCCCTCTCCTCCTATCCCCTCTTAGTACTATTCTGTCTTTGGGACCCCCTTGAGCCCCGTGTCTTCCAGAAAGCTCCCCCTCCTAACTCTGGTCCCCCTCCTCTGACCTCAAGGCTTATGTTGGTGTCACTCTGTATTAGATAACTGAGGCGATATGGGGGTTCTCTGCCTCTGAATCAGGGAATGTCAGAGAGTCCATGAGGAGAAATCCATTTACATTGCCTGACCTGGAAAGATTGGAATGAAATGGGGTGCAGGCAGATTTCCAGAGCAAGTCTGAGTTGGACTCTCAGGTCTCCAGACCACTGCATCAATTCTCAGTAGCACACCGGGCATCTTGACCCAACCCTAAGCTCTAAGTTAACCAACTGTGTTCTTGCTTCATCACCCCGGTCCTCCCTGAGCCCCTTTCTGTGCTTCTCCTGCCCTTAGGTACACTGTGGTTGCCCAGACATCCAGAGGCCCAAACAAAATGGTTTTCTTAGTTCCTCAGGTGGACCCTAGACTGAGAAATAACCAACTGAAAGGTGTGAATTCAACAAAAATCACACCCTATCCCACACCTCCAAGGAGGCTACCCAAATAATGACTCCACAGTGTGGCAATAACAGAAAACAGTGTGGGCTTTGGAATCACACAGAACTGGGTTAGAATTAAGATTTTTTGACTTGAAACTATGTATGCGGTATTCAGCCAATTACTTACTCTCTCCAAATTTCATTATTTGCATCTGTAAAAGAGTGATAAGAACACCTATCCCATGCTGTGGTTCAAGGATTAAATTAGATAATATACGCAACATATTTGCTACATGGTGACCACGCAAACAGTGGCTGGGATCATCCTCGTCATGGTCTTCATCAGGCTTTATGAAAAAAAATTTCTGAACCTTTCTTTTATGCTCATCACGATGTATCCCAGTGCTCCTGTGTCTTGCCTGGGGCTCCTCCACATCCACTATTTGGTCTGTCAAGGAAAATAAAGGCAAGTACTTTGTCAAGGGCCCCGGGAGCCTATGTGCAGATACAATTATTTTAAGATGGGCAGGATTTTGAATATGCTACTCCCTTGAGTCATTACCTTTTGCTGTGTAATGAACCACTCCAAAATTAAGTGATCTAAAATCAGAACCACTTATTATTTTTCATGAGTCTAACAGTTAGCTGGTACCTCTGGGCAAAGATCAGCTGATCTTGCCTGGGCTCACTTACATGTACAGTGGTGACTGGTGGTTGTCTGAGATAATGTGGGTGGCTGAGCCATGTGTCTGTCACCCATCAGACCAGCCAGATGTGTTCACCTGGAAGCAGGTAGTAGTGTCCCAAGTGTCTGAGAACAGAAGCTGCAAGGCCTCTGGAGGTTATGCCCAGAACCGATAACAACTAATTGCTTCCACCACAAATTCTACTGATCAAAGCAAGTCATGAGGCCAGCCTAAATTCAAGGGTTGGGAAAATATACCCCATCTCTTGATGAGAGGAGCTGCAAAGCATTGTGATTTATGGCCACTTCTGTAATCTACGCAGGCCTCGAGCATTTCTCTGCATCCCTTGTGATTCTCAATCGTGCACTAAAGTGAAAATATCTGTTTTAAAATAAAGACGGATGGACAGTTGGAAGGAAGGACAGAAGGATAGTTATACGTGCAATGCTGTATATGAACGAGTGAGTGTGTAGATAGATGAATAGGTAGGCGGTGGGACAATTCCTGTGGAGGTGTATTATGTGGGTAGATAGAAGGAGGTTGTTGTGATAGAAGATGGATTTGTGGCTGGGTGGGAAGGTGATCTTCACACCCCACTCTCATCCCTATAGCCCTGGAGCATGGCGGCACAAGAACAAGACAGCTGTGCCTGTCATTGTATTAGCCCTGGCCATCTCCTGGAAGGCAGAACCCTCCCCTCCCCACCCACTGCACCCCTACAGTATGCTCCATTCCTGTTGTGCTGGCTGGCTTGCCACAGAAGCTCACGTATATAACTTTGTTTCCATAACCACATTTCTCTCCTCTTCTTCTTTCTCTTGTAGTGACACTCCTGTGCTTAAACCTTTTCAGTGGCTCCCTGTTTTCTACAGGATGGAACCCAAGTAGCTCGATATCACCTGTAAGGCTCTCCATGGCCTGGCCCCGCCTGTCTCTCCAATATTTTCTCCCAGTGTATTGGACCATCTCATCCCTCCTGCCCCCCACTGTTCCCCATTTGCCATGCTGAGCCACATTTGGTTATTCTACTTTCCCTGAAGATGCCAGCTTTCCTATGCCATCAACCACCATCTTAACCTTGAAGCACATTTTACAATCCTCTACTTGTTACATTTCTGTCTCCCACTGGACTTTGACTTCCTCAGGATTGTGTCTCACTCATGGCACTGCCCTCAGCATCTAGCCCAGTTTCAGGCACCCAGAAGGTGCCCAGAAGTGTTTGCTGAAAGGATTCATAAGCCCACAGCTTTGGCACCTTCCTCTAGTTCTTTTAAGTTCATGTTACTGTGTGTCCAGCTCTTAACCAGGTGCTTCAAGGAATACAGAAGGAATTTAAGACAGTCACTAGCCACAAAGAATTGACAGTCTGGGTGAAGGAGCTGAAGCAGGTGTGAACAAGCACTCATGCATGAGAAAAATCTCTGTCCACCCAAGGCAGTATAAGCAGCACCTCTGGGAGAGCCCAGGGTTCTCCAGATTCAGAGTGGAGATCATGGTGGAGTTGGAACACAAGGACCTTGGTGAGTGGAGGATAAAGAGAAGATGGAGAATATTTGGGCCAGGGGATCTACAGGAAGGGAATCTAAGACTGGACTGTGAGGGCACAGAAGACAAAGCCACCAGCACAAGATGGTAATGAAAAGGGAAGTGGGCATATGGCTGGGAAAAGATGTTGGGGCTGGATAGTGGAGGACCTGCAGGGACAAGGAAGAGAAGGAAACTGACTCCTCAAAACAACCCTGTGAGGATGATGGCTCAGAGACATTATGTGACTGACTGACCCAAGACCACTCAACTAGAGAATGGTGGGCCTGGGACTCAACACCAGGCTGACTCTAAAACCCAGCTCTGTTCATTGCACTGGACTCTATCTCTCCAGAGGCACTGGGGCTTCATAAATATTATTATAATGCTACTGGGAATGTGTTCTCTGTTCTTGAATCAATGTGCTCCTGGCCTATTTCTTATCTTTTTGGAAGTACAGACTCTCCACAAGCTGCCTAAACATCGTGTTTATCCTCTGCTGCTTCTGAGGAGACAAGACAGATACTGAGGCCTTGAGGCTAACCCTGAAGGGGTGACTTTGGCACACTGCTCGAGGCCGCCCCTCTTAGTCATGGGTCAGCATGAGCCCTGATCTGGATTCACTCACAGGGAGGGCCTTAGAGGACTTGATCCCAGGCTTCCTGGAAATCAATGCGTGTTTGACCAGCTGCTCCCCTTTCATCTCTTCATTGTATAATTCTGCCCCAAGAACGTAAAAACATTGCTATGGCAAGATTTGTTCTTTTTAAATCTGGCCAGAGCCTCACTAAGGTGCATTAATCTTTAACTGTTTATAGATTTTTCTGTTTAGAATGTATGCCCTGTGCTTTCATTTCACTTGGGGATTCAAGTTCTACTCCCATATTGATGATGACTTGGGAGACTTATTTTCTCTCTGGGATTTCCTTCTGCAGGCTCATTTATCAGGTCCAGCAGGCCAGGATCCCATGGATCTCTGCTTCATTCCAGAAGCAATAGGTAGTTAAGACATTGGGCTTTAGGATCAGACAAAGCCAGGGACAAACTGAGTCCCCGGCCCTGCCACTCTACCCATGTGTCCTTGAGCTAGTTATAAAACCTCTCTAAACCTCATGCTCTTCTGAAAATGAAGACCCAATGGAGTTTTATCTTACCCAGGATTCTACAATCAGCACAAAACCCATAAATAGTCATAACAATTACTTTTGCAAAGTCTAACTCTGTGCAAGAACTCCCATCTCATCTCACCCTCCCATCCCTCACCCTTTCCCATCTCCCCTTTTCTTCCAAGGCTAACTACCTGCTCTTCCTCTATTCACCTTATAGGACCACCTGCAATTCTCACCATCACCCATTGCTCCTGATTAGCTCAATAAGGGGGTGCGGGGTGAAATACACAAAACTACCATCTTCCTTAAAAGGCAGGAGGTGGGGAAGGCTGTAAATGTATATAATTCATACCTTTTTCAAATTTACTACTGGCCAAAAATACATTTTAAGAGTTAAACCAAAGTGAAAACACCAAATCGAATAAATTTTCTGATAAGTCTTAAGTCCTCAAGGCCCAAGTACACCAAGTACTTGAGAAAGACTGCTCAAGGTAAGAGATTAAAAAAACAATCCTCCCTCATACCTCACCACTGGCTCAATGGCCCTATGGAAAGCAAAACAAGCACCCATGTGGATGAATAATCTGCTTACACCTCTCTTCTGTCTAAAACTAACTTGGCAATGGCTGCTCCTAGTTGCCAAGCTTCTCAGATAGCCTGCTCTACCTCCCACTTCAGTCCTTTTATGGGCATGTCATGGCATAGAGAGGCTGACTGGCCACCAGTAGGCAGATAAATTATACTGACCCTTACCCCAACTTTCAGTGACTCTAATAAAACCAAATTGTCATTGACATCTCACTTGAAAATTCCTTTAGTAATTGCTTCTGACTAAAAAACATTCTTAGATCACTGTCATGGCATCATAAGGGACAGAATCATGACATTCTCAGTCGTTTCATCTATCATGTCTCTCATAGGTTGAAATGGCCACTTAAAGACTAAAATCAGACTGAAATTCAAAGGCTGACTGTTTCTGATTTCCTATCAGCTATGCCACTACCTGAGATGCTGTTTCTCAGCTGATCCAAGCCCTGAGCAACCAACCTGTTAGGCATCCATAACTCCACCAAAGTCCCCTTAGTCCCACTATCCGGGTTGATGGGCCTCTGAGACGCATAAGGTCTTCACCCCCAAGATAGGGCTGTCAGGACACAAGGCAAGTTCTCCCTGGCACAACCTTGGAACTCATGTGTGGGCTTCTACCAGCCGATGGGTAACCCCTATCCCCAGTCCACATCTATGCTTGCCCCACTGATACCACAAGCTTCCACAGGACCCATGTTCCCTCTTCCAGGAGGCACTTCTCTTGCAAATGGATCGATGTCTACAGGGCTGCAGGACTGGAGAGTCGAGACTGAGGTATATTTGTAGAAGGATGTTAGTCTGGGCGAGTAGGCTGGGATAGAAAAAGTAGGTGTTCTGTTTTTCACAAAACTGCCACAACTAATAGCAGTTGCCTCATTGAGTGCCTGGATCTGCCCACTGAACCACGTTGTCATCACTGTGGGCAGGATCCTTGCCAAGTTCCACCTGCTAAACCACCCTTTCCAAGGTGCCCTAGCCATCTAGTGGCAACACAGAAGAGTCTGCCACATGAGCCTGTGGTTGAAGAACAGGAAGGCATGTGAAAGATGACCCTCCCTCCCTAAAACTGGACCCTGACATAACTTACTGGGGAGCCTACCAAGATGGTGGATAGATATAGCTGCTTATGGGGCCACCTCCCATCTTCCCAGATCCTTGGAAACCCAGCTGTACTCAGAGCCTGGTACATATGGCATTTCTGGTAGCATGTTACACTGAGCAGCCATTCACATGACGTACATCCAGGAATAAGAACTGCAAGTAGAATTTATAAATACAATTTAATAAAACAAACCCGGAAGTCATATTTGTGTTGAGTAGTTGCATCCCACTCTGATAATTATTCACATGTACAGAGGGGATTAATTGAGGCTTTTATAATGCTAGCTAAATAAGAAAATGACTACTCACTTCTTGGTATCAAAACCCTCCCCCAATGCAAATGCAAATTACCCCAAGATACCCTTTTTCACTTGCAAAAATCCAAGAGTTTGAAAACATCATCTGATGGGAAGGCTGTGAGGAAACAGATGTGTTCATACATTGCTGGTGGAAAGGCAAAATAATATAATCCTATGGAAGGAAATTCAGCAATATCTAGCAAAATTGCGTTAGGTATTTGCCCTTTGACATAGCAATTCCATTTCCAGGAATCTATTCCAAAAATACACTGGCAAAAATATAAAAAGATTTAACCCACTCACTGCAGCACTGTTTTTTACAGGAAAAGACTGGAAATTACCTATGTATCCATGAGTACGATACTGGTTCCAGAACCTATAGTATATCCACATAAGGGAGCGCCATGCAGCTGTAAAAGAGGAGGAAGAGGCTGGGTGCGGTGGCTCACGCCTGTAATCCCAGCACTTTGGGAGGCCGAGGCGGGTGGATCACGAGGTCAGGAGATCGAGACCATCCTGGCTAACACGGTGAAACCCCGTCTCTACTAAAAATACAAAAAAATTAGCCAGGCATGGTGGTGGGCACCTGTGGTCCCAGCTACTTGGGAGGCTGAGGCAGGAGAATGGCGTGAACCCGGGAGGCGGAGCTTGCAGTGAGCTGAGATGGCGCCACTGCACTCCAGCCTGGGCAACAGAGCGAGACTCCGTCTCAAAAAAAAAAAAAAAAAAAAAAAAAAAAGAGGAGGAAGCTCTCTGTATATTACCGTGGAGAAATCTCCAGGATGTTTTACTAAGTTAAAGAAAAGTGTATGTTATGCTACTATTTATCCAAAAAAGCAGAGCTGTATATATATATTTAAATTTATATCTTATAATGAAAGAATAAACCATAAAATAAAAGAGATAACCAATGGTATTATATAAAACTTTTTTGGATCCCAATTCAAACAAATACACTGAAAAAAAAAGAGGTAATTGAATACCTGCTGAATATTTGATGACATTAGGAATTAATATTTTTTTCTAGTCATGATGATGTTGTGGTTATATTTCCAAAAAGTGACTCCTTCTTAGAAGCAGTCATCCAAAGAAGTTGCGTTGTCCATGCACTGCTATGCAATTATATGTTTTCAGCAAGATAATCTCAGAGGGACCCACAAAAGTGCGCCTTGAGAAGGAACTGCCTTTGAATACCCACCAACCCAGACAGACAGAAGCAGATTATTACAGTGGAAGTAAGAACTTCACAGTCCAATATCACTACCCCCTTTCCTTGTTTAGTACAGGAGGAAAAAAAAAATAAAAATTTAAATTTAAAAAGCCCAGCTATCTGGGTAACATAAGAGAAGCAAAATGCAGAAAAATAATTTCCTATAGCTTTCTAGCCCAAAGTCATAAATTGGGACAGAAAGAATGTTGAGATCACATTAAGGCCTTGCTTATTATATTGACTGACATTTTTATTACTGGAATGAGATTTTTTTTTCCTTGATATGGTAGGCAGAATAATGGCTTTCCCAAAGTGTCCATATCTTAATCTCAAATAGGCTGGCTACCTTTTTAATGGCAAAAGTGACTCTGGAGATGTGATTAAAGATCTAAGATGGAGAGGTTATCCTGGATTATCTGGGTGGGCATAATGCAATCACATAGGTATCTATACAAAAGGCAAGGGAGTCAGAGAAGAAAATGTAAGGAAGGAAGCAACAGTCCGAATGAAGTGGCCACAAGCAAGGAAATGCAGGCAGCATCTAAAAGCTAGAGAAGGTAAGGAAGAGATATTTCCCTAGAGCCTCCAGAGGGAATGCAATTCTGCCAACACCTTGATTTCAGTCCATGAGACCCATTTCAGACTTCTGACCTTCAGAACTGTAAAAGTTCTTGTTGTTTTAAGCTTTTAAAAAATGAGTTCTTATCTTTGAGAGATACTTTTTGAAATGTCCCCAGATGATATGATATCCAGTATTTGCCTCAAAATAATTTTGAAAATTGGGGAGTAGGTGGTGATATAGATGAAATGAGATTGGCTATGGGTTAATAATTGGTGAAGCTAGGAAATGAATCCATGGTGGCTCAATATACTATTCTCTTTAAGTTTACATACGTTCAAAATTTCCTATAATAAAATAAGAAAGAGAGAGAACAAAAAAAGGAGAGAAAGAAACCCATCTCTTGTACTGTATGTCATAATCTGAGAAACAAATATGTGATTGTATGAAGAGGGTCAGATAGAAAGTAGCTGACCCACACTGCAGAACCATTTTCTACACAGAAATAAATCCACCAGCCACCCTTGAAAGTGGGTTGAAGACTGTGGGGCCTGTAGACATGGTATGTCATTTGCATGTTTGAATATTCATGAACTCATCAAAGAGGAGTGTCCTCAGTAGACCTCAATGCCCCTTAGCCTCTGTGGCCTCTTGACAAGCTCTCTCACTCCCCTACACAGGAAGGCAGCTTTGTTGGGCCACTCTCATCCTTTCAGACATTAACCTCATAGATGGCATGGTAATGGCTCGGAGATTTGAGCAGGGTCATTCTCCATCGCATAACTCCGGAGACATATTTGAACACAGGAAAAAGGAAGATTTTAGAAGTCTCCAAGATAACAATGAGCCCTTGAGAAGAAAAGCAGGGACATGGTCTGAGAGACAGGGAAGCCAGATGAGAAATATTTTCTTATAAGTTGTAGAAGTATCAGGCCACCTTTCCCCTGCTAGGAGTGAATCTCTTGGCATGGGGCAGACCTGGCAGACAGGGTGGGATGAGACTGCAAGTCACCCCCTACCCCAGGATCTTGAGAGAAATATCTTCTGGGGGCTGGGGACAGAACCTCAGGGTCTGTTTCAGGGCTCTCCTCCAACCCCATTGCCTTTGGGAAGCTCTGCCACCCCAACAACTGGGGACCCTGGCAAGCTGCTTGATCTGCAGTGATACAGGCATAGTACTGCCCGCCTCACAAGGCAGGCGATTGAGGCATCATTTCATGGACCTATTTTTCTTTTTTCTTTTTCTTTTTTGAGATGGAGTTTCACTGTGATACCCAGGCTGGAGTGCAATGGCACAATCTCGGCTCACCACAATCTCAGCTTCCCAGGTTCAAGCAATTATCCTGTCCAGCCTCCCAAGTAGCTGGAACTACAGGTGTGTGCCACCACACCTGCCTAATTTTTGTATTTTTAGTAAAGACGGGGTTTCATCATATTGGCCAGGCTGGTCTCAAACTCCTGAACTCAAGTGATCTGCCCACCTCGGCCTCCCAAAGTGCTGGGATTACAGGGGTGACCCACCATGCCCGGCCCATGGACATATTTTTCTGAGCTCTGGTTTGTTCCTGTGGAGTTGACTGATCAGCTGAAAAATGAAAAGGCATATTTCCTTCCTATCCTCACAGGAAGGGCCTGCAGTGTCCCTGAGCTTCCCTCACTCAGGAGCTCACGCTGGAGATCCTTGGCTGTCTCCTCTCCTCCCCAACATAAAATTGTTCTTTGTGCCTGTCTAACTCACTCTATACACAGGCCAGGGTGGTTTCCCACTGGTCTGGCTCTTCTTTGTGGCCTTGGGAGCAATTTGAGCCCCCAAGAATTGGTTGTAGATCTCTGCTGCTCTTCTTTAAAGCTATTGAATAAAGCGAACCCCATTAGAGGTGCCTGAGTATACTGACATCTCTTTCTCTCAGTCATTTACAAGTTGGCCGTTGCTTTGGCACTCTGGCACTCCATTGCTCACCTGTCTCCTTGGTCACCTGGACTATCCTTCCTCCTCCTCATCTCTCTGATCCTGGCTGTCCTCAAGCTCCAGCTAGAGCCTCACCCCGTCCAGGGAGCCCTCACTGATTGCAAGCCCACACAGACACCCTCCTTCTTCTTTACATACTGTGTTCAGTTACTCTTTCTTTGCTTCACACATTCCAAGGAAGATTAACCCAGACAGAAAGGAGCTCCAAAAAATACTTTTTGTTTCCAAATCGAGAACCAAATGGATTAAATCAAGCACAACAGCATGGGCTGAGGAAGGATAACTTTGATGGTAGCTGATGCTTCTGAAGAGCATTTCCCATTTCAACTCATTAGACTGATCTTAAAGCCCCAGAAGAGGGGCACAAACCAGCACCCAGGCTCTCCCTTGTCTTTTCCCTCCCTTCTAGGGCCCCTCTGGCTCAAACAGCAGTGGATCTGGAACAGTACTCAGTGCCACGCCCTGTAGATTCCTCATCCTTTGCTTCTCAGCACCCTGAGAGGTAGTCAGAGTGTCCCCATTTCACAGATGTGGTGACTAAGCCACAAAGAGATCAAGTATCTTACCCCAAATCACTCTGGTAGACAGTGACCCAGCTAGCAAGAACAGGCATTCTGCCTCTAAAGCCTACACATGCAGCCTACCCTTTGCTGCAAGAAATAGCACAGCCACCAGGGGCTGTGCCTGGGAGGAGACCCAGAAGGGCAGGAGCGTACTGACCCATTTGGAAGACTAGACAAAGAGGTGGACAGACAGAAACTGAGTGAAACTAGCTGAATTAAGTGCTATATGTTCAGCTGACCAGGTCAGAAAAGTGAGATCAGGTGAGCAGAAGTTATCCAACGTGGTCAGAAGAGGGAGGAGTGGCAAGCTTGTGGTTCTTTGGGATGGACAAGAAGGACTGGAGAGGTGGGCAGGCCTCTGCCTCGAGCACGAAAGGGCCATTCCAAGCATGGCAGGGAGTCAGAACAGACTGGCCTCTGCTGTGTGCCAGGCACTGTGCTGAGCATTTGGCATAAACCATCTCAGGTGATTCAGCATAAAGGGAGAAGTTTGGGGAGGATGAGAAATCCGGCTAGCTGGGCTGGAGGCATCAGAGAGCAGGGAGAAGAGTTTAGACTAGTTGGAAGTGACCAAGGAATGGCCAGTTCACTGCTTAAGCCTTTGACCAATGCTCCATTCTGGTAAGTCAGGATAACAAGAAAGCCCAAAGCATGGCTGGCCCTGGTGGGATGCCTTACAGAACCTGGGCCAGGCCCCATCCATCCTTGCGAGGTGTCTTATTGCACCTTCAGGTTGGAAGGACTGGGATAGGTTGCCCTGAGTGCCCAGCCAAGATGAGCCCTGGGCTGGCTAGGGAGGGACACAGAGCCAGTGCTTGTGTGAACAACTGATGACCTAACCATCCAGAGCCAGACAAAGAAGCAGTGGGAAACAAGGGCCTAGAGCTGGCTCTCAACCAGGGCTGGTTTACCCAGCACCCACACCCCAGTGCCTTTGACAATGTCTGGCGACATCTTTGTGTCTGGGTGCCACTGGGATCTAATGGGTAGAGGCCAGGGATGCCACTAAATATCCTACAGTACACAGGACAGGCTCCTGTAACAAAGACTTATGTGGCCTAGAATGTCAGTAGCACAGAGATTAAGAAACAAATCCTAGTCTAGGGAAAGAGGGTGAGAAGCGCTGAAATCCAAGTTGCTGCCTGGGAGGAAGCTGTCTCTACCCTGAGGAAGAGGCTCCTTTTCCTAATTCAGCCTGCACTGTGAGAACACATGTGAGCCCCAGGGAGGCACCCTGGGGAAGGTGGTGCTAGAGGGGAAGAAAATGTTATCTGCTGTCACTTAGGCTGTGATTTGTGCAAAAAGCGATTTAAAAGAGGTAGTCAAAAAGAGGGTCAAAAAGTCAGCCCATGTGATTATGTCATCTACTTGGTGGCAAATGCAGTTAAACCACAATGACATACCCACGCAGGTGACAAAGGAGATGTGATCAAAGATTTTCATTGCAGTACTGCTTTTAATAGTGAAAGATCAGAAACAATATAGTTTGTCCATCAGGGGACAAGCTGGATAAGCAATGGAATACTCCGTAAAATAATGGGGATACTTTCTATGTACAGCTATGGAAAAGTCTCCAGAATATATTAAGTGAATAAAGCAAAGTCCAGAACACCGTGGAGTACAGTGCTGCCATTAGGTGAAACGGGAGGAAACATTAATAAACAGTATATTGCTTACATTTGCATAAAGCAGCAGTGGATCTCAAAGTTGATTGTGCATCAGAATCACCCAGAAGGCTTTTTTAGCCACATGCACTTCAAATAACATCAACTATTTTACTTATTTATTTATTTATTTATTGAGCCAGAGTCTCACTCTGTCGCCCAGGCTGGAGTGTAGTGGCACGATCTCGGCTCACTACAACCTCCTCCTCCCGGGTTCAAGCTATTCTCCTGCCTCAGCCTCCCGAGTAGTTGGGACTACAGGCGCCCGCGACCACGCCCGGCTAATTTTTTGTATTTTTAGTAGAGACGAGGTTTTACCGTGTTGCCCAGGCTGGTGTCGAATTCCTGACCTCAGGTGATCCGCCCGCCTCGGCCTCCCAAAGTGCTGGGATTACAGGCGTGAGCCGCCGTGCCCGGCATCCTTTCTTTTATTTTCGGGAGAGACGTGGAAAGTGCCCCAATTTTCTCGCCCGTAGTTGAACCTCCCAGCTTTCCTGACCCCAGCCACCACCGGCGCGAGGCTTTAGACAAAGGCCTGTAAGTGGCCTCTTTCCTTAATCACGCCAGCACAAACCCCAGGAGATTGTTTCCCAACTCCCGAGTGGCTGCTGAGTGTGAGAAGTTAATGGCGTTTGAAGGAAATCCCCAGCAGCCGAAGAGTTCGGCCAACAAAGCAAACGTCCCGTCTCCGGTCTCCTCTTCCTTTGTAGGGGAAACGAACTGAACGTCTGAAACGAAGGTGGCGCGGCCTGGACAAACCTGACCCTTCGACATCCCCCGCCCCTGCGCCCGCCCTCGCTAAGCGGGGAGGAGCGACCGCTACAATGGATCCTCCCGCAGGCTTTGTGCGCGCTGGGAATCCAGCTGTCGCCGCCCCGCAGAGCCCCCTGTCCCCGGAGGGCGCTCATTTCCGGGCCGCCCACCACCCGCGTAGCACCGGCAGCCGCTGTCCCGGCAGTCTCCAGCCGTCCCGCCCGCTTGTGGCCAACTGGCTCCAGTCACTCCCCGAAATGCCAGTCGACTTCACTGGGTACTGGAAGATGTTGGTCAACGAGAATTTCGAGGAGTACCTGCGCGCCCTCGGTAAGCGCTGCCCGCTGCGCCCTGGGCGCCCCGCCGAGCAGCTCCGGGCCGCTCCCTAGAGCCCTCCCGAGACGCTGCCTGCCTGCCTCCATCCCGGCGAGCCGCGGTCCGGTGCCCCCGGACGCCAGAAAGGGCGTCCTCGGCCACCGCTCCCAGGGCAGCCCCCAGGCTGCAGATTGGAGAATTCGGGGTTGTTAGGTTAACCGGTGGCAAATGTCTGCTCGTTGGCCCTGGAGGTGGGTAATTTCATTAGTAAATCTGGGGCTTGGTTTGCTACTTTTTGTTTTTAAACGGTTAACATAAGAGCAGAAAACTTTGTTGGGGGCGGCAGGGGAGGCACAGGCAGGCTGTGCGCAGAGACAACGCAAAGCCAGCGGGAACCCTAACAGTGTTCGCGGGCGGAGAGGGCTCCTGGGGCCCCGCTACCTTGGGAACGGTTCTCTGAGTTTCCCTGCCAACTCTCTGGCGCTCTCTCTCTCCCCGTTCAACCCCCACCGCAGACGTCAATGTGGCCTTGCGCAAAATCGCCAACTTGCTGAAGCCAGACAAAGAGATCGTGCAGGACGGTGACCATATGATCATCCGCACGCTGAGCACTTTTAGGAACTACATCATGGACTTCCAGGTTGGGAAGGAGTTTGAGGAGGATCTGACAGGCATAGATGACCGCAAGTGCATGGTGAGGATTCGCGTCCACCTGGTGTCTCCTGCCCAGGGGGCCTGACCAAGGGCTGGGCTAGTTCATCCGAGAGGGGGCAAGGGCCTGAGGGACTGAAAACTCTTCCCACTCTCAGCCCCCATGGTGGGCAGCACCAACTCATGAAGCATCCTGCTCTATCTACACTGGAAGGTGATGGTTATGAAGGCTGCCATGTGCTGTGTCTCCACTGCGTTCAGGCACTCTGCCCGGTGCTTTATGCACATGACTTCACCTAAGCCTCACACAGCCTTTGAGGGAGATATGAATATGCCCATTTTACAGATGAAGAAACAGTCTCAAAGAGATGAAGTAACATGTCCAGAGTAGCACAGCTAGGGAGGGTCTGGAGTTCAAAGCATGTCTGTTGATGCCGTTCTCTGGCTGACTGGGCTGGTGGAGGGTAAAAGAAAAGAAAGGAGGAAAGAAAAAAGAAACACAGGTAACCCCTTTGAAGTGTAAACTTTCAGTATGACTTAGTGTGAAGTCACTCCAGGAAGCTGGGGGCCCCTTGATCTCTGCTGGAAGCCCCCTGATCTGCCCATCCTTGCCCCAGAGCTGGGATTTGGCTCCTGGCCATCCCCTGCCCCACCCTGTCATCCAATGCCTACTGAGCATTCTTTGAACTTTGCAGCTGACACCTATTCAGTAAGTCAGGGCCCCTCCAGCCCAGACCAGAGGAAACAGCAGTGGGGGAAGAGGGAGGGCCAAGAGCTCCCTTCCACAAGGGTGGGAAACTCCTGACCCAGGACATCCCAATTAGTACTGCCACAGCAGATGCCGGAAGGCCAGCCCCAGGCCTCCATCAACATTATCTGGTTGCTGGGAGGTCAAGGTACTCTTGTTCTCCCTTTATAGTCTTGGGTTCAGAAGTGGCTTATGTTCATCCCAGGAGCCACCTTGCTTATTGATGGGGTCCTCACCCACCACCTCCCACCATTTACCAAGGGTCTTTACCGCTGGTCTGCTGTGTGTCCAGCACTGTGCTAGTCATCTTACAGCACAGCACAGTGAGGGAGGGATAAGTAACCCCATGTTATGCAGTGACTGAGGCTCAGACAGAGGAAGAGACTTGTAAGAGATGAGACTTGAGCCCTGGGCCTTCTGATGTTGAAGCCCACAGTCCTGCTTTCTGCCAGCTTCTCTGCTGGTAGTCTGTGCAGAAACAAGATAGCTGAGGTCTGTTAGGATTGTAGTTGAAGGGATGCCCATGTCTGGGAATAGGCATCTGGAGCCTGGATGACTCATCCCCCCACCTTGTCTATTCATCTGAAGGCAGTCAGGATTGGTATCTGAGTCTGCTGTTTGGAATGATGGGAAAGAGGGGGTAGTCAGCAGGGAGTGGCCTTGGAAGGACCACTAATGGGAGAAAACACCATTGTTGCAGAGAAATGTCAGGTTGTGCCTTTAAAAATCTCAAGGACTCTTAATCTGCAGGAAAGACTCACAATAGGAAAGGAGACCTTCAGATGGCATCTGCCTTTCTCATTACTGCCCAAGACCTGCTCCCCGGCACACTGCATGGAACTTTGCTCCTTAAGAATAATCCTTACCCCCACTCACTATTGTGGAACTCACAGATCACATCGAACCTTTATTTTGGGTCACCACAAATCTGGCATGTGCTGGCTTGTACTAATTATCTTCACTCTTTCCTTCCTTTCTTCATCCATTAACACATGAAACATTTATTGATCACCTAGTAATACTAGCAAATGCAGTACTCATCAAGTGCTTACTGTCATGCCAGATGCTATTCAAACGTTACATTAGCTGACTTAATCTTCACAACACCCTTTCAAGCCTCATTTTACAGATAAGAAAACCACTGCAGGATTTCTTGCTGTGTGACCTTGGGGAAGTGCAGAGGGAGGATTTTAGTTAACCACTGCCCTGAACATACTGCTTCCCTCACGGGCTGGTCACCACGGCAGGCACAGGACAGCAGAGCATGTCACAGGCCCTGATGTCCAGGAAAGCAAAGTCTTTGCAGTGGAGGCAGGCACACCAACACTCGCAACACAGTGTGGCAAAGAAAAGCACAGGGTGGGAGTGAGGGGATGGGGACTACCCAGAGAAGGGGATCCCAGAAGAATTTCTGAAAGAGGTGACTTCTGTGCTTCATTGTAAAATAAAGCAGGGAGGTAGAAGGGAGGGTTTTGGATACAAAGGAAAGGACAAGGGCCACCTTTTCTTCTCACTACAGCATCAGCGTCAATCGAGCATCAAGCAGTAGTCGAGCAGACCGTGCAGATTCAGCCACTGGACGAATCCAGTGAAACTGGTCTAGGATGCATGGTTACTATCACTGCCCCAGGACTCAGGGATGCCCACTCTCAAGTAGATAGCCATTCGCTCACCTGTTGTGGCCTGTTGGGAGATGGAACAGCCTGTCTGCTCTGCTCAAGCCTTCGCCTAGCCCCATGCAGTACAGAAAAGCCCTTCTCTCTGGGCTGGCCGCTGGGTGGTATGCTGCTTTGGACTGCCGGAAGGACATGGCTGGATGGGGGTAGGATGATAGAATTAGAGCAGCTGTCAGGCCTGAGACTTGTGAATGGAGGGGAGCTGGGTACCCAGAGGCCACCAGCTGGGCTCTCTGAGGGCCGCCAGGGGTCCTGGACAAGGTGGTTGCCAAAGATCACTTTCACTGCTACCCCCTCTGCCTCACACACTGGGCACCCATCAGCCAGGAGCAGTGGCCCAGAGGAGTTTGTTCCCAGCATATTACAGGAGTCCCATTCTCACTTGGGATCGGTCATTCGTCTATTTTTTTCATTCCTCTCTGGACACCACAAGCATCTCATGGTGCTTCCACTATCTTTGCAACCCCTGTGTCAATGAGACAAATCACACACGATTCCTGCCCTCATGGAGTTCAGTGTAAGGAGGAGGCAAATTGAAGCAGCCAATCACGACGTAGTGGACACTGTGCTGATACAGGCAGAGAAGCACTCCCTGCTCGGTCTGAGAGGTCAGGGAACGCTCCCACAGGAATTGGAGTCTGAACTGTGGCTTATAGGATAGACAGGAAGTAGCCAGGCAAACAGAAAGGGGTTGAAAGAAAGGCCACGGCCGAAAGCTGTCCCACACCAAGCCCTGGGCTTGGCCCTGGGGTCGCAGAGGCAACAAGGCCTTCTGGACACCCAGGCCAGTGGAGGAGACAGGCACATCTTCAGGCCATTACAGCTCAATGCATGATGGGAGCACGGTGGGCTGGGGAGCATACAGCTGGGAGTAGGAAAGCAGTGGTCAGGGAAAGTCCCAGAGGAGGCGACAGCTGAGAGGGGCCTTAAAGGACTAATTAGGGCAGATGTGGAGAAAAGGATAAGAGCTTTCCAGTAAGCGGGAACCACATGTACAAAGGCCCAGGGTCAGAAAAGCCTGGCTGGGAGGGAGTTTCAGAGGTGAGAGAGGAGCAGTCTGCGAAGACTTCAGCATGCCTGGAGTGCAAGATGTGGCTGGGAGAGAAGAGAGCCAGGAGAACCTGGCAGGGAGACTTGATGTGACCCTGACAGGCCTCTGTGAGTCCTTGCTGGGAGAGGTGTGGCCAGGCTGACATCCCTCCCCAAAGGGCAGAGGCTCTCACTGGCTGAGAGATCTCTGATCCTGCCTCTTTTCCATGGGAACCTTATCTGTATTCTAGAACTGCAGCCAGAGGGTGAAACCCAGCCTGCAGATGTGTTTTGTTTGGCCTGTACAATGTTTGAAAAGCTTCAGAGTCAGTTGCCAATAATTGCCAAAGATTGTAAGATTTCACAGAAAATCCGTATTTCTGGCTGTTCTTAACAAAAACAACAAGAAAAGGAAAGGCCCTGGAAACACTGGGCACCTGTTTATTCCTGCACTGCGTGGATCCCTGGAATATGTTGCAGCTGCTCCCTTTAGATGTTACATTTCCTAGTTTACCACAGTCTTCAGCCCATCCTGTTACCTGAAGTCAAGGATCAAATGGCCATTTGTCGCTGTTTGCACTGTGGGTTCCTTTAGAGCTGTGGATCCCAAAGCAGAGGCAGCAGCAGCAGCAGCAGCATCACAGGGAACCTCTTAGAAATACAGATTATCTGGCCACACCCCTGGCCTACTGAATCAGAAACTCTGGGAGTGGGGCCAGCTATCTGTGGTTCAATAAGCCCTCCAGGTGGTTCTGATGCAACTAAAGCTTAAGAATCACTGCTCTGGAGTAAAGAAACATACTCTGTTCCTGTGTCTCTATAAAAAAATGGAAAACTGTAAAATTAGGTGTACAGGGCCATGGGCATGTAGAGGGCCAGTTTGGCCCATCACCTGAGTCCTATGGACATTGCAGTCCATGCCCAGAACCACCTGAAACAGCTCTGTGTTCTCTCCCCAGGTGGAGGGGTGGAGGGACTCAGATCTGGGCGGCTCTGCATCACTAGGCTCACATTTCCAGTCTGATCTAATCAGATTTTATGTGACCACAAACAGCAGGCACTATTTTGGTAGAGATATACAAAGTCTGGGCTCAGCTGAACAGACACAGGGCTTTTCTCCATTGCTTCCTGCATGCCTTTGTCCATAAAAATGTGCGATCAGGCCCAGCAAGGAACCAGCAGCATTTGTTGAATATAACACATATGTGCTTTGGCAGGGTGGGAGCTCTTGAGAAAGGAAGGTGCTCTGACTTCAGATAGTGTTTTCTCACTCCCGAGGAAGCGAGCGCCTCAAAATGATTTGGTTCTTTGTCTCGAAGTCCCCCCAGCATGAGCAGGTTTTGTGGGAGAAGACTGAGCCTCGGCCAGGAATCACAGCCGTGAGCCTGGCTCTGCGGGGGTGGCAGAAGGGCCATTTGTCATCCCCGTGTCCAGGTCATGTTTTTCCTGTAGGAGATGGCTTTGTTCACTCGGGGAACAGGCGCCTCCCCCTGTGGCTGGAGCCTCAGCTTCATATCCATCGTTGAACTTAGGATGACCCCTCCACAGGGCCTGCCTTCTGCTCCCAGCCCTCCGCCCCTCTGTCGCTTTCTTTGTTTTTATTATAAAAGGAAAATATTCAAATAGCACAAGAAAGTATGGGCTGAAAAGGGCCCCTTCCCCCACTTGGCCTGATTCCCACTTGGTGGATCTGTCCGGAAATCTTCCTCAGACTTATAATTGATCTATCTATTGATTAGGCAGTTGGCCAAGGTCTCTATCTAAAACCAAAAGAAAGAAAGGAAAAGAAAAAAAGGAATCCACTTCTCTACATATTTTTTTAACTCAGTGATATTTCTTACACATTTTTCCATATCAGCACTTACAGATTTTCTAAGTTCTTTTTTAACCGTCTATGTTTCCTTTCCTTCCCTCCCTTGACTTCCTTACTTACATCCTTCTATTTCTCCACCCATCCATCCATCCATCTAATTATATATGGTAATACATGAAATCCAACAAAGTACTGTTGACACTTTGGTTTAAACTCTTGCCAGCTTTCTGATCCTATTCTTGACCCATTAAAGAGATTTTTTGATTTGTTTTAAAAAACACACACACACACACGCACACACAATGCCACTGGCTAAATTAACTCCCTGGGCTGCAGCGCTGAGAATGCCGTTGGATGTGGGAGCCTCTGAGAGCTGCCCCTGCCCAGATCAGGCACCCGGCATTCAGCTGGGCCCTTTCCAGGCTAGAAACACAGGATCTCTTTCATGTCTTAGCTAAAGTTCTCCGACCTTTGAAATCGGTGTCAGCAGCGTGCTTTTGAGGATTACAAAAAGAAGAATTAAAGCAACCCAAATAAAATTCACAAAGTAGCTTTCAAAAATCACACTGCTTTGTTGGGTTTTGGGTTTTGTTAGGCAGGAACAAAGGAAAATAACATGTACTGAATCTTTACTAAGTGCCATGCCTGCCCCAATTGCTTTTTGTACTTTTTCTCCTTTGGTCCCCACAACAAATGCTGTTCAGTAAGTATCATTATACTCATTTCACAGATGAGAATCTGAGGCTCAAAGAAGTGAAGTGCCTTTTTAGCCCAAGGTCACCCTTGGGCTAGCTGGTGGCAGAGGAAGAATTCTAATTAGTCTGTTTATAAAGCTCTCTACCCCAAGGTCTCCCACAGAGCTTTGCTGAAGGCCAGCACCTCAGTTCCTTATTGTGAGCCTTCTCACAGTCTGAAGGTAAACCCAGGCAGTTTTGACAAGGCCTAGGATGAGTGAAAGGAGCACCGGTATTAGAGTCAGAACATCTATTTGAATTCTTCTCGATTATCTGACAGCGGCCTTAAATGATTAGACACACTGCCTTTGTTTTCATATCTGCAAAACGGGCATCATAATTGCTGCTCAGCGTGTCTCACAAGGCAAAGCTGAGGACCATAGAGATAGTACAGGGCACATGAGCTTGGGAAGCCACAATACTATGTGAGAACAGGGCCAGGGCCTGTGATACCCGAGACTGAGGGGCATGGCATAATCACTTATGATGGCCAGGTATTTACTGAATGAATTACAGCTGTTTGTTTTTCTGACCAACATTGTTCCTCCACCTCCCACCCAAGAGAAGCACTGTTTTCTTTATGGTGGGAATTACTCCTCCTCAACCTTTTGGGTCCTGGTGGGGCTGCAAATCATAGTACCCTGTCTCTTCTGGGAAGAGCACCTTCTGATAGGGTGATCACAGTGTCCCGTGGCCTGTCACATACTTGTGTATGTGGCCCAAGCTGGGCCAGTCACCATTTCCTGGGAGTTAATTTAGGAACCCTGAGAGACAGGTGAGTTCTATTCCGTTAAAGGTTGATGAGCTGTTATGATGTAAGCTTGGTGTTCTCTGAGGCCAGTCCCCTTACCCCACCTTCCTTAGCTGCATGGAAAAATCCAATTGAAGGAAAGTAAAAGATGAGGCCAATAGAGACAGAGAGAATGCAACATTAGAGGGTTACTAGAGTTCCTGACGCACCATTCCTAGATTTTCCATGTACTTCAACCAATACATTTTTTTTCTTTCACCTTAAGTTATGTGAATTGGTTTCCTGCCACTTGCATCTGAAAACATCCTAAGACATTCAAACTCCAGATATCAAGCGTTAAGACCCACATAAGTAGTTAGAGCAGTGGTTCTCAAATTTGAGCATGCCTTACCCCTAGAATTTCTCATTCTGAAAGTCTGGGGTGAGGCTTGAGAACTTGTTTTTCTAACAGGTTCCTGGATGATGCTGATGCTGTTGGTTCAAGGACCATGCTTTTGATAACTACTAACAAAGAAAAACAAGGAAGCAGGCTGGCCTGTGCCTAGTTTCCTGTGATTTTTCTCATCATGATTCAATGTAATAAGCCTGTGCTGGGGTAAAATGTGCCTAGTTCTAGGGGATGAATGAGAATAGGTAGGTGTAGCTCCATCCCAGGATCAGGGTAGTGGGGGATGAAGACTGCCTGGGGACCTCAATCTTGCAGCAGCCCACAGTGGTTTGCAATTGAGGGTCCAAGTAAGTGATACCAATAGTGTGTGCAGCTGGACAGGTGTGAGGTACAACAGAGCAATTAGGAGCTTTGACTTTGAGATGGACCTGGATTTGAATCCTGGTTCTGCCGTACAGCTGTTTCCTTGGCAAGGGTACTTTATCCCTCTGAGCTTCAATGTGCTCATTTGTAAAAGGAGCCAAGGGTAATACCCACCTAATGGAGTTATGTGAGAATTAAATATGGTGATGAATTATTTCTGTTTCCTGTTGCTGTGTAACAAACCACTCTGAAACTTAGTACCCTAACTCAACAATATTTATTTTGTTCACAAATCTGCAATTTGGACAGGGCTCAGTGGGGATGCCTTGTCCCTGCTGCCTGCCCTGCCAGTGGGGAGGTAGAGGATCCACTTTCCAGATGGCTAACCCACACTTACTCTCTGCTGGGTGCCTGGGCTTCCTCACTACGTGGCAGGTAGTTTCCAAGAATGCAAACACCATAGGGTGCCAGCTACCTTTAATACAGGGATTAGTGCGTTCTTCCTTTCTTCCTTCCTCTTCCCACCCCTTCCCTCTTTCTTCCCTCTGTCTTTCCTGAACTGAGGGTCCAAGGATAGCATAGGAATACTCTGGGAAAGAATGGTATAAACAAGATGGGTGTGAAGGTGGGGATGGCATGGAACCCAGTCTCCAAAACCTACCTTTGCCAGCTTTACAGTGGAACTGGTCCTGCACTAAGAAAATAAAAAATAATAATAATAATCTTCTCACAATGTGCAATAAATCAGAAAATCATCTTACTCTTTGACTCAGGGATCCCACTTATGGGATTATATTCCAGGAAAATCACTCTATTTGTACAAAGGTATCTGTTAGTCACTCTGTGATAATAATTCTCAACAACCCACAGAAGCATAACCACTATCTCAGGGCCTACTATGCGGCAGGCCCTGCCCTGTCATTTTATGTTTATTTAATCTCCTAACAATCCTGGATAGGAGGTGCTACTCTCCCATTTTACAGACAGGGAGCCAAAGGTCCTGCCCAGGTTCACATTACTGATTAACCATAGATTTGTGATCTCACTTCGGATGTCTCTGATTCCCTACTTTGTATGGTTTTTATAGAACAGGCTGTCTCCTGCTGGTATACCTAAATATCAAATAACTATGGGTGGTTAGAAAGACTGGCTTTTTAATTCCATAGACCACTATGTAGCCGTGTAAATGATCACTATGAAGATAAATGAAAAGTTTTTATAGGCATTCAGTCACCAAGTTCCATAGATTCTGCTTCTTAACGTCTCTTCCTGTTTTTCTTCATTCCCACTGCTCTGAATATCTCGTGCCAGTAATAATAATAACAATTAACATCTCTCGTGCTTACTGTGTGCCAGGCTCAGCGCTTTCCATGGATTATTTCATTTAATTACTGCAGTATCTTCACATTCATCTCCATTTTACCATGCTCAACACTTCAGCCCATCCCTCCCTTTCTAAAAAGGGAATCTGATCATGCTACTCCCCAGCTCAAAATTCCCAAGGGCTTCCCAGTGCTGATGGGTAAAAGCCAGATGGCACTCAGGCTCTTCAGATCATGGCCCTGCCTGTCTCTCCAGCCCTATTCCTTCCCTCACTCCTTATGCTTGGCCCCATCCCATCATTTGTCAGTGCCTTCACTTGCCATCCTCTTTGCATCCCTCTACTCACTTCTCTGAGGTATTTCTTTGCCTCTTCCTCTAGGAGGAGAATTACCCACTGGTCAAGACCCAGCCCAGGCTTATCTGCTCTGTTGATCCCATCCTGATTCCCCATCCCACCACTGTGCCCTTCCTTTGCCTTGCAGCCTCTCTCTTCAGGTGCTGCTTTTAGGGCACCTGTGATGCTAGTTAATGTGTCTGAGATTCTACACAGCAGCAGCCACACCATCATGGGCTCAGTGGGCTCCAATGTGTTCATTAAATGAATGTTAAGTGAAAATAGCAGAACCTCAGAAACATAAATGGTAGTCATTGACCATATCACTGCAAGATGCAATTGCCATTTAATAATAGCTCATGTTTATTAGGTATTCCATGTGCTAAAAATTCTTCTAAGCACTTTCCATGCATTAATTCTTTTAATCCTCACAATAATTCTATGATGAAGATGCCAAAATTCTTCCTATATTATACATGAAGAAAATGACTCAGTCTGACTGAGTTGTAACTGGTTCTGCTCTAGAGCTAGACCAGCCGGACCAGCCAGACTGTCATCTTTGGGATCTCATTTCTGCCCCTTACAAAGTGGGTGGCCTTATGCAAGCTACTTCACTTCTCTGTGCCTTTACTTGTCTGCGAAATGGGGATAATTATGAAATAGGGGATACCTGCTTTGTGGTGAGGATTAGATGAACGGTGTGTGGGAAAACCCACAGTGCAAACTGCCCCATCAGTATGAGCTGTTATTATTAATCCTCTCACACTGACCTGTGACCTCCAGAAGACAAATTCTGGGGGTGGTCACATGTATGAAGGGATACCTGGCAAACCAGAGAAGAGCTAGCAGGATTATGAGAGTGGAGGCTGGCCTGAAAAGGCACCTGCCTCTCCATACCCGCAGGGAACAGGATGGACTAGGCCAAGAGCAGAGAGGAATTATTGCTTACTGCACATTTTGTGTGTCCTGCACTGAAATAGGTCCTTGAAACCCCTTGTTTCATTTCATCCTGATGGCTCTGCTCTGTGGCTGGGCTCACTAGCCCCATTTTGCAGATGAGGAAGTGAAGGCTCAGAGAGGTGGAGTAAATTGCTTTGGTCACCCAGCAAGAACAAGGTGAGAACCTGCAGTTCAGGTCTGCCTCTACCCAAGGCTATCATTGGGTCCCTCCTGAATGCCCAGCTTGGCAGGCAGGCAGCTGTCCCATGACTGAGCCAGACCAGGCCCGCAGCCTGCCAGGTGATATTCAATGGCCATAATATTCATGCCAGCAAAATGTTCATGTGGGAACAGTAGGCAGACCATGGGCTCAGAGCTAGGCAGAGGGGATTTAAACCATGTCTTATACTATTCCTAGTTGCGTGCCTTTGCATATAGAGCCTAAGCACTCTGAGCCTTAGAGACTCAGGGTCAAATCACTCCAATGGTTAACCCCTTTCTATAAGGCTTACCTGTGAGGAAGAAACAGCCACATTGCTCAGAGAAAGCGTGGTGTTCACTGCAAGAGTGCCACTAGAATGCTTTCTGCTATTCATTCATTCATTCAACAAATGGTAATGCACATTTTCTCTGCCATGGATTCTAACATGGGGGCTGGTATCCTGCAGTGAATAAAAGGATCCCAGACCCCAAGGAGTTCTTCATCAAGAGATCCTGACATGCTCACTCTTCCCTGGTTACCTGGTTACTGATCTAGCACCTCTTATCTTCTGGGAGCTATTTATTTCTATTTGCCTTGAGATATATATATATATCTATTTATATATATATATATTTTATGTATATATATAAAATAGAGGCCAGAGATTCCCATGGAAGGGATGAGGCCTTCAGTGCCCCTCCTAAGCACTCTCTGACAGGATGTCCCCTCTCTTATTCTTATTCTCCCACCCTACCCCCAACTTCCACACCCCTGCCTTTGCTGGTGGAACTAATAACACACCAATTGCTTGTACTGGCCCCAGGTAGCAGATCCAGCACGGCCTGCCAGGTAAGCAAGCATCTGGATTTTCCATGGCACCAGGTTTGGCCAGCTGGAGCACGAAGACATACTGTGAGGAAGAAGAGAGGCTGTGAGCAATCTCCCCAGTAAATTCTGGGTCAGAGGTACAGGGTCAGCCTTCATGGGGAAGGTCAACCCACAGAGTTAAGCTGGGCAAAACCTATGTAGAAACTTCCCTCATGCAGACCCTGCTGTCCCTGATTTTCCTGCAACTGCCTGGGCTTGTTCCCTTTGCCTGGGACTCCCTTGTTCCTCTTCTTCCTCTTTCCACTTTTTTTTTTCTTTTTTTTTTGAAACGGAGTTTCACTCTTGTTTTCCAGGCTGGAGTGCAATCGCGTGATCTCAGCTCACTGTAACCTCTGCCTCCCGGGTTCAAGCAATTCTCCTGCCTCAGCCTCCCAAGTAGCTGGGATTACAGTCACACGCCACCACACCTGGATAATTTTGTATTTTTGGTAGAGACAGGGTTTCACTATGTTGGTCAGGCTGGTCTCAAACTCCTGAGCTCAGGTGATCCATCTGCCTCAGCCTCCCAAAATGCTGGGATTACAAGTGTGAGCCACTACACCTGGTTCTTCTTTCCACTGTTTGCTAACTCCCATGGTGTTTTCTGGCATCACTTCCAGCATTATTTCTAGCCTTACCTCTTCCAG
This sequence comes from Homo sapiens, assembly GCF_000001405.40. NCBI lineage: Eukaryota > Metazoa > Chordata > Mammalia > Primates > Hominidae > Homo > Homo sapiens. Next base: position 139,527,009 of record NC_000003.12, on the reverse strand, counting down.
GAAGCCTTCCCTGATGGGCCTCTGTCTCTACCTTAAAGGCTGTCGAGGTGCCTTCTGACTTCCATAACCTCCAGCATTTGTCTACCAGTACTTACCATTCTGCTGGAATTCTCTGTCTTCTTACCTTCTTCTCAGATAATCTGTGAGCCCTCAAGAGCAGGCCACTGACCTTACTTCCCTCTCTCCAGCACCTACAGCTGGTGCATAGGAGGTGTGAAACCCATGATTGCTGAATGCCGTTCCCTTGCACAGAACCACGTGGTGAATTCCTATTGCTCAGTCAAGGGTCAGTTTAAAGCAGGGAACTGCAGAGCACAGTCATCAAGAGCATGAGCTCTAGAGCCAAATCTCATCTCCCCACTTCACGGCTGGGTGAACTTCAGGCCTCAGTCTCCACATTTGTAAAATGATGAGAAGCATACCTGCTCTAGGAGGTTGTCAGGAGTCAACTGGTATGACATATACTTTGCCTAGTACCCTGCCCAGCACATAATGTTGGGCATTATCATTATCATAACAACACATGTTGTTATGATATTGATTATGGTGACTGATAATGACAGCAATGCTATCACTCCCACCAGGGAGCCTTCCCTGACCCCCCAGGCTGGGTTGCGGGCCGTCATCCCTCCCAGCATATAGCACAGAGGTGTCATTGCCTTCTCTCCAGGCTGAGCTACCCCATGACAGAGCTTCTGTGCAGCCCAGCCTTAGGGCCACCCTAAGTGCTAGGTCCCTGGGATGAATGAGTGCAGTTCCACAGGGCCCTGTGACCTTCTCCAGTCCTGTTCCCACCTCCTTATCCAGAACCTTGGCCTTGAGCACTCCAATGGTTTAAACTGACTCTAGGAACTTTCTGAATTGTTTAAGGAAAAATAACTATAACATGTCAAGTTTATTAGTCTTAACATTTTCTCATTTTGTCTTAATAATTGTGTTATCATTTGCTGTTAGCTTTTTCATGGTATTAGAATTGCATTCTTTCATGCTCACAAAAGCTTTGTTGTGGCTATACTATTTATAGTGATTGCTTTGAACATCTATTATGTCTCTAATTACTCGTTCACATTTTAAGGCCTTATTAATTTAGTTTTAATCTGCTTTTAGAGTGAAACTGGCTTTTCCTCTTGAATGTGCTGACTTTTGATTCCAGCCCCCCAGGAATGGATCAGAGAAGAGGAGCCGCTACCCACCCACTCATCAGCCTGGCCTCAGGGGCAGCTCATGGACTTTTTAGCCAGAGAGAACCGGGTTCAAGTTATGGCTCAAGCCCTAACCCCTTGGTGATGGGCTGGTTACTTATAGAAGCCTAATTTTTATCAGCTCTAAAGCTTGAAGATTTAGTGAAACATTGTGGAAAGCTCCCAGCACAGTACCTGGCACCTGGCAGGTTCTCTGTCATCTCCCCTACTTTTCCCTCCTGATCACTTATTTAACACAAGCACCAGATGCTGAAAACCCTCTAATTGTCCCAGGAACACACATACCCTCAAAGGGAGAAGCACACTTTCAAATCAAACTCCAGGATTTGCATCTTTTAGCAATTTCCATTATGCGGAGAAAGTATCTACTCACTGTCTGGTTTTGAAATTTTACCCCAAATCGAAAGAGCATGGGTTTTGGTGTCAGACCTGGGTCGGTCCTGGCTCTGGCCTTTGCAGGCAGTATCACCACGGGCAAGGCTTCACCTCTCATAACCTGGCTGTGGAACCACAGAAACAACAGAATTCAGTCCCAGCCCTCCAGAGGTGGATCCGTAAACAGAGGGACTACTAGGGCTGGGTGGAGGGCTGTGAGTGATCCAACATCCCCTGCTCTTGAGAGTGGTGTTTTAGCATGGGAGTGTTAATGAATGTCACAAGTTTCTTGATACCAAATAGAGTTCCTACCATTTGCAGGTCATACCGGTCACTGCCAAGAGATGGCTTATTTAGTGGGAATTGTCTGGCACTCCTAGTATAAGTCACCTAAGTGGGGCAAGTGGGCCTTGAAACATCCCTGGGAGACACTCACTCAGGCTGCCTGTGGGAGCTGGGCTTTTTGTGTCACTCTCCCATGCAGCAGTGACGGCTGGGGTTTCTAAGTGGTCAGAGGAGCTGGAAAATGGCTTCTGAAGTAACAGTCCCTTGTCATAGTGGTACAAAGATGTCTTCATTCATCTGTTGGCACATGTCTCTGGGTAAACTGCCGGCAAGGCCAAAGTGATGGGGGTTATTATTAGTTTTTAATAGAAAAGTTAGACTGGCTTCACTTTCCAACCAGCTTCCCTAGTTCCAGCCCATTTGCAGACTTTTGGGTGGTCTGTGGGATGAAAATTTCTTGTGAGGAGGTGAGCTGAAGATGGCCATCCCTCCTGGTTGCTCTTGGATTGTCTGGGCTTCATTTCTAAGGCGGTCCCAGAGCCCATGTGGGGGTTGGGGGAAGCAGCATTGTCTAGCCCCTTTGGTTTGTACCCATGTTCACCCCACCCCCACAGCCACCTGCCTTTTCTGTGGGACTTGAAAAGCATCAGGAATATCTTCCTACCTGAAATTCTTCCATTAGACCCTGATTAATTGGATTAATCTAGGAAACCAGATTAAATGACCATTTAACGACCCTTTCAGATCTGGCTGAATCCTTGTCCCCGAATGTTCACTGCTCCTGATCTAGCAAAGACAGCTGGCTGCTGACTTCAGAGGGAGGTCATGGAATAAGTTATTGGGTCCTAGGGAAAGTTGTTTTCATAAGTTCTACTTTGTGTCACAAGAAAATGAATTATCATTGTTTGTTAGGCATTCACCTTCCAACATTACTTATTTCCTTTTCCCTGTCATTTGTGTTTAAGTGATAGTCCCCCTCCTTGGCTCCACACCTCCTTTTTCTGTTCTTATGACAAATCAGATTCTCTTTGAAATAACTAGTCTATTCCCACAAGATAAAAAACTTAAAATGAAAAATCCAGTCCCACCAAAAGTTAACATGGGGAGAGTGGGAGAATTAAATCACACTGCTGAGCCATCCCAGCTATCAGTGGGGGTCTTCAAACAGATCTTCTGCTTAAACAAAGACCAGTTAACATATAAAGGAAGCAGGCATCGTGGTGCTCAGCAGGCAGCCCCTGCAGGTCTCCTCATGGATCCCAGTATCCTAGAAAGAGAAGGAGCTTCCAAAACCTTGGCCATGATGAATAGCATGTCAGTCACTGCTTCACAAATCTCCAACTCTTAAAAAAAAGGCTTTCATTATTGTTCAACATTGACAAGGAAACCCATCTTTATCTAAGCTCTGGGCATCATGATTACCATTACCTAGTGCCTCCTATATGCCAGCCCTATGCATTTTCTGTATATTTTCTCAAATCCTCAGAACAACCTGGTGAAGTAGGTGCTTTGTTTATCTAATGCCATGTAACCAGCCCAAAACTTAATAGGTTAAAACAACAACCTTATATTCTCATGATTCTGTTGGTTAATTGTGCAGTTCAGCTGCCTGTGGCTGTGTTCAGCTGAAAGCTCAGTTGGGGCGCCTCAGCTCTTCTCCAAGTGGCTTCTTTCCCATCCTCCAGGGCTTCTCCTTGTGCCCTTTCTCTTTGGCAGAATATCCTGGACTGCCTTAACATATAGCAGCTGGGTTTCAAGAGGGGAAGATTCCAAGAGGACAAGCCCCCAGCATACAAGTGTTTATAAAGGCACTACTTCCATCATGCTTGTTCATGTCTCACTAGCCAGAGCTAGTCACGTGGCCAAACCAAGCCGATGTAGGAAGAGACTTCACAGGGGTTTGAATATCATGAGACTCGGGAGTCACCAGTGGAAGAGTCTACCACAGTAGGTATCGTTTAGCCTTCTTTTGCAGTTGAGGGCACAGAGACTCAGAGAGGTTAATCCAGTTGCCCAATGTCATCCAACATAGTCAGGAACAGAGGACCCAGCTCTCTCTGATACCATGTTCTTTGCTGCCCATACTAAGTCAACCTGATATAGGTTGAGGTGGTATAGTAGGAGGCGGGCAGGGACCAGGAGCCAAGTATAAATGGCCAGTAAGCTTCCAGGATTCTTTAACCCAGAGTACAACCTGACCAATTCCCTGGCCCACCTGCCCGCCTGGATGGTTCTACCCAACAGCACAGGCAGCAAAGACAGGCACTGAAAACATGCTCCAGGCCACAGTCTGGGTTTTTCAGTCTGATATTCTGGCCCCATCTCCCCACCACCCCCCAACAACCTTGTTCCTCCTCTCCTTAACTCCAGGATAGTCTTCTACAACACTGGCTTGTTGTCATTTCTCCCTCATCACCTCCTACCCCTTTCATCCTTTTTCACTCTGCCTAGAATGCCCCTCCCATTTTTAGAAACTCCTTTGAGGCCATGACAGCCTGGGCACTTCTCTGTGGGGACCTCTACAGGCAGAAATCTTTAAGACCTCTTTCTGACTCCCAGCACCCATACCCCCACAATGGTTGGAATGAACTTAAGGGTGTTCCTCCAGGAGTCTGCTCGGAGTCTTAGCACAATGTCCATGTGTTTTTCTGCAGCCCCCAATGATTTTAGCCACCATCTCGTGGGCACCTGGCAGGTGCCCTGCCCTAGACTGGGAAACAAGTGGGCACCAAGTCATGCAAAGCCCGTGCTCCAGCCCAGATTCTTTCTCTCATTTACTAGGTGACCAGAGAAAGTCATGGAACCTCTCTGAGCTCAGCCACCCCTCTACATCCAATACAGACAAGAATAATCTCTGCTTTGTCCAACTCCTAGCACTTTAGGAGGCCAAGGCAGGTGGATCACCTGAGGTCAAAGAAAATAATCTCTGCTTTGTCCAGTATCAGAGTCAACAGAAGCTTGGGGTTAAGAAAGGCTTTCTGGGAGACTGATGCAGTATGCATGTGATAGGGATCCTTCCCTTTAAGAAGCCTGGTTTGTAGGGCTCTCAGAAAGGCTCCTCTACACCCCAACAGACTTCTGCTCTCTCTATCCCTCAATCTGTCAAGCTGCCTGAAATTCTGCCATCTGTCATTCTTTTGGGCTAAGGTATTATTATTGTTTATATCCAGATGGCCCCTGTTAAAAGATGCCAGCGATCTGGAAATGGTAACACAGTAGCCCCAGGAGCAAAAGCATGCTTTACCATTAATAAACATCTCTCTCATGGTCATTCTCTGACCCTGGTGTTGGAAGGTAAATAGGTGTGAGCTTTCTGGAGATAAAGTTGGCAATACTCATCAAAAGCTTTACAAATATGCACACTCTTTGATGCAACAATTCCTCCTCTGGAAATTTCTTCTAAGGGAACAATGTGTTCAAAACTATGTATACAAAGAAGTCTTATTTATAGTAGCACAGAATTATAAATAAATAACTTAAATGTCCAAAATAGGTAATTGGCTAAATAACAGTATGTATGTACAATCAAATACTATCAGGGACTGTTTTGTGGGCCTGTGACAAAGGCAGTCCATCAGGGCCCCAGGCTCAGAAAGCCCCTCACTTGGTTTAATGCTCTGCTGTCACCAGCTTAAAAATCTTAATGATTTTGAGCAAAGAATCCCTCATTTTCATTTTGTGGTGGACCACACACACACTATGTAGCTACTTCCTAGAATATTACGTAGCAATTAAAATAATGCTTATGGAGAATATTTGTTGAAATGGGAAGTTGCTTCAATTAAATGAAGAAATGAGGATATGAAACCATAAATGATGCAATCCTAATTTTGTATAAAACAGAAACATGTAGATAGATAGATAGATATAAAAAAAAAAGAGTGGATGGAAATTTACCATACATTGTAACATATACAATGTTAGAGCAATTATCTCTTTTTTTTTTTTTTTTAAGACGGAATTTTGCTCTTGTTGTCCAGGCTGGAATGCGATGACATTATCTCAGCTCACTGCAACCTCCACCTCCCGGGTTCAAGCAATTCTCCTGCCTTAGCCTCCCAAGTAGCTGGAATTACAGGCATGCACCACCACGCCCAGCTAATTTTGTATTTTCAGTAAAGAAGTAGAGACGGGGTTTTACCATGTTGATCAGGCTGGTCTCGAACTCCTGACCCCAGGTGATCCACCTGCCTCAGCCTCCTAAAGTGCTAGGATTACAGGTATGAGCCACCACGCCTGGCCTAGAGTAATCATCTCTAAAGAAACAAAACTACATGTATCATTTTTATTACCATTTTCTTCTTCGGTGTTTTTTTTTTTAATTTTCCAATACAAAGACTATGACTATACTTCCTGACTAATATTTCCAGAAGAGGCAAAAATGTATGTCATAGCTGAAAACAAGCAATTGTCTCTTGTGCCTCTGAGTGAATCCGGAACCCTTCATATGCACAGTAGCCTTCTGGATAAACACATGAAGAGAAGATCAGTTGATGAGGAAACCAAGTGTTCTTATGAGCTTCTTGAAGCTGAGGACTGATTTCTGGGTCCCCACTTCCCTCTACAGGCCTGGGATGGAAGGAGCACGGATAAGTGAATGGGTGTCCTGTCTTATTTATGGCATGAGGTCATGAGTAGTCTTTACCCATGACATGTCTCACCACACATTAACCACACTATGTTTTGCGTTCTCTCTAGCCTGGGACTAGACTGTGCCCTGAGTGAATTTCTGGATCAGAGAGAGGATCTGCCCCCCAAGTCCTTTTATGCCCCATTTCTCTCTGGAGCAGAGAGCAGACTTACTCCTATGCAAAGCTGGGGGAGCACATGTGGCTCCACCTGCCTCCCTCGTGCATGTGTCGCATTGCAGGCTTCACCCCAACAGCAGGGGGCAGTAGTGATCAGCAGGCCCAGGTGGGAGGCCTGGGGTGGGGAGGTCCTCCTGCAGGGAGTGGCCCCACTAACGCCACACCCATCTCCCATAAGTCTCCTCTCCCAAATCCTTTATTCGGCTGTTGCTGACTGTCCTGACTCAGCTGAGCATGGCAAGGAACACAAGGATCCTAGAACCTTAGCTCTCTACATTCAAGGCCTGAGTTAATGTCCCCATGTGACAGATGAGAGCACAGGGGCCCTGAAAAGGGAAGGATTTGCTGAGAGCCACACAGTGAGCAAGGGGCAAACAGAGTGCTGAGCACTACTGTGGGGAGGCCAGGCTCATAACACAGAACTGCCCCATATGGGACGGCTATTCAAAAGAAGGTGGGCAGCCCCAAATATGAGTGATGCCCACTGCACTTTCTGTGTGCCCACATCTGCGACATGTGTCCCAGTCTAGGGCACACTCATGGCTATGCTGGGATGACAGGACCACCTTGCCTCTGAAGTCCAACACTTTTTTCAGCCCCGTGTTGCTAGGTGGGCCTTTTCTGCTCCACTAAGACTGAAATCTCCCCAGGACACAGGCTGGGCCTCCTCCTCCTGCCTGTCTTCCCTTCAGCATGCCCAGCACATGGCAGGGCTCACAGTGCTCAGGGAAGATGTGGGGGCTCAAATGTGGGGTGTAGAGGGTGTCACAGTGCTCATCTGTGCTCTGCCAAGCCCAGGCTGGGCTGTGGGATTTTCCTCGCCTTCCTCCTCAGTTCCCTGGTGCCCTCCTGATGAGCTCCTAAGTGTACTTCCCGCTGTCCCACCTCAGGCCTTCACCGGGTGGTGGGCTACTGGGAGCTCTTCTCCACAGCGCCTCCTTTCCTCTCCTTCAGCTCCATTCTTCTCTCCTTAGAGCCCAGCCCTAGTGAATCCCACTCCCTGGACTCTCACCTGGGCTCCCACAGCCTCTGGCCTATAACCCTGGTGACCATGAACGCTTCAAGAAGCAATTTAGTCCATTGGGGTGGGGACCTTCAGAGCCCCACAGATCTGTGTTCAGACCTGGTTCTTCTACTGAACAACATGGGTGAACTTGGCAAGTCCCTTAAGCTGATCTGTGAAAAGGAGATGCTAATCCCTGCTCACGTGGATAGGCATGAGGCTTCAGAGACAGCACAGAGAGTGCCTGGCAGAGCAGGTAGGCAGCTAACAGCTGCCATTTGTACCTTCACTGGGTTATTTATATCTAAGGTCATTCTCCCTGTGAGATGAAGAGCGCTTTGAGGGCAGGGGTGGGGTCTTTTTGGTATCCCAGGACTTAGCATAGGTTGAAACAATGAATGGATGAATGAAGTGTCTGGGGATGGTCAGGGTACACTCTGAGAAGTCTGCCCCTCACCATAAGATTCTGGAAAACATCCTTCACCCCTCACACCCAGCTGTGCTCAGCCCTCAGGCCCTCCTCTCCACCTTAGCCCCATTCTCAGTGCTTGCAATGACAGCCCCACTCCAATGACTTTTTCCCTCCTAATTACCCTTTTAAATAAAATTTATGAAGGTTTTCATAAATTTTAAAACTGATTTACACACTTTAATAAAAGCATGTGATGGACAGGGAGTATTAGGCTGCAGATTTTCTACAATGAAATTGACGTGAGCACATCCCAGATTATCAAGTTTGGGAGCTGCCCCCTCCCCCAGCCTCCAGGAGCTCCCCGCTTGCTCAGGATTGACAAATGTGTCTCTTTCTTGGCAGACAACAGTGAGCTGGGACGGAGACAAGCTCCAGTGTGTGCAGAAGGGTGAGAAGGAGGGGCGTGGCTGGACCCAGTGGATCGAGGGTGATGAGCTGCACCTGGTAGGTTCCTGGGCTGGGTCAGGCCGGGTCCCCAGAGGCCCTGGTCATTGTTGAGGTCCAGATGGACCTTGGAAAAAGGCACCATGGATGGGCCTTGGTTCTGTTCTAAAGCTTCTCTTCCAAGGGCCTGGAAAAGATGCCTGGGTGACTTTAAAAACCAAGCAATGTATTTTCAAGGTCTAGGCTGACCCAATCATCTAATCAGAGGGAAGAGGTGAGGAGTTATATCCATTAAGCATCAGCAATGAGCTAAGCCCTTTTGCATTCTATAACTCTATTCTCTCAGAATAGGAATATGGCTCTTATTTTAGAGATGAGGACCTGGGGGCTCTGAAAGATTAGATTACATGTCCAAATTGCACAACTAGAAAGTGACAGAACAAACATTTGCTCCCAAATGATGTATATATTCACCATGCCAAATTGTATAGGCCAAAGCCAAGAAGGATTCTCTAAGCTTCTCTAAGATATGATCTCAATCTGGGTCAGCGGGAGGTGATTCGGGAGGGGAAGCGTCAAGGGGTCCTGTTGGTCAGCTCTGAGCCACATCCATTCCTCTCAGCCAGCTCTGTCTGTAGGGTGCTGCAGAGCACTCCACTATACAGTTTAACTGTCTTTCCAAACAATTGGTTACTTAAACCAACTCTTGGGGAAAAATAACAGCCAATGAGTATTTTTAGAGTTCTTGCCGTAAGTGTGACTCTGCTCTGGCCAATGACCAACATCTGCTTTTGTTTCAGGAGATGAGAGTGGAAGGTGTGGTCTGCAAGCAAGTATTCAAGAAGGTGCAGTGAGGCCCAGGCAGACAACCTTGTCCCAAGGAATCAGCAGGATGTGTGGGCCAGGATCCCCCTCTTTGCACAGCATGAGGCAAAAATGTCCAGCCACCCCCAGGCATCTGTTAGCAGAGTCTGTCTCTTGGCTTTGTCACTTTTCCTTTTCTTAAAACAAAGCCATGCCAATAAAGTGATCTGTGTTCAAAACGTCTGTTTGGGGGAAGTTTCACTGCCCACTGTGCTCACTTTTTCTCCAGGGCTTCTGAGGCCAGCTTCTCCTAGTGCCACCCATGGGCAGAGTGGATAAATTCAGCCACATGTCCTGAAATTGCACCGTGTTTCTCTCCAGAGGCACAGGCTTGGGTCTAGAATGGGAGGTGGGAGAGTGGCCTGACATTCAATCATTTGTGTATCAAGTAGCTACCATGTTATGTATCTAATTGTGGCCAAAGTATAGTGAGTGCCACAAAAGCAGGAGAAGATACCTTCCACCCTAGAGATCCAACCAACAGAGAATGTCTATATAACTGCACAGTACACCAAGGAGATGCTTCATCATTATTTGTGAATGAAATGGAACTGGACAGAATTTTAAGCCCAAAGCATAAAATTACTTAAACATAAGTAATTACCTATTGGATTTAATTTCAGAGATGTCATGAGATGTCACCACCCTCAGACCATCCACCCCATCTACGGGCTGGTATCAGCCCTTTCTTTTCACTGTTGTAGATGAAGCAGAACTTGCAATTCCCCCTAAAAGAGACAGAGCAGCCTCACGTTCACACTAAAGTGTAGGAGATTGCTAGCTGCACCTTTGCATAAAGAAACACAAACAGGAGTGAGGATGTGAGAGATCGTGGATAGGGAAAACAATTGGAAAAGAGAAGACACATGGAGGACTCCCTTTGTGAATCTGACAATATGCCCAGACTATGCCCTACTCCTTGACAAGAGTTAGGAGTCAGAACAGCTGAGTAAAAATCCCAACTTCAGCACTCACAGGGCAACACCACACTCCTCTGGACTTCACTTCTCCAGTCAGAAAACCACAAAACGAACCTGCCTCACCTACTGCACAGGTGGGTTGTGAAACTTGTAACCTGCAAAGCACTGGACCAGTAGTTCTCAGACCTGGCTAAATGTTAGAACCACTTGGAGAGTTTTCAAAATTCCATATGCACAGGCCACTCCCTACAACCAATTACATCTAAATGTTTCAAAATACCAGGCATACTATGTTGTTTGCTTATTTTTTGAGCGGGTCTTATTCCGCTGCCCAGGCTGGAATGCAGTGGCACGATCTTGACTTGCTGCAACTTCCATCTCCTAGGCTCAAGCAATCCTCCTGCCTCAGCCTCCCAAGTAGCTGGGACTACAGGTGTGTGCCATGATGCCTGGCTAATTTTTGTATTTTTTGTATAGATGGGGTTTCACCATGTTGCCCAGTCTGGTCTTGAACTCCTGGGCTCAAGCAATCCTGCCTCAGCCTTCCAGAATGCTGGGATTACAGGTGTAAGCCTTTGCACCGGCCACTACTTATGTTTTTAAGGTTCCCCCAGGTGATTTTAATATGCAACTGGAGTTGAAAACTGGTGCCCTAGACCAGTTTCAGGGTTCTCAACTGGGGGGTCAGTCAGTGCTCATTCCACCCCCAGGGTTAGAGATATTTAGCGATATCTGGAGACACACTTTATTTCACAACTTGGGTGCAGGGCACTATTAGCATCTATTGGTTAGTGGCTACGGATACTGCTAAACATCCTATTATGCACAGGAAAGCTCTCACAACAAATAATTATCCCACCCAAAATGTCAATAGTCGTGACATTGAGAAACCCTGCCTCACACAAATGTAAGAAATGCTTTTTTTTATTATAGGAATCATTTCCCTAGCCTAGACAAGGAAATGAAAACTCAAAATTGCATAATATTCTGTAGACCCCTGCACCGCTGTGGCCCTGGTCTCTGTTCCTGAGGTTGGAAAACTCAAAGGTAAAGAGTCTTATAAAGACCATTCATTCATCACACACATATTTAATGAAGATCTATTATGTGCCAGGCACTAATCTTCTTGGGCATGCAGAAATGTTTGAAACACCGCAAGTTCCCATCCCATCCCAGGTATTGCAACTTCCATCACACCTCCACCCCCAATGCATAAAAGCCTCACCCAACAGTTAAGTTCTGATGGAGGACTCAAAATTACGGCCTTGTTAGCCTAAGTGTGCACGGAATGTAGGAGTTGTGGCCCTACCCTCAGGAACCTCTGGTCCCATGGGAAGATTCAGTCCCACGCTGATTGAACAGCTTGAATACTGGGACTGATCTTAGTGGGCAGTGGGGAGCCACAGGAGGTTTTTGAGCAGAAAAGTGACATGATCATCCTCTGAGCAGAATTAATCAGGCAGCCATTCTCTTGGTAGTAAGAAAAAAAAAAGAGTGAGGAATACCAGTTAGCACAGGACAGTCACATTTAATTCGAAATTCACTTCATATGAGATTAATCTTCCCAAAGAAATACATGTAAAGTAAGAGGAATGTTTCCTATTTTACATAAATCTATAACCACAGAAACAGACTTTTGGCTTTAATGCTGCTTTTCATTTTCTCAGCACTATCCAAAATTTGCAGAGGGCTTGCTCCTAAGTTGGTGGCAGCATGCATCACGGGGGTCGTTCGGGCTTCTTGGTGGCATGTTAGCACCTCTCACCTCTGGTCCAAAGCTACTGATGTTCGCTCCATTTTTGGAACACTACTGCAAGTTCCACACTTAACCAGCACTTGGATGCCATTGTTATAGGATATAAAAAAAGATTTTCAATTCTAACAGCACCTGATAACATAACTGGGCATTAATAAAGAAATAACTCTGTGAATTTCCAAAGCATGGCTGTGATGCCCACGAGGACTGACAAAGGATGGAGGTTGTGTATTTATCAGCTTACCTGGTACCTCTAGGCTGTGGAAGTAGAGTTAACCACATCTGACAATTCCCTGGGCCTGCCACCTTGAAAAGTACAGGATTTTTGACATTTTTGAACTGAAAGTTACAATATTTCAAAACATACTCTGAGTCTTTATTTTTTATTTATTTATTTTGAGACAGAGTCTCATGTGTCGCCCAGGCTGGAGTGCAGTGGTGATCTTGGCTCACTGCAACCTCCGCCTCCCGGGTTCAAGCAATTTTCCTTTCTCAGCCTCCCGAGTAGCTGGGATTACAGGCATCAGCCACCATGCCCAGCTAATTTTTGTATTTTTTGTAGAGACGAGGTTTTGCCGTGTTGGCCAGGCTGGTCTCAAATTCCTGGCCTCAAGTAATCTGCCCGCCTCGGCCTCCCAAAGTGCTGGGATTACAGGCAGGAGCCACCGCGCCTGGCCTCTGAATCTTTATTAATATATATACATTACATAACTGCAAGTTTTTAAAAAGTAGGACTGTCATGTGAAGTAACTCTGGCAGGATGCACTGAAGCTGAGCCCAGCGCAGTAACAGGCCCTCAGTGAGGAAAGGCAGAGCGTGAAGTGGTTGAGTGTCCAAGCTCTGGAGGCACAGGGCCGGGGTTAAAATCCCAGCTCTGCCACTTCCTAGTTCTGTGAAGTTAAGGCAAGTCATGCAAACTCTCTGTGCCTCAGTTTATTCATCTGTAAATTGAGGCTAACTACTACTCATAGATGTTTTGTAAGGATTAAATGAATCTAATACATGTAAGCAACTTAGAGTAGATATATTTTATTTGCAAAGAGATTTGAACAGTGTCTGGTATATAACAAGCCGATTTACATGTGGGGTTTTTTCTTCTTTTTTTTTTTAAATGGGCCTGAGAGGCACCTCAGGAGTGGAATCCACATGACTTTTTGCTCACAGGGCATGGATAGAAACTGAAACCCAGGGAGAGCCAGGGAAGCATTTAATAGAAATTGAGGAGGGAGATTAGTGGGTAGCCTGGCTAGGGCGGGAAGCCCCCAGACACTGTCTCAGTAGCAAGGAGAGGGGCTAGGACAGGGCTTTTACCTCCTGAGGATGCAAACCCAGCTGCAGGTTGTCTGCCACCCCTCTCTCTACACACACACACAAGATACTAGTCAGGACATTGGAGCTTCTGATGCACAGACACCATGACCCGAAATCACAGAGCTGGTGGGAGGACAGACTTCGGACCCTAAACTCCCAAGACTCCTAAAATATTCCCTGGGCAACCTCCAAAATCTTTCCACAAGAAAAACATGGCAAATTGAACCCCAAGGGCCTCTCTGGAAGCCCTAATGTATAACTTCTGTCTCAATTAACCAGGGCACGACTATTGCTCCTTTCAGGAGCAAATTAAACAGCTCAACACTGCGATTGCACCTGTGTAACTCTCCTAGCTGTTCCCTATCCATGCCAACACTGCATGTATATATATATACACATATATATTTGATTCACTCTGAGAGGGACACTTAATAATGACATTTCCTATCCCCCCTCCAATTATCAAAATAAACCCTACCAGTCCTTCAGAGACAACCAACAGCCCACAAGATCCCCCTTGTTTGAGCGCTGAGCCTCTCAAAGGTGATCCTGGCCACTTCTACTTTCTGAAACAGGTGCCCCCAATAAAGAAATACTAGATCAGAATTACAAAAGTTGAAGATTATTTTAAGTGATTACATATAACAAATTAAATACAATGTAACATAATTAGGTGGTGCTAGTTCCAAAATAAGCATGGGACTTATAAAATTTATGAATTCATAGTGTAACTGGGGCAGTCTGGTCCAATCATCATGCACAGTTTACAGGCGGAGAACAACTTCATTCTGTCCCATCGCTGTCTCTCTTCAACCTTTGTGTGTAATTTCATTTGGAGATAATATCAAAAGTTGCAAAGTCTTTCATGAATGTGATATCTGGGCCAAATAGTCCCTGCCTTCAACACTGCATTCCCCATTGGAGGCCCTGTTTGAGCTCCTAACATTTAACTCAGTCTTACCATCTTAGACACATCTAGTAGTCATTGGTCTTGTTTGTGGCTGCCCACCATCTTTTGAACAACTCTCCCGTGTTTGGGGAATTTCCTTCCACCCAGCTAGGAATTCCATCTCTCCTAGGTATTAACAGCAGGATGAACTCACTTTTTCAGCTGATCTTGCAACCATGCTTCAGGCATAAGGCTGAGGTTCCCCTAATTAGATGCACCCCAGTGAAGAGATTTGGAAAGAGAGCCATGTGAGGAAGGTAGATTATATGGATTTGATCCTTTGGAAATGGTGGCAGCAGAGGAATGGCTTTGGGACAGCACCAGTGGTAGAGCTTCTGGTTCCTGCTGTCCAGTGTCATGGGCATTATCTACATTGGCGGTGGACACTGAGTAGTACTGCAGTGTAGATTGTGTATTGCTCCCTGATGCATAGCCTTTAGGCTTGATCCTAGAGATCTGTGGGATACCTAAAATTCTGTAATTCCTTTTCCACTTGAGCTATAGTGCGTTCTGTTTGCAATAAAGCACACTGACTGCCACACCTTTTGATGGGTATCTGCCTATCTCATAGCCCTCTTCTCTTCCCTGAGACCAGCCTCTCGTACCCATGGTGCCAGGCAGGAGAGGAAGCTGCTGCCATGTCTGTTCTTTCCAGCCTGGCCCACAGCCATAGCTGATTGACCAGGTTAGATAGACACCTGACTCATGACACCAAACAGCTCTCCCCTGGAAATCTGGAATGAGAATTCAGAGATGCTGGTGAGTCTCTGTTGTTGCTCAAATTGAGGATCCAGAGCCTGAGTTTTGGTGGGGCAGGAGGGGAAAGGAGTGTTCTGTTGACCTGTGTATACCAAGGCAGAAAAAGCTGGTCTGCAGAGAGAAAAATAAAGCAAATATGCAGAGAGAAGCCTGCAATGGAAGTTTCCATGTTCCTGGTGGCTTTTTAGATTGTGGACACAATAATCCTTTGTCAGGCCAAGTGACACTTCCCACTGGAAGACCTTAAGACTTATTCCTGTAGCTTCATATCACATTTCTCTTTCAGGCTTAAGCCAGTAGAATTTTGTTACTTTAAACTATAAGAATATTTTCTAAAATAGCCACTAATTTGGTAATTATCACGTACCTCTTGAGATTTCCCAAGATGGTTGTCTTGTATTGCTATTTTTTTCTATAATGTTTATATAAATATAATATTATATATAATATACACTTATACTTTTATTATATGAGTCTTATACATATAATAGCTTTGTTTTATACATAATCATGTGAGTTTGTGGGGTGGGGAGGCTACACTTAGCATATCTCTGCCATACATACCCTCTCACCTTCTTGAAGTAATTATATCAATTTTTTTTTTTTTGAGATGGAGTCTCACTCTGTCACCCAGGCTGGAGTGCAATGGTACAATCTCGGCTCACTGCAACCTCTGCCTCCCAGGTTCAAGCAATTCCGGTGCCTCAGGCTCTGAAGTAGCTGGGACTAGAGGCGCCTGCCACCACACCTGGCTATTTTTTATATTTTTAGTAGAGACAGGGTTTCACCATATTGGCCAGGCTGGTCTTGAACTCCTGGTCTCGTGATCTGCCCGCCTCAGCCTCCCAAAGTGCTGGGATTACAGGAGTGAGCCACCAAGCCCAACTCAATTTTTTAAATTACTTCAAATACATGATCACTTGTAAACATGTTTAGCTCTGAAGTGTGGAACTTAGAGGGCCAGGAGGAAAAGCATGACACTTGACTTTTACTTTTCATTTTATATCATGTTATATGATTTAAGTCATTTTAAAATGAGAATATATTCTCTTTATAATTAAGAAAAAGCTAATACCTCCTAATGAATGAATGAATCAAGGCAGTGATATCATAAAATAGAGAGGCAACCAGGAGGTGCTTGTGCCTCCTACAACACAGCACCTATGACGTGGTCTGCCAAGAGGTCAACTCTGAACCTGATCAAGACTTTGGATCTAGCTACAAATTTACAGAAAATGCAGAGATAGAGGGACAAATTAAAGGACATTATAGGGATGCAATCAGTAAAATGTAGACTGAGAGAAATTCTACAGAAGACTGGTTTCTTCTTGAAATAAATTGCAAGGAACAAAAAAGAAACCAAGAAGGAACCCACAGACTAAAGGAGATTCAGGAGACATATCAATCCATTGTACTACATGGCCTGTATTTGAAGGCTAATTTGAACAAATAAACTGTAAAAACAAAATAAACTTTAAAAAGGTAATTAGGGAAATTTGTAAACTGATTGGATATTTGATATTACCAAAAATACTGTACTGCTAAATTTTCAGGTGTGACAATGGCATTAAGGTCATGTATGTTAAAAGTTCTCTTTTAGAAATATATGCTAAAATATTTATGGGTAAAAGGGCATAATGTCTGGGATTTGTTTCAAGATAACTGAGGAGGAAAATAATAGCAGGAATGGAGTTGAAATGAGACTTGCCATGAGTTGATAAATTTTGAAGCTGGGTGATGGGTATATGGAATTCATTCAACTATCTTGGCTGCTTCTATAGATGTTTGAAATATTTCATGATTAAAAACTTTTTTAAAAGCAAATTAAAATAAATAAAATTTAAAATAAATAAGCCTGAACAAAATCAAACTCCATCTGGCTTCACTGTGAATCCCCTTGCAGAGCTGGTTGGCAGGGTTAGGCAGGCACTTTCCACTGTAGATCAAAGTACGGAAAGCAATCACTTCTCCTGGAAGGGAAGATGGAGGGTGAAGCTGCTTGTGAGTGGAAGCTGAGAAGCTGCAGTGCACTCTGGCCATCTGGTCTCCCTCAGCTCACAGGTGCTCTGGTTTCTAGGGCTGCACTGGGAAATGTGGTGCCAGCACCATGACTACAATACATCTCCACTCCATCTCAGCTAGCTTGCTCTACCACCCATCTGCAGCCAGCTTTCTCTGGCATAAACCATCCACATGGACCTCTGTAGCCAAGGGGCTGTTCAGAGGTGTGTGGGAATAATGGATCATCTGGAGCCAGATTCAGGTTCAGGTGCCCCAGTAGTCCAGGAGTGGCGGTAGGAGGCCACATCAAGGCAGTGGAATGGAGAGGAGGGGTGTTTGCAAGCAGCAATGCTAAGGGAGAATCCAAAGGACTTATTGAATGATCACATATAGAGAGAGAGAGAGATGGGAAAGCAGAAGAATCCAGAAAAAAATTCCCATCAAAAGTGCAGGGCAGTTTATTTCCTTTATATCCTTCGATCTTCACCATGAGTGTAGTGGACCACTGCCAATTTGCTTGTTGCACCTCTGTTCCTGAGGCCAACATGGAGGACAGCAGGGCACAAGAGATGAAGAGGTGCTTCCTTATTTAAGCAGCAGGAGTCAGTCCTTCCTGAAGTCAGTCCTAACCCTGTACTTTTTACTTATAAGTCAATAAGCAAACCCAACCCTTAACTAGTATGAGTTGGGGTTCTATTATTTGCAACTAAAATAGTCCTAACATAACAGTCTTGTGAGATAAATATTATTATCCCCATCTTCTTGATAAATAAATTGAATCTCTGAGAAGTTAATAAAATTGGTTAAAAGTATGCACTTATATATGTCAAAATAAGATATTCTTTCTTCCTAACCCATTTTTTTCTTTCCTCATTCATCTTTTATTTGAACTACAGAATAAGAGATTTTTGTGAGCATTGAGGTTATATAACAGGAGGTAGTCTCAGTGTTAACCAGAGAATTTTCCTGTAGACATTTAAGTTTGTTTGTTTGTTTGTTTGTTTTTGATACAGAGTTTCATTCTTGTCGCCCAGGCTGGAGTGCAATGGCATGATCTCAGCTCACTGCAACCTGTCTCTCTGATTCAAGCAATTCTCCTGCCTCAGCCTCCCAAGTAGCTGAGATTACAGGCCTGCACCACTACACTCAGCTAATTTTTTTTTTTTGTATTTTTGTATTTTTGCATTTTTGGTAGAGATGGGGTTTCACCATGTTGATCAGGCTGGTCTCAAACTCCTGACCTCAGGTGATCCACCCGCCTTGGCCTCCTAAAGTGCTGGGATTACAGGCGCGAGTCACCACACCCTTAAGTTTTAAAACTTAAGTACATTTAAGTTTTAAAACTAGAAGGAACTAAAGCCCCCTCCAATGCTGCCTAGGACTTCTAAGATCTAATCTGGCACCCACCACCCCACTACCACAAACACACCATTCTAACAGATCCTAGACCCTGGAGGTGGGAGATAGGAGGTGAGGGGAGCAGAGTGGTGATAAGACTTAAGTAGATGAAGCAGTGGAGAAGGAGGATAGAGACCTAGAGGAGAAGAGAGCTGAGGTGGTTTTAAAATATTTTGGCAAATTCTTTGACACAGCTTCTTCAAAAGGTGCAGACTAATTTCCTTTCACTTGAATGTGGACTGGCAGCAGAAGTAATGGTGTGTGACTTCCAACTCTAGGTCACAAGAGGTATAGCTTTCTCCTTGCTCTCTCTTCTGGACCACTTGATCTGAAGGAAGCCAGCCACTAGGTCATGAGGACATTCGAGCAGCCCTGTGGAAAGGCACATGTGGAGAGCAACTGAGACTTCTCACCCACAGCCTGTGAGCCACCATTAAGAGAAGATTCTCCAGCCCAGCTAAGCTACTCTTAAATTCTGGACCCAGAGGACTGTAAAATAATAAATATTTGTGTTATTTCAAACTACTAAGTCTTGGGGTAATCTGTTACAAAGCAATCAATAACTAATAAAGGAACTCTCAGATACACAATCAGGTTGGTTTCTGGAACCAGGAAGGACTGCTGTGCCCTGTCTTGTGAACCCCATGTGTCTGGCACACCAGTTCACAGCAAGACTTTCTTTCCACTCTGCAGGGTTTTGTAGGCAGAACTAAGAGGCAGCACTGGGATTGGCACCTGGGTCTCTGTGATGCCAAAGACTCTTCCCTTCTCATGAGGACACATTGCACAGTCTGGGTGCCAAGAAGCTACAAAAAGGGGACCCTGTAGCAGGTGGGGGAAAGAGCTAACAAACCTCAACTTGTTCTGAATCCTAAAGAGTCCAAAACTAAAGGATAGAATAAGATGCCAGTTCTCCTATCAACTTAATTACTTAATTAACTCAATGGAAATGTGATTAAGGTAGAGATTGAGATGAGATCATACCGGATTATGGTGGTCCCTAAATCCAATGAGTCTCTCTTTATAAGAGATAGAGACACACACACAGAAGGAGGCAATGTGAATATGGAGGCAAAAACTGGAGTGATGTGTTCACAAGACAAAGAATGCCAAGGGTTGCTGGCAACCACTAGAAGATAGCAGGGACCATTGAACAGATTCTCCCCTTGGAACCTGCAGAAGGAACCAACCCTGCCAACATCTCGATTTTTTTCTTACTTCTGGCCTCCTGAACTGAGAGAATAAATTTCTGTTATTATAAGCCACGAAACAAAAACACCAAGACAAACAAGAACAAGAACAACTACAACAAGAGCAATAACCCCAATGAAATAAAATAAATAAATGAGAGCAATATCAGATAACAATTTCAAAATGGCCTTGGGGGATTGAGATATCTCCCTGAAGTCTTTCATTCCTCGGTAAATGTGTGTTGACCACTGGCTCAGTGCTGAAACCATGACTGGCCATTCACTCAGGAAATGTCACATCAGGACAAGGGACTGAATGAGTACTCCAGAGGGCCAGTGCTCCAGGAGCTTGCTGGCATCTAGAGGGCAGTGTGAGATGCAGGAATCTAGAAAGACTCCCTGCAAGGGGGTTAAATACTTCCAAAGCTAAGGGGATATTTCTAGCAAGCACAGATACACAACCCCAGGTGTAGCGCTGTAGGCTGGTCCATTGTGTGGGGGCATTACCAGAAGGAAGAAGTATCTTTCTGCTTCTAAAAGAAGAACCTTAAGGGAGCAAGGCCTTAATCCAAAAAAGTGCTCTTAGACCCTCTGTGATGTCTCAGACACTGTGAGAAGTGGCAGGGGAGTTAGTTTCAGGGAACTTCCAGTGCCCACAGTAGCACCTTAATTCCTGTCATGTAGCATCTGCCCTGCTCATTTTGGTGTTTAAAGCCCCCTGAAGTCCCTTTTCTGAAAATCTGAACACTCTCTTTCTGTTTGAGCTAGGCTTGTCTCCTGAAGTGAATGTGATGGCTCCTGCACGACATTATTTTCCTTCCCATTTTCTCCTGAAAAATGCCTGATCCTTCCCTTTCTAGCAATTCTTACGAACTTGCTCAAAAAGTGCTTCCTCCAAGAAGCCCTCCTTGAGTCACTCTTTTCTAACTAAGTTTACTCAATTTCAGTTGGTTTGGTTCTGCTGAAATCTTGGCAGACAGGGGCCAAGTCAGGTTGCATATCAAGGAACTCTTTCTTACTGACCCATTTGATGACCACAGGGCCTCCATTAGACTTTCTCTAGCCAGGCAGGACCTAGTCTCATGCTGTTCACCTCTCCCTCTCTGCTGCTCCCTGAGTTCTCTAAGTTACTGGGTACAAAACTGTGCAATAAGTTAATTAATAGCCTGAACTTCACACAGTGTGTTTATCAGCCCAACCTTGATCATGCTTACATTTATGGCCCTTCTATGAAGACCTCCAGACCGTGTTAAGAAATCTTCCTGCCACGTAGCCATAGGTGGGGACCTTTGGCCCACAAAAGAGGCCACCTCTGAGAGGGTGCTGTTCTTCAGATGAGGTGGGCATTGCATCACCTAATCTGGGGTATGAAGATAATGCTTGGATATGTCTTCAGAAAATCTCTGCTCTTTTGCACTTTGGGACTCTCATTATTTTATAGCCCCTGATTAATAAACCCTCAAGGTTGCTGTAATCAACCACAGATTTTTCCCCCCAAGCCCTGCCTATTCTTCAAGACTCAGCTAAAAGCCCTACCTAAGCAAGATGACTTTCCCTTTGCCCTAGATAACCACTGCTGGCTAACATTATATCATTAATAAATTTTATTCTTTTTGTATTCTACTTACTCCCTTAAAAACCTTTGAATTAAACTGTAAATCAAAATTTAAATAGCAAAATGGTTAGAAATTGGTGATAATATTAAAACTACATGGGAAAAATATTTGCAAATTACATATTTGACAAAGGACTCATATCTAAAACAATATGGAACTCTCTAAACTCACCAGTTAAATAAAAAAAAAATCCAATAAGAAAATGGGCAAAAGACTTGAGTGGACATTCCACCAGTGAAGAAACAGAGATAGTAAACAAACACATTAAAAGATGTTTAACACAATTAGACATTAAGAAAATCCACATTAAAACCACAGTGACATACCACTAAATACTTGTTAGAATGGCAAAAATTAAAAATACTGATAATACTAAATGCTAGCTGGTACTAGTGCAGAAATAGACACATAAACCAATGGAACAGAATACAGAACCCTGAAATAAAACTGCACACCTACAACCCACTGATCTTTGACAAAGTCAGCAAAAATAAACAATGGGGAAAAGATACGCTAGTCAATAAATGGTTCTGTGAAAACTCCCTAACCATATGCAGAAGAATGAAACTGGATCCGTATCTCTAATCATATACAAAAATTAACACAAGATGGATTAAAGATTTAAATGTAAGACCTCAAACTACAAAAATCTGAGAATAAAACATAGAAATACACTTCTGGGCACTGGTCCAGGCAAAGAATTTATGACTAAATTTTCAAAAGCAAATGCAACAAAAACAAAAATTGACAATTGGGACCTAATTAAACTAAAGAGCTTCTGCCCAGCAAAACAAAACAAAACAATCAACAGAGTAAACACACAACCTACAGAATAGGAAAAAATATTTGCAAACTGTGCATCTGACAAAGAATCTATAGAAAACTTGAATAAATCGGCTGGGCGCGGTGGCTCATGCTTGTAATCCCAGCACTTTGGGAGGCTGAGGCAGGCGGATCACGAGGTCAGGAGATCCAGACCATCCTAGCTAACACAGTGAAACCCCGTCTCTACTAAAAATACAAAAAATTAGCCAGGCATGGTGGCAGGTGCTTGTAGTCCCAGCTACTCAGGAGGCTGAGGCTGGAGAATGGCGTGAATCCCGGGAGGCAGAGCTCGCAGTGAGCCGAGATCGCGCCACTGCACTCCAGCCTGGGGACAGAGCGAAACTCCATCTCAAAAAAAAAAATAACAATAATAATAATAATAAGCATAAGGACAATAGGAGGAAGAAATTGCTAAAGCAACAAGCAGAAATTAATGACACTGAAAACAAAAATAAAACAAATCTAAGAGTTGGATATTTAAAAATAAAGACACTACTACCTAATAACCAAACTAAGAAAAAATAAGAAATCACAAATACATAAAACTAAAAATAGAATGGGGAAACAGCCACTGATACAGAGGAAATAAAAGTAAATACAATTATTTCCTCAAAAAATGGAAAATTTTCAAGTAAAATAAGAAACACCAAAACTGGTCCTAGAATAGGCAGAAAATCTAAAGAGACCAATTGCCTTAGATGAAATCAAGAAAGTTATCAAGGAAATATCCTTTCCCACAAAAGCACCATGCCCAGATGGTATCATAGGCAATTTTTAATTAAATCTTCAAGGGGCAAATGATACTACTGCATTTTTTCTTTCAAGGTTTCGTGTGTGTGTGTGTGTGTGTGTGTGTGTGTGTGTGTGTGTATAACTTTGTTCCTTTTTGTCTTTGTTCTTTCATTCTCTCCACTTTAATGTTAGCATATTTTTACAAGATGTGCATTGTTCCATGGTACTATATTTTTAACTTATGTAAATGAGATTGTGTTATATATCTCATTGTGTTTCCTACATTTTTTTTTGCTTCATTCATTTGGGAGGGGGGTTCATTCATGTTGCTCTGTACACATTTAATTAATTGCTTCTAATAGTTTTATAATATTTCATGATGTACATTTACCACATTTTACCTCTTCACCTTGCCAGTATGGGATACACAAGTTCCTACAATGTCCCTATACAGGCCACTCATGGATCTATGTGAGAATTGCCTCAAGATATGTACTCCAGAAGTGGAAGGGTCTAGGGAATGCATAGACAATGTGTTTGACTGAATAGGGCCAGACTATGTTTGAGGTGGCTGTACCATCTACACATCCTCAAGCTCCCATATCCTTCTGTCCTGTGTATCACTACCACACTTGGAATTATCCACCTTCTACCTTTGGCTGGTTTAACAACTATAAAGTTATACTTCATTATTGTCTAATTCACATTTCCCTGACTCCTAATAAGTTTGCATACCATTTCACATATTTGTTAGAATTTTGAGTTTTACCTTCTGTGCTTGTAGTAGATATTATTAATATTCATTTGTTGGTTTGGATATTGCAACTGTTTTCTCTCATTCTGTTATAAATTAGCCTTCTCAGTAGTATCCTTTGTTGAACAGAAATCCTTAATTTTCTTTTAGAATGTTAGAAATTTCTTTACTATTATTTTTGGAATGTTAGAAATTTTTCTATTTTTTTCCAGAAACTCTTAATTTATATGTAATAAATATAATTTTTTGCGTGATAGTTTGTGTTTCTGAAGTTTTGTTTAAGAAGTCTTTCCTTCTTAGGTACAGAAATAATCTCCTACATCTTCTTAAAATGTTGTAGTTTTACCATTCACAGTTAGGTCTTTAATTAACATAGAATGCACCTTTGTATGTGGTGTTGGCAAGATATCTGGTCTTATTTCTCTCTGTATAATGAACCAGTTTGCTCACTCTCTGTTCCTCTCCCATTGAATCATAGTGGCACTTTCACTGTACACTAACTTCCCACATACACAGTGGTCTGTCTCTGAACTCTGTATTTTGCTCCACTGGTCTGTTTATCTAAACTTGTGTCAATATCATTGTATATTTATTACTTTGGCTTTGTAGTATATCTTAATATCTGGTAAGATAAATCCCCATCCTTCACTGTTCTTTATAAAGACTTAGCTATACATGGACTTTTATTCCTCCATATGAATTTTAGAGTGAATTTATCATATTCCCAAAAACATCTACATGGAATTTCATTTGGGAATACATTGAGTTTATAGATGAATTTGTGGGCAATATAAATCTTTGCAATGTTAAGTTATCCAATCCAAGGGCATAGACTGTCTCCCCCTTTATTCAATCATCTTCTGTGTCCTTTAATGGCAGTTTTAAGATTTCTCCTTAGAGATATTGTGTGTTTTTGCTTCTATTAATTCCTAGACTCTTTGTAGATTTCTTGCCCTTGTGAATAATTTCTCCCTCTTTTATTATATTTTCTAGTAAGTTATAGGTTGCATAAGGCAATACTATTGATTTTTGTAGGTTGCTCTTATATCTGGCAAACTTTCTGAATTCTCTTATCAGTTCTAATGGATTGGGTGTTGACTGTGATTTTTCCTAGGTAAATGATTATACCACCTCAAATAATGACAGCTTTAAGTCTTCACTTCCAACCCTAACCACCTCTTATGTAAAACAATCTAGGACAGAGAGAGGAAAAAGAAAAGCTTCCAAATTTATTTTACAAACCAGTACAGTATTCATACCCCAAACAGACAAGATAGTCTCAAATTTAAAAATGATATATTAGCCTTATTCATAAATATACATGTAAATATTCTAAATAAATATAACCAAATATAATCACAAAGCACATTTTAAAATATGCCATAAACAATGGTGTTAATTCCTAGAAGGTAAGGAAGATTCAATGTGATTTATTATATTAATATGTTAAAAGAGAAAATCATACAATGCTGAACATCTATTATTGATACTAACTTAAAAATGAATGCTGAGTAAAATAGATATGGATGGCTGACTTCTTAACAAGATACATTAAACTAAAAACTAACAAATCAGTCTTATCGTAAAAACACTACTAAAAGTATTTCCACTAAAATCAAGAAAAAAACAGGCTGGGCAAGGTGGCTCACACCTGTAATCCCCAGCACTTTGGGAAGCCGAGGCAGGCGGATCACCTGAGGTCAGCAGTTCGAGACCAGCCTGGCCAATATGGTGAAACCCTGTCTCTACTAAAAATACAAAATTTAGCCAGGCATGGTGGCGCACACCTGTAATCCCAGCTACTTGTGGGGCGGAGGCAGAAGAATTGCTTGAACTCAGGAGGTGTAGTTTAAAGTGAGCCAAGACAGCACCAATGCACTCCAGCCTGGGTGACAGAGCAAGACTCCATCTCAAAAAAAAAAAAAAGAAGAAGAAAACAAAAATGTCCACTGTCATCAGTATTATTAACTACTTTTTTGGAAGGTTTAGCCATTACATTTAGACAATCAAAAGCAATAAAAGTATAAAAATCGGAAATAAAAAGAAAAAACTATCAATATCTGTAGATGATGCAAATGCATACATAGAGAGTAGTCTCATGAGGCCGTCTGCTCCTCAACTAAAAAGAGTTCTGGAAATCCTCACTCATTATACTGATATGATCTGAAAGTTGCTTAAGTGTTTCCAAGTCAGATACCTCTACCTAAGAATCAATACTTTGAAGGGTCAGTATTTGAAGTAACCTTTTCCATAAGACTCTGAGCCTGTCCTTCTTTGTTGAAGACACCAACCCCAGCCTGTAGCTAACAGGAGAAACTTCAATAAGCATTAGAGTAAAACAAAAACCACTCATGAATGACAGAGCTATAATTATTTTATTAATTTTCAAGTGTAAAAGGACTGATGAGAATGTATAATAAAAATAATGCAAGAACAATGCAACAAGGAAAGTTGGTTGTTTGATTGGTGGCATGCAAAACAAAGATAATAAAGCCATTCACTTGAAAAAAATGTAAACAAATATCTCCTAGGGTAATGATTAAGTCTACTTTTTAAGAAATTAGTGAATGTCATATCCACTTTATAAAACTAGATGAATATGTTTTATAGAGGAAAAATTATTGAGCTACAACACACAATAATCCTTAGATTTAGCATGTAAATAGCATACCAAGAATATCAAGAAAAGAGATTCAGTAAGTCTGGAGTAGGGCTTAGACTTCTCTATTTCTATAAAACTTTGTGAGTATATCTGTGCATTGAGAACCACTGGCCTAAAATTATTCGATTCAAGCTTTTTAAAAAATGAAAAAAGGCTGTGGCCAATTAATATTTTAAACAACAATTGAAATGCACTATTGCTCAATATCATCAGGTAAAACACTACTAAGACTCAGACAAATATAGGAAAATTCAACAGAACTACTTTATAAGACTTTTTGATCAGTGTTTTCCTTAAAATTGAAACATATACAGAAAGCAAGGCATTGATGAATAACTCATAAGGCATAAAGTTTCTAAAATATTTATATTAATAGCATCTGACCTATGCAAATTTAATCTAGAGAACACAAGACAGATCGTCTGATGTGACAACTCTTCCATGCAACCCACAAAAGCTAATCATTTCCAGTATCTCTTTTTATAAAGTAAAAGAACAAATCTTTTTGATTTTCTAGGAATCCTCTGGGAAATCTCAAAAACTGTTTTAGGTATAAAAGATGTCCTGCAAGTTTTATTTTATTTTCTTCTATATTTCAGGTCTGATTTTAGAAAGGCAAAAATCAAAAAAGCTGTCAAAGATTTGGACACTTGATTAAGATAGGTTCATGAGTGCCTGAGAAATAGTATTTGGTTTCCTATTAAAGTGACAATAAGACATTTAAAAATGAATATACAAGGTAACATGGTTGTAAAGAACCCTACATGAAAGAAAAAACTTACTTTCATAAATAAGGGACATTTTTTCCTCTTCCTCTTCCTCCTTCTTCTCCCCTGCACACCCCCACTCCTCAGCCTCCCCCTCCTCTTTTTTTTTTCTTCTTCTCGTTTTTCTACTTTTTCATAGATAAGAGCATAAAGTTAACATACAGAATGTACAACTATTCAGGTGAGTCACAGAATCTTTGCTTTCTAGGCAGATTAACAGAAAGTAAATAGGGCAACCAACTATCCTGGTTTCTCTAGGAATGTTTTGGTTTTAGCGCCAAAAATTTCACATCCAGGAAACCCTGTGGTTCAAGGCAAATCAGGAAGGTTGGTTACCATAAAAAGAATAACCATTCACATTGTAGGAAAAGACAATCAGTAAATCAAGGAACCAAGCCCATCAAGACTGAGTGAATTTTGTAGAAGTTTTAACACATTTAGTAGCTTAAATACTAAGCTTTAACTTTGAAGTTTTAGCCTTTATTATGCTCTTTCATACTCTGGTGACACTTTTATTCTAATGCAGATATCAGGGGGTCCAGAAGTTTAAAACTAATTTTATAATAGTATGAAGCTCTTATTTATGATCACATGCTATACATTCATCATTGCCATCTTTAAATAAATGAATAAATGGATATTTTAAATATTTCCCAGTTTTGATTTTTAATATAGTAAATATAAATAGTTGTAATCACATATACAAAAGCTCTTTGAGGTCCTCAATAAGTGTGAAGTAATCTGAAGAACAAAAATTCCAAGAACTGCTGCTTATGGAAAAACAAAAGCATATTCTCAGTTGCATTTTTCTGTCACTATTGTTCCCAGTGTGGTTGTAACCACTCATATTAATTATAACTTTTAACTGAAGTAATTAACTTCTATTTCACAGAAAAGACAAGAAAGTGGATAATTAACATCTTTCTGTCATCTCAAAGCATTTAGCAGATTAACAAAATTCATAATACAACTTTTTGTAGTCTCATGCATCCCTGTGTAGCAAAAGTGAGCACATTTATTAACATGACTCATTGTTACAGCTTCTCTAACATACAAAAATAAGTAAAATTATCCTTAATAATATATGTCAGTGTCCTATCCTACTTAGTAACTAGATATCTATTGATTACATATTAATTTATTTAATATCGATATAAGGCTTAAGTTACCTAGAGATCTTAAAAATTATCTTCAACATGACATACTATAAAACACAATTACTGTTGAAATAAAAAGTGTGTCAGAATAAGGATTCACTTCACTTAGACATAAATTTACATTTTTTACAATCTTAAACATTACATAAAAGTAATGTTAGCTTATTTGATCAGTTAAAAAATAATAAGAAACACATACCCAGGTAAAATAAGCTGTTTGCTTATATTATGCTTAATAGTGATAAGTCAGAAAAGACAAAGCTGTTTTTATTAAACTCACATTGGTAAACTAGTCATTTGCCAAATATTTGCTTAATTATGTGAATTCAGATTCTTAAAAGGTTTCTGAGTTAGCTTCAGGAAGAACCAATTGTAGCACATTTTTATAGCACATTAAAGTATTAGAAATTTAATTAGCTTATGTTTTAGGGATTTTATATAGGCATTTATATATTCTATTAACCAATCAGAACAAATATCCTTTAACTTAAAAGACTTTGTAATCTTATTTACTTACACCCTCCAGAAATAGGAATATATATACACACATTGAGAGGTAAATGCCTTTCCAAATTACAGACAGAAAGCTCATAGCTTCAATTCTACAATTTTAGCCACAGGTCAAGTAACACAAGAGACACAGAAATTTAAAACAAAAAGCAAATTTAAAGACCCTTACCAATCCAGATATCAAAGAGATATTCTCCTTCCTAGTGGCCATGCAATTTCTAATTGATTTGTTTCAAAACAGACAAACATTCAAACGAACAGAAAACAAATTAAAAAGACTAACAAACCAGATTCTCTGTCATCTCTTACCCAACAACAAACAGGTATCTATCATCTATCTACACAGATCACCAAATAGCCAGATCATAAGGCCAAACTCCCAGTAATTGCTGTCACCAATGAAGTATAACCTACTGGCTGGAAAAGAATCAAAAACAAAACACAAAATTAACTGATAGGAAAAAAATTCCTGAGAATATAGAGCTGGCAAAGTTAAAGTTCTATTGCCACTTGGGATTCACCTTAAGGAGCCAAGAAAAAATGTGTCTTGACATAAGCTGCTCATAAAGTATACTTCTGTGGGCACAAGAATAAAGATGGTTTAAATCCACAAAAGCAAAGAAAGTGAAAAAAAAAAAAAGAAACAGATAAGTGACAGGAAAACTTGGCTCTGATCAGGAGAACTTATTGTGCATCTCAGCAGGAACTCCAAAATTGTTTAAAGATATTTTTTTCCAAAGGTACAGTCAGAACTCTCATATAAATATAAAATGAATACTTGGCAAATATTTTTAATTAACTCATTAATTAATGGGGGAACCAGTTAGATGTTACAATTGATTCAAATGAGGATTTGACTTGAAGAGATTTACATTCCCTACTGGAGAAAACCTCTTTGCATTGTGGTCAGGATTTAAATAAAATACCTATAGATTGAAAATATTTATATTATGCTCAGTTCCACAAGTTAACTTGTCTTTTTACAGAATTGGGAAATAGCTTACTCAAAGACAGCCAGAGGCAGAGAGAACCTGAATGAATGAGCTAGACAGAACACTCACTAATATTTTTTTACCCATTGAAAAATGTTCCAGAGCTATTCACAAAAGAATACAGATGGCATAAATCCACAAAATGAAATAAAGTGAAAAAGAAGAAACAGCAGATAAGTGATGGGAAAACTTGGAAAAGTGGTTGGATGAGTAGTAACTGACTGAGTAGAGTAAGTAAATGGAAATGCAAGTGTCAAAAAGGATTACGACAATGAGAAGCCATCCAGTTTCCTCACAGAATGCCTGAGAGGCTCAGAAGTCAGAAGCACCAAATGTCCTAGAAGGCAGGGATTAAGACTAAGAGCAGGAGAGTCAATAAAATACTTATAAAAGAAACAAAGACCAAGCACAATGTTCACCTGTAATCCCAGCACTTTGGGAGGCCAAGGCAGGTGGATTGTTTGAAGCCAGGAGTTCCAGCCCAACCTGGCAAACATGGCAAAACCCCGTATCTACTAAAAATACAAAAATTAGCCAGGCATGGTGGTGCATGCCTGTAATCCCAGCTACTCAGAAGGCTGAGACACAAAATTCGCTTGAACCTGGGAGGCAGAGGTTGCAGTGAGCTGAGATTGTGCCACTGTACTCCAGCCTAAGCACAGAGCAAGACTCTGTCTCAAAAATAAATAAATTAATTAAATAAAATAAAATTCCAGATTTTTACCTCTCTCCCATCAAAAAAATTGACTATGCCTGCCCAACTCTATCAAAAAATACAGGTTTACTTTCTAGGAAATTATTCCAGTCGACTTCTGTATTCTAAGACACCAAGCATAGCACAGCCTCCTTGAGTTGAGATGTAACCTAAACAGAAGGACTACTGTAAGAGGATGAAGGGCTCCCGGATGATATCTTAAAAAAAAAAAACAAAAACAAACAAACAAAAATTCTTATTCAATGTGCTTGATTCTAGTCAAAGATGTGTATTAAGTTGAAACACATAAAATTGAAAATATTCAACTATTTTGGGCCTACAGAAACTACCAATCTACCAATTTCAAGCAAACAAAAACCTGAGGCTATTGTTAACTCCAGGAAAAACAAAGAGTTGACAGGAATGGAAATCTAATCACAGTAAATTATTCAGCTCAACTACAAATAACATTTAAATAGTCAAAATAATACAAATACTGAATGTTGACCTACCCCAAAATTAAATAATACATATAGAGAGCCAATAGAAGGCATAAGTATATATGAGGGAAAGGAAGGAGGAACTATTATAAAAGAGAGAAATCTTCAACATCCATTGACAGAAGTCAATAGAAAATGTCTAAAATTGATATAATAAAAAAAGTAATATAAGCATATTATTTAGAAGTTGGAGGTAAGTGCCAGAGAAACAGCTAAGAGAGATGAAAACAGTTGTTTCTGGGAAGCAGGAACTCAGTGAGTAGAAGTGAGATGAAGGACTTCCACTTTATTATAAGCCTTATATACTTTGACTTTTGTAATAACTGTATGCATTGTTTGGGGGAAAATAAAACTATTTGTAAAGTATAATACAGAAAGCTAAAAAGCAACAGGAAACTGAGGGAAATACTTCTTTTTTTTTCTTTTTCTCTTTTTTTTTTAACAGCAGCGCTTTTATTTCTACTTACACAATGACGTGTTGCTGGGGACTGATGTTCTCACATAACAGTAGAAAACCAAAATTCATTGTCATCTCTTTAAAGAATCCAGAATTGCATACAAAAAAAAAACCTTACATAAATTAAAAGGATAAATATATTTACAGGTATAAATGCAAACTACTTCCAACTCAAGGCAAGTAACAGTCCATGGTGTTCTAGCAGGAAAACA
The DNA here is from genome assembly GCF_000001405.40 of Homo sapiens. Classification (NCBI taxonomy): domain Eukaryota; kingdom Metazoa; phylum Chordata; class Mammalia; order Primates; family Hominidae; genus Homo; species Homo sapiens. Next base: position 139,495,454 of record NC_000003.12, on the reverse strand, counting down.
TCAGCTAAGAAAGAAAACTGGGTCCTATGGCTTGGACTTTTCCAACCCTGACAGACAGACCAGCAGGACAGAAACAATTGGTTCAGGAGCCCATGCGAGCCTCTAGAGAAATTCCAGAACACTCGGCCCTGACACATTAATACCTTGCACAGATCAGAGACTGCTGGCCACACAGACTCACCAAGCCACAGACTTGTCTTCCACAAGCATGTTCTTACCTCAGCCATGAAGTGACCAAACCACATGTATGTACTAAGGGTTGAAATCAAAGATATGTACAGGGTATTAAACAAATACCAAGGGGAACAGTTAACTTGAATACAAGGTCAAAATCAGCAACAAGTTCTACAATCCAGTGCTTATATCAGACACAACCTTCAAGGACAATTTCTTTGTGAAGGCTATTCCAGTTTTGTGAGGGTAGCATGAGGTGTATGCATTTGCCAAGGGCAAATTTATACTTCTGAATTAACCCATGCAGCAAATGCTACACATCTGTTCACAGTCCATTTAGAAGCATTTGTGGTGGACGACGGAGGGGCCCAACTCATCATACTCCTGCTTGCTAATCCACATCTGCTGGAAGGTGGACAGTGAGGCCAGGATGGAGCCACCAATCCACACTGAGTACTTGCACTCTGGGGGCATGATGATCTTGATCTTCATGGAGCTGGGTGCCAGGGCGGTGATCTCCTTCTGCATCCTGTCGGCAATTCCCAGATACATGGTGGTGCCACTGGACAGCACCATTTTGGCATACAGTTCTTTGCAGATGTCCACATCACACTTCATGATGGAGTTGAAGGTGGTCTCTTGGATGCCACAAGATTCCATGCCCTGGAAGGCTGAAACAGTGCCTCCGGTACCAGAACCACTCGTTGCCGATGGTGATGACCTGGCCATCAGGCACCTCGTAGCTCTTCTCCAGAGAGGAGGAGGATGCGCCAGTGGCCATCTTGTGCTCGAAGTCCAGGGCAATATTGCACAGCTTCTCCTTGATGTCACACACAATCTCCTGCTCAGCCATGGTGGTGAAACGGTAGCTGCACTCCATGAGGATCTTCATGAAGTAGTCAGTCAGGTCCCAGCCAGCCAGGTCCAGATGCAGGATGGCATGGGGGAGGGTGTAGCCCTCATAGATGGGTACCGTGTGGGCGACCCCATCTCCAGAATCCATGGCAATGCCAGTGGTGCGCCCAGAGGTGTAGAGGGACAGCACAGCTTGGATGGCCATGTACATGGCCAGGGTGTTGAAGACCTCAAACATGATCTGAGTCATCTCTCTGTTGGCCTTGGTCATCAGCACAAGGGGGGGCCTTGGTCATCAGCACAAGGTACTCTTCTGGGGCCACATGCAGCTTGTTGTAGAAGGTGTGGTGCCAGATCTTCTCCATGTCGTCCCACCTCATTGGTGATGATGTCATGCTTGATGGGGTACTTCAGGGTCAGGATGCTGTGCTTGGTCTGGGCCTCATCGCCCACATAGGAATCCTTCTGGCTCATGCCCACCATGACACCATGGTGCCAGGGGCACCTGACAATGGAAGGGAACATGGCTCGGGAAGCATCACCCCAGCAAAGCCAGCTTTGTACATGCTGGAGCCAATGTCAATGAAAAGCATGGTGATTTCTTCTTCCATTGTGACCGGCAGAGGAGGGGGGTGGCAGAGTGGTGGGAGAACAGAGTCCATGGGCTGGTGGCAGTGACTGAGACCCTGAGGGAAATATTTCTAACAGTTATACAATAAGATGAATTTCCTTAATTGTATTAGTCCGTTCTCACATTGCTATATAAAGAACTACCTGAGACTGGACAATTTATAAATAAAAGAGGTTTAATTGGCTCACAGTTTACAGGCTGTACAGGAAGCATGGCTGGGGAGGCCTCAGGAGACTTAGAATCATGGCAGAAGGCAAAGGGGAAGCAGGCACATCTTACATGGCCAGAGAAGGAGGAAGAGAGCAAAGTGGGAGGTGCTACACTTTTAAACAACCAAATCTTGTGAGAACTCATTCACTAGCATGAGAACAGCAAGGGGGAAATCTGCCCCTATGATCCAATCACCTCCCACCAGACCCCTCCTCCAACATTGGGGATTACAATTCGACATGAGATTTGAGTGGGGACACAAACCTAAATCATATCATTAATATATAACAAGTTTTAAAAATCAATTTAAAAGAGGCTAAAACAACCCGATTTAAAATGAACAAAGGACAAGAAAAGGCAGCTCACAAAAAAAGAAAAATGGTTCACAAATATTTGGAAATATTCTTAATTGTTACTTATAATCAAAGAAATTCACATTAAAACAATAAAGTACATTTTTACAAACCTATCTGTTTGGCAGACAGATTTAAATCGTATTGATAATCTCAGGGTTGCCAAGTATGTGACAAAATAAGAACTCTCATTCACTGGAACAACCTACATGAAAATCACTTTGACATTTTCTATAATGTGCACAAAAATATATGTTCAAGATATAACAGAATAGCACTGTTTGTAATTACAAGTAATAGAAAGCAACCCAAATAACCTGTGCCTATGAATTGGATGGCTAAATTAATCATGCTACCTTCAAGCACTGGGATACTATGCAGCAGTCAGAATGAAGAAGCTTTCTCTGTACTGATATGGAAAGTTTGCCAAGATACATTAAGTAGAACAGGATTGGAGAAGGTGGCCCAAGAGAGTTGAACAGAACCCTCCATTGATTGTCTCTACTGCAGGAACACCAAAATTGAACAACTATCCACACAAGAAAACACCTTCATAAGAACCAAAAATCAGGTGAGTGATCACAGTACTTAGTTTTAACATCCTACCAAGGAAAGAGGCACTGAAGAGCGTAGAAAAGATGGTCTTGAGTTGTCTACACCACTCATCCGCCATTCTCCAGCAGTACCTTGTGGTGCTGAGAGAGTCCGTGTGTTTGGAGGAGGAAGAGTGAAGTAATTGTGAAACTTTGCATTGGAACTCAGTGCTGCCCTGTCACAGCCAAAAGCAACACAGGACAGAATTCAGCAGGTTCCCATGGAAGAGCATTTGGATCAGCCCTAGCCAGAAGGAAATAATCCATTCCAGCAGTTGGAAACTAAGTTCCAGCTAGCCCCACCACTGTAGGCTAAAGTGCTCTGGAATCCTAAATAAACTTAAAAGGCAGTTTCAGACATAAAGTCTACCATTCCTGGGCAAGTCCTGATGCTGGGCTGGGCTTGGAGCCGGTGGACTTGCAGTGCATGCAACCCAGTGAGACACCAGCTGGGGCAGCCAAGGGAGTGCTTGCATGACCCCTCCCCCAACTCCAGGCAGCACAGCTTGCAGCTCCAGCAGAAACTCCTTTTGCTTAAGGGCAGAAGAGGGGAGAATAAAGAGGACATTTGTCTTGCAAATTGGATGCCTGCTCAGCTACAGTCTAATAGGGTAACAGGGCAGAGTTCTGAAGCCTCCATTCTAGGACCTAGTTTCCAGGCAACATTTCTAGACCCACCTTGGGCCAGAAAGTAACCTCCTCCCCTGAAGGGAAGGACCCAGAATTCATCACCTGGTGAATAAAGAGCCCTTGGTCCTTGAATAAACATTAGCAGCAGCCAGGCAGTAGTTGCCACAAGCCTTGCATGAGACCCAGTACCATGTTGGCTTCAGGTGTGACCCAGCACATTCTCAGCTGTGGTGGCCACAGGAAGGTAATCCTGCTTGAGGAAAAAACAGGGAAGAGTAAAAAGAACTTTGTCTTACAACTTGGATACCAGCTCAGCCACAGTAAAATAAAGCACCAAGTAGATTTCTAAAGTTCCCAATTCCAGACCCTACTAGCTCCTGGATGGCATTTGCAGACCTACCCTGGGTCAGAAGGGAACCCACTGCCCTGAAGGGAAAGAGCTCAGGCCTGGCAGGATTCACCACCTCCTGGTGACTAAAGAGCTCTTGGACCTTGAATAAACATCAGGTAGCCAGGCAACAGTCACAACAGGCCTTAGACAAGACCCAGTACTATGCTGGCTTCAGTAATGACCCAACACAGGTGCAGTGATCGTGGTCTTTGGAGTGCTTGTGTCACTCCTCCCCAGCTCCAGGCAGCTCAGCAGAAAGAGAGAAAGAGAGACTTCATTTGTTTGTTTGTTTGAGGGAGAGTGAGGGAAGAAAACAAGAGGCTCTGGCTGGTAATCCAAAAAATTCTCTCAGATCTTACTGAAGGCCACCAAGGCAGTATTTCTACCAGTCTGTAAGAGTCACAGCATTACTGGACTTAGCATGCCTCCTAATGCAGTTATGGCTGCAGTGACCAAAGACTTAGATCACAATACTCAATTCTCTTTGAATACTTGGGAAACTTTATCAAGAAGGACAAGTGCAAACAAGCCCAGACTTTGAAGATTAGAATAAATACCTAACTCTTCAATGCCCAGACATTGATAAACATCCACAAATATCAAGACCATCCCAGAAAATATGATCTCACCAAATAAACTGAATAAGGCACCAGTGAACAATTTCAGAGTGACAGAGATAAGTGACCTTTCAGAGAATTCGAAACAGCTGTTGTGAAAAAGCTAAGCAAAATTCAATATAACATAAAGAATTGAAAATCCTATCAGATAAACTTAATAAGAGAATGAAATAATTTTTTAAAAGTCAAGCAGAGATTCTAAAGCTGAAATATTCAACTGACAAATTGAAGAATGCCTCAGAGTCTCTCAACAGCAAAATTGATCAGGCAGAAGAAAGAATTAGTGTGCTTGAAGACAGGCTATTTGAAAATACAGAGGCAGGAGAGACAAAAGAAAAAAAAGAATAAAAAGAATAAAGTACACCTACAAGATCTATAAAATAGTGCCCAAATGGCAAATCTAAGAGTGAGTAATTGGCCTTAAAGAGGAGGTAGAGAGAGAGGGATAATGGTAGAAAATTTATTCAATAAGATAATAATGAAAACTTTCCAAACCTGCAGAAAGATATCAATATTCAAATACAAGAAAATTATAGGATGCCAAGCAGATTTAACCCAAATAAGACTACATCAAGACATTTAATAATCAAACTCCCAAAGATGAAGGATAAAGAGGGGTTCCTAAAAGCAGCTAGAAAAAAGAAACAAGTACCATACTATGGCGCTCTGGTACACCTGGCAGTAGACTTTTCAGTGGAAAGTTTATAGGCTAGGAGAGAGTGTCATCATAAATTTACAGAGCTGAAAAAAACCCTTTTATTTTAAAGTAGTACATCCAACAAAAATATTCTTCAAACAAGAAAGAGACATAAAGACTTTCCCAGATGAACAAAAGCTGAGGGGTTTTATTAACATCAGATTTGATGTTAAAAAAAATACCAGAAAGAGTTCTTCAATCTGAAATAAAATGACATTAACAAGCAATAAGAAATCATCTGAAGGTACAAAACTCACTGGTAATAGTAAATACACAGAAAACTATAAGATATTATAACACTGTAATCATGGTGTGTAAAGTACTCATATCTTAAGTAGAAAGGCAAAAAGATGAACCAATCAAAAATAATAACTACAACAACTTTTTAAGACATAGTATACTAAGACATAAATAGAAACAACAAAAAGTTAAAAGGCGGGGGTAATGAAGTTAAGCATTTTTATTAGTTTTTTGTTTGCTTGTTTTTACAATCAAGAGTTGTCATCAGTTTAAAATGATGGGTTATAAGATGTTATTTGCAAGCTTCATAGTAGCCTCAAATCAAAAACCTACAACAGATACACAAGAAATAAAAAGCAAGAAATAAAAACACATGACCATAGAAAATTAGTTTCACAAAAAGGAAGACAGGAAGGAAGGAAGAAAGAAGACTACAAAACAACCAGAAAACAAATAACAAAATGACAGGAGTAAGTCTTTACTTATCAATAATAACACTGAATGCAAATGTACTAAACTCTTCGATCAAAAGACAGAGTGGCTGAATAGATTAAAAAACAAGATTTTATGATCTGTTTCCTGCAATAAACACACTTCATCTATAAGACACAGATACACAGATAGACTTAAAATAAAGGGATGGAAAAAGATATTCCATGGAAATGAAAACCAAAAAAGCAGGAGTAGCTATATTTATATCAGACAGAATAGATCTCAAGACAAAAACTATAAAAAGAGACAAAGAAGGTTATTATATAATGATAAAGAGGTCAATTCAGCAAGAAGACATAACAATTTTAAATATGTATGCACCCAACATTGGAGTACCTAGATACATAAAGCAAATATTATTAGAGCTAAAGAGAAATACATTCCAATACAATAATAGCTGGAGACTTCAACACCCTACCTTCAGCATTGGACAGATCATTCAGACAGAAAAAATCAACAAAGAAGCATCAGACTTAACCTGCACTATACACCAAATGGACCTAATAGATATTTATAGAACATTTCATACTATGGCTGCAGAATACACATTCTTCTCCTCAGCACATGGATAGTTCTCAAGGATTGATCATATGTTAGGTCACAAAACAAGTGTTTAAAAACTCAAAAAAATTGAAATCATATCAAGTATCTTCTCTCACCACAAGGGAATAAAACTAGAAATCAATAGCAAGAGGAACTCTGGAAACTCTACAAACACATGGAAATTAAAGAATATGCTCCTGAATGACCAGTGGATCAATGAAGAAATTAAAAGAGGCATAAAAATATCTTGAAACAAATGAAAATGGAAACACAGTACAGCAAAACCTATGGGATACAGCAAAAGCAGTACTAAGAGGAAAACTTATAGTAATAAGCACCTATATCAAAAAAGTAGGAAAAACTTAAACAACAAATGATGCATTTTAAAGAACTAGAAAAGCAAGAGCAAATCAAACCTAAAATTAGTAGAAGAAGAGAAATAATAAAGATCAGAGCAGAAATAAATGAATGAGAAGGTCCTAGCCAGAGCAATCAGACAAGAGAATGAAATAAAAGGCATCCAAATTGGAATAGGAAGTCAAGCTATCTCTGCTTGCCAATGATATAATCATATACCTGGAAAACCTAAAGACTCCTACAAAAGACTCGTAGATTTGATGAACAAATTCAGTAAAGTCTCAGATTACAAAATCAATGTATACAAATAAGTAGCACTGCTATACACCAACAACAACCAAACTGAAAATCAAATCAAGAACTCAATCTCATTTATAATAGCTGCAAAAATTAAAATAAAATACCTAAGAATATACTTAACCAAGTAGGTGAGAGATCTCTACAAGCAGAATTACAAAACTGCTGAAAGAAATCATAGATATGATACAAACAAATGGAAACACATCCCATGCTCATGAATTGGAAGAATCAATATCATGAAAATGACCATACTGCCCAAAGCAATCTACAGATTCAATGCAATTCCTATCAAACTACCAATATTATTTTTCACAGAATTAGAAAAAAAAAATCCTAAAATTCATATGGAACCAAATAAGAGCCCAAATAATTAAAACAATCCTAAGGAAAAAGATCAAATAGGGACCATCACATTACCTAAGTTCAACTTATACTACAAGATTATAGTAATCGAACAGCATGGTTCTGATATAAAAATAGATAATTTAGACCAACGAAACAGAATAGAGAACCCAGAAATAAAACCTAGTATTTACAACCAACTGATATTCAACAAAGGATACAAAAACATAAATTGAGGAAAAGACACCCTATTCAATAAATGGTGCTGGGAACACTGGATAGCCACATGTAGGAGAATGAAACTGGATGCCTATCTCTCACTATATACAAAAATCAAATCAAGATGGATCAAAGACTTAAGTAAAATACCTGAAACCATAAACATTCTAGAAGAAAACTTAGAGAAAACTCTTCTGGACATTAGCCTAGGTAAAGAATTTATTACTAAGACCGCAAAAGTAAATGCAACAAAAACAAAAATAAATAAATGAGACCTGATTAAACTATAAAGCTTCTGCACAACAAAATAAATAATTATCAGAGTAAACAGACAACCCACAGAATGGGAGAAAATATTTGCAAGCTATGCATCCAGAAAGGAATATCCATAATCTACAAGGACCATGGAATACTATGCAGCCATAAAAAATGATGAGTTCATGTCCTTTGTAGGGACATGGATGAAATTGGAAATCATCATTCTCAGTAAACTATCGCAAGAACAAAAAACCAAACACCACATATTCTCACTCATAGGTGGGAATTGAACAATGAGAACACATGGACACAGGAAGGGGAACATCACACTCTGGGGACTGTTGTGGGGTGTGGGGATGGGGGAGGGATAGCATTGGGAGATATACCTAATGCTAGATGACGAGTTAGTGGGCGCAGTGCACCAGCATGTCACATGTATACATATGTAACTAACCTGCACATTGTGCACATGTACCCTAAAACTTAAAGTATAATAATAATAAAAAAAAAATAATTCACTTATTTAAAAAAAAGTGGCAAGAAAAAAAAAGTAATCCCATCAAAAATGGGCAAATGACAAGACGTTTCTCAAAAGAAGATACACAAATAGCCAACAAACATATGAAAAAATGCTCAACATCACTAGTCATCAGGGGAATGCAAATTAAAACCACAATGGTATATCACCTTACTCCAGCCAAAATGGCCATTATTAAAAAGTCAAAAAAAGCAATAGATGTTGGAATGGAGGTGGTGAAAAGGGAATGTTTATGCACTGCTGGTGGGAATGTAAGTTAGTACAAACTCTATGGAAAAAAGTATAGAGATTTCTTAAAGAACTAAAAGTAATCCATTAATAGATCCAGCAGTCCCACTACTGGGTATTTCCCCAAAGGAAAAGAAGTCATCATATCCAAAAGATACCTATACACGTATGTTTATCACAGTACAATTCACAATTGCAAAGATATAGAACCAACCTAACTGCCCATCAACCAATGAGTGGATAAAGAAAATGTGGTATGTGTATATGTATGTATGTATGTGTGTGTGTGTATATATATATATATATATATATATATATAACTATATATATATAACAATATATATATATAAATATATATATATTGTTATATATATATATATAGTTTTATATATATATATATATATATATATATAACAATATATATATAACACCCTGGAATACTACTCAGCCTTAAAAAGAATGAAAGCTCTCTTTTGCAGCAACTTGGATGGAGCTGGAGGCCATTATTCTAAGTGAAGTAACTCAAGAATGGAAAACCAAATACGGTATGTTCTCACCTATAAGTGGGAGCTAAGCTATAGGTATGCAAAGGCATACTGAGTGGTATAATGAACTTGAGACTCAGAAATGGGGAGGGTGGGAGTGGGGTGAAGAATAAGAAACTACATATTGGGTGCAATGTACACTACTCAGGTGATGGGTGCAGTAAAATCTCAGACTTCACCACTATACAATTCATCTATGTAAAAAAACCACTTGTATTCCAAAATCTATTGAAATTATATATTTTTGAAAAAATAGAAAGGAAAAGAAATACAAGTGTTAGTGAACTGAAGAAATAAGAGTTTCATACATTGCTAGCAGAAATGTAAAAAGGTGTAGTCACTTGGAAACATTTAGAAGTTCCTTAAAAAGTTAAATACAGAACTATTTCTATATCAGCAATTCCACTGCTAGGTATACACCCAAGAGATATTAAAACATAGGACCACAAAAAAAAACTTGCAATTGAATGTTTATAGCAGCATTATTTCTAGGAGACAAAAGTAGAAACCCAATGTTCATCAACAAATGAATGGATAAACAAACTGTGTTATATAGATACAATGGAATATTATTCAGCTATAAAAAGGAACTAAGTACTGACATATGCTGCAACTTGAACCTTGAAAACATTATGCTACGCAAGAGAAGCTCGACGTAAAAAGACATATATTGTATGGTTTGCTTTTTGATCCAGAATAGGTAAATCCATAGAAATGAAAGCAGATTGGAGGTTACCAGAGGATGGGGAGAGGGAGGAATGGGGAGTGACTATGTATGGCTGTTTTGTGAAGTGATAAAAAAGCTTTCAAATTAGAGCTGGTGTTTATACAATATTATGAATACACTAAATATCACCATATTGTACTTTAAAATGGTTCATTGTATATTATATAAATTTCCCCACAATTAAAAAAACTTTATATAGAAAAATATAGAGCTCATTTTTTAAAGAGATATATTTCAGGAATTAATTTTTAGCCTTTTCCAAAATTGTTCTTTTTAAAGTTACTTACCAAATAACTAACTTATTTGTTGAGCCCCTGCTACACATTCAGTATGCTTTTTCTTCCTACTCCAATGGCATTCAAATTTGGACTCTGCTCTTGATGCTCTAACATTGAAAATAACCTATCCCTTATAAGAAAAAAAAGAAATAAATGAATGAAATGAAAAAAATACAAAAAATCAATGAAATAAAAAGTCATTTTTTGAAAAGATAAATAAAATCAACAAACCTTTATGCAGACTAAGAAAAAAAGATCCAAATAAGTAAAATCAGAGATGAAAAAGGAGACATTACAACTGATACCACAGAAATTCAAAGGATCATTAGAAACTACTATGAGTAACTATATGCCAATAAATTTGAAAACCTAGAGGAAGTGAATAAATTCCTGGACACACACACCTACCAAGATTGAACCATGAAGAAATTCAAAACCTGATACACCAATAACAAGTAACGAGATTGAAGCCATAATAAAAAGTCTCAGCAAAATAATGCCTAGGACCTGATGGCTTCACTGCTGAATTCTGCCAAACATTTAAAGAAGAACCAGTATCAATTCTAGTCAAACTATTCCAAAAAATAAAGGAGGAAGGAATACTTCCAAACCCATTCTATGCGGCCAGTATTATCCTGATACCAAAACCAGACAAAGACCCGTCAAAAAAAGAAAACTACAAGTCAACGTCTCTGATAAACATTGATGCAAAAATTCTCAATGAGATACTAGCAAACCAAATTCAACAACACATTAAAAGGATCATTCATCATGACCAAGTGGGATTTATACCAGGGATGCAAGAGATAGTTTCACATATGCAAATAAATCAATGTGATATATCATATCAACAGAATGAAGGACAAAAACTATATGATCATTTCAGTTGATCCTGAAAAAGCATTTGATAAAGTTCAACATCCTTTCATGATAAAAAAGAAAAACCTCAAAAAACTGTGTATAGAAGGAACATACCTCAACACAATAAAAGCCATACATGACAAACCCTCAGCTAATATCATACTGAATAGGGAAAAACTGAAAGCTTTTCCTCTGAGATCTAGATCAAGATAAGGATGCCCACTGTCACCACTGTTATTCAACATAGTACTAGAAGTCCTAGATAGAGCAATCAGGCAAGAGAAAGAAAGAAAGGGGATCTAAATTGGAAAGGAAAAAGACAAATTATCCTTGTATTTATATCCAGGATATATATCCTTGTAAGTATATCCTTTGGTATACTTTGTATATACTTTGATATACCTATATGATATATATCCTTTACTAGTATTTATATCCTTTTACAAGGATATCCAAATTATCTTTGTAAAATATCCAGATGGTATTTTCTTATATTTAGGAAAATCTAAAGACGCCACAAAAAATCTACTAGAACTAATAAACAAATTCAGTAAAGTTCCAGGATGCAAAATCGACATACTAAAATCAGTAGTATTCATACATGCCAATGGCAAACAACCTGGAAAAGAAATCAAAAAACTAATCCCATTTACATAGCCATAAATAAAATAAAATGGCTAGGAATAAACTTAACCAAAGAAGTAAAAGATCTCTACAATAAAAACTATAAAGCACTGATGCAAGAAATGGAAGAGAACACCAAAGAACGGAAAAATATTCCATGTTCATGAATAGGAAGAATCAATATTGTTAAAATGTCCATGCTATAATACCTAAAGCAATCTACAGATTCAATGCCATCCCAAATGTACTATAAACTATTGACGTTCTTCACAAAATACTACTGACATTCAAAATACTAATGACATTCTTCACAAAAATAAAAAAAAAAATCTGAAAATTTAAATGAACCACAAAATATCCAGAATAGCCAAAACCATCCTGAGCAGAAAGAACAAAACTGGAGGAATCACATTACCTCCCTTCGAATTATACTACAGAGCTATAATAAATGGTACTGGCATAAAAACAGACACATAGGCCAATGAACAGAATAGAGAACCCAGAAACAAATCCCTACATCTACAGTGAGCTCATTTTCAGCAAAAGGGCCAAGAACACACATTGGAGAAAGAACAGTCTCTTCAATAAATGGCACTGTAGAAACTGGATATCCATATGCAGGGGAATGAAACTAGACTCATCTCTCACCATATACAAAAATCAAATAAAATGGATTAAAGACTTAAATCTAAGACCTCAAACTATGAAACCACTATAAGAAAACTTTGGGGAAAATCTTCAGGACATTGGCCTGGGCAAAGATTTCTTGAGTAGTACTCCACAAACACAGGCAACAAAAGCAAAAAAAGGCAAGTGAGATCACATCAAGTTAAAAAGCTTCTGCATAGCAAAGAAAACAGTCAACAAAGTGAAGAGACAACCCACAGAATGAAAGAAAATATTTGCAAACTATCCATCTGACAAATGATTAATAACCAGAATGTATAAGGAGCTCAAACAATTCAATAGGACAAAAATCTGATAATCTGATTTTAAAATGGGCAAAAGATTTGAATAGATATTTCCCAAAAGAAGTTACACAAATGACAAACAGGTATATGAAAAGGTGCTCAACGTCATTGACCATCAGAGAAATGCTAATCAAAACTACAATGAGATAGCGTCTCACCCCAGTTAAAATGGCTTGTATCCAAAAGACAGGCAATAGGCTGCTGAGGATGTGGAGAAAAGGGAACCCTGATACACTGTTAGTAGGAATGTAAATTTGTACATTCACTATGGAGAACAGTATAGAGGTTCCTCAAAAAGCTAAAAATAGAGCTATTATACAATCCAGCAATCCCACTGCTAGGTATATAACAAAGAGAAAGGAAATCAGTATATCAAAGAGACATTTGCACTTTCATGTTTATTGCAGCACTAGCCACAATAGCCAAGATTTGGAATCAACCCAAGTGTCCATCAACAGACGAATGGATAAAGAAAATATGGTACATATACACAATGGAGTACTATTCAGCCATAGAGAGATCAAGATCCTGTCATTTGCAACAACATGAATGGAACTGGAGAACATCATGTTAAGTGAAATAAGCCAGGCACAGAAAGACAAGCTTTACATGCTCTCACTTATTTGTGGGAGCTAGAAATTAAAACAACTGGACTCATGGAAATGGAGAGTATTATAGAATAATCATTACCAGAGACTGGGAAGAGTAGTGGGGAGGGGGAGTGGGGATAGTTAATGGGTACAAAAAAGATTACATAAAATTGAGTATTTTATAAAAGCACAACAGGGTGATTAAAGTCAACAACAGTTTATAGAATATTTTAAAATAACCAAAAGAGTATAACTGGAGTGTTTGTAACACAAAGAAAGGATAAATTCTTGAGGTGATAGATACCCCCATTTGCCCTGATGTGATTATTATGCATTGTATGCCTATATCAAAATACCTCCTGTTTGTAACCATAAAAATTATGTACCCATAAAAATTATGTACCTATAAAAAACTATGTACCCATAAAAATTAAAAATAATTATTTTTTAAAAAGATACTATTAAGTAAAAAAAATGAGGATTCAAGTTTGTTGTATTCTACTTTTTGGATAAAAAGACGAGGGAAAATATATCTTTATATTTGATTTTATAAAGAAACTCCGGAAAGATACACAAGAAATTAATACAAATAGTTTCCTGTTTAACAGTAGCAATAGTGGAAAATGAACATGAGTGAACCAGACTTTTCATTGTATATCTATTGCTTGAATTTCTAACTATGTGAATGTTATTACATTAATACCTGCTTTAAAATGCAATGAAATGTGAATAGATAAACAAATAAACAAGAATGAAGTAGATCATATGTACTGATTTGCAAAGATTTCCATAATATGTCAAATGAAAATGCCATACATTCCTTAGGTCTAGTGGAAAGAAAAGTCAGGGAATCTCAAGTTTCACTGGATGGGATTGCCAAGGGCATTCCAAGGATCCTTGGTAGAGAGGCAGGAACAGCTCCCTTGGGAAGAGGTGGTTTGGATTGACCACTGCCAGCTTACTACCTACTCTCAACTGTTGGGGGAGGTTGGAGAGGACAAGGGGATTGCAAAGGGCCCCTTCTTGGACCAGAGCAATTTGAGTCCTTGTGGCCATGGGAGGGATGAGGATTTGTAATCCCCCTGTTCTCCTGTTCTGCCTTAAGAAGGGGCACAATTTACATGAAAAATTAAGACTAGACCCAGCCCTACCTAGTGGCTGAAGGAACTCCAAGACACACTTTCCCCGGGGCCTCCATGTGAGGACAAATCTAATGGAGCATCTAGTTCTCCTACTGAGAACATTCAATTAAGCTAGATGTGCAAGTCACAGGGGCATTGCCCAGGAGTGGAAACCTGCGTACAAGCTGAGCAAACATTCCAGCCAATGGCCCTTTGCCTGCTAAGGGAATGCCTTCTTACATCAAGAGGAAGAAGAAAGCAGGACAGAGCTCGGCGAGCCTGGGTGGGCCTGGGCCTGGGCCAGAGAGAGACTGCTTGCCTGTAGGGAGCCAGCCCAGGAGCCCAGCTGCTGCAGTCAGATGCTCCCAAGGACAGCAGGTAAATTCCTGAGAGTCCTTGCTGTGCTCACTCTTAGCTGACTGATTTATCTCAGAACCAAGCTTCTAGGGAGACCCACCTCTGCTCTTTTTCATGTAGTCTCCAGAAAGCTTCTTGTAACCTGGAAAGATTGGTTATAGTTGATCATTTTCCTCCATCTTAAAAGTCACCTGAAGAATTCCACAAGGACTTAGGTAAGTAAATTCAGAAATGGAGTCACCCAGGCAACTGAGAAAATGGAATGTCCAGGTATGTGATTTGTGAGTGTAGCGGACAGAGTTGGGGGCCCTAGGACAGAACTTTTGAAATTGGGCTCTGCTACCAATTTTAAGATTGTGGTGTTCCTTAAATGGAAGTTGTAGGCAATAGTGGCTGAGTTATTGAGTAGCACTTGCTTTTTCTCATCCACTATCCCTCACTTTTTCCCCTCAGTACCAACCCCAGTTCCTACACATACATAGATCTGGAACAGAAGAATATGCTGAAGCTGTGTTTTGTTGAGGGCTTAGGACAAGTCACACACTTACTAGGAGTTTGGTCTGTCGCCCCCATATCTAGTTACTATCTTGGAACAAACACATACTATGTGCCAGGACTCTGTTAAGAGCTTTTTGGTTTTTTGGTGTTGTTTAATTCTTACAATGACCCTGATTCTCAAAGAATGAATCTGAGACTCAGAAACGTTACGGATCCCCCAGTTAGGAAGCGTTGAAACGTAGATTCAAAACTTGGTGTGGCTGACTCCAAGCTTTAGGATTTTATTTTCCCTCTCTATTTATTTCCTCTTTTATTTCTGTTACTCTAAAACAGTAGTTCTCAACTGTGGTTGTCAAGCAGCCGCAGCAGCACCCAGGAACTTACTTAAAAACATAAATTCTTGGACCCTAACCCAAACCTATTAAGTCAGAAATTCTAGAGGTGGAGCCCAGCGATCTGTGTTGTAATAAGCCTCCAGATGATTCTAATGCTTGTTAGAGGTTGAGAACCTCTGCTCTATAAGGGTTAGTCTTAATTTAAAAAAAAATGCTTAAACTAATATCTCTCACAAACATATAGTCAATCAGTAATTACAGCCTCCTTAGCACAAGTTTACTTCCCATCACTCATGTGGGTATAATACATGATTTTAGTTTGAGTTTGTACTAAATTGCTTTTCTATAAATAATCAACATAATTATACCTTTTTTATTAAGGTATAGTTTACATACAATAAGAAGGCACAGATCACAAGGGTAGAGTTTGAGTTTTACCTTTACCTGCTCTCCCTGGCCCCACAAAAACTGATCTATTGTATATCACTGTAGATTAGGCTTGTTCTTTTCTAGAGTTTCATGTAAATGAAATTATATAGTATATGATCTTTTGTGTCAAGCTTCTTTCCCTCAGCATAATGTCTGTGAGATTCATCTTTGCTGTGTATATCAGGAGAGTGCTCCTTTTTACTGTCGAGTAGTATTTCATTGTGTGAATATACCACAATTTATTTATCCATCAACTCGTTGATGGAAGTCTGGGTTGTTTCCATATTGTGGCTATTATATCTGAAACTTTTTTATATCATTCAAGTACGAGAGTATATCTGAAACTAAGGTTATATGGTAAGAGTATATCTGAAACTCTTACCATATAATGATAGTTGACTGGGTTTAGAATTTTATTCAAATGTATTTTCCCACATTATTACAAGATATTGTTCCCTTGTCATATTCCATCAGAGTTGTTGAAAAGCCTAATATCGATCTCATTATTACATTGTTCTTTTATAGGTAATCTGTATGGTTGTCTTTGTTCTCTCCGGGAAATTTTAGAATTTTATTTTTATCTACATTTGCATCACAGTATGTTCTGTGTTAATATATTCTGGGTAATCTCCTTGACTGCATCTTCTATTTCACTAATTTTTCTTAAGCTGTGTTTAATCAACTGTTTAACCCACCTATTACCTTTTTAATTTTAGTGATTATATTTTTAAGAACTACTCTTTTTAAATTTTTAATCTGTTTTTAAAAACATTATTTTATTCCTTTTTCATGTTTTCAGTGCTTTTAAATTTTCTTTATTCATTTTAAACATAATTATTTTATAGTCTGTACCTGATTTTATTAATTGAAACTCCTGGAAATCTAATTTCACTGTATGTTTCTTCTGATGATGCTCTTGGTGGGTTACAAAGAGCATCAGTTTGTATGTGTTTGTCAGTGTGTGTTACAATTTTGGATTATGAGCTCATATTTGGCATGGCTTTATCACACAGAATTCTGGTTGATCTGGTTTTGAAGGTGTGTTCCTCTTCACAGCTTTTACATTTACTTCTTCCTGGCAGCTTAAAAATGTTAACAAGCACAGGACATTTATTATTTTAATATTTTAGCTAACAGAAAGGATAAATTCAAACCCCAAACCAAGGTCAGAGCAGAACAGAACTTTTTTTTTTAACCTATGTAGATCCCATGCCAAGTAGATAAACTTTTTTCTTGTCTGTTGCTGCAGATTTTGACTAATTTACACCCTCAATGAGGGAGTAGCCCTTCAAGTGCCTGGCTTTATATAGACATCTCAGTTTCAAATTTGCGTCTTACACCAAGACAAATTCCTCCCCCCTCAATGCCCATGAAAACCCAAGCCCCTGGCTTAGTGCAATTAGCAACTCCTGTCTTGCCCCCAGCCCCTTCCCCTACCAGGCCAGCTTCTCATTACACATTCTTACAGGAGAGGCCTACGGGGTAGGAGGCCTCAGTTGCAGGCAGGAGGGACGGTGGAGGCCCTGGAATTTGACCTGGGAGGGACTATCTACTTCTCCAGCCCAGGAGGCTGAATGCTCAGTCTACAGCAGCTTCTGGCTGGACTTCACAGGATGAATCTCCAAGGTTTCTTATCTGTCTACTCCTTCCTCCACTCATTTTCCATTTGTGGTAAAGTTATTTCTTTCTCACCCCTTACCTTTCCCCATTGGCCTTTTGACAACAGCTGGGCCATTTTTCACTCTGTCTTCCTAACTCCAGTGTATTTACTGAAAGATAAATGTGCTGTTTTATATCCCTCGTACCACACACAGAGTCATTTACTTAGATTTCACAGCACAAGGATACATATATGAGAGCTGCAGTGTCATCATCAAAATAGGTCTCACTTTGGGAACTCATGGTATATCTGTCTCAGGCCACACCTCCATTCTTCACAGTCACTTCTCAGACACCACATCTTGGAATAGAGTGTCAGAGCAATAAACTAAACCCATTTCCATTGGGACAGCCCATTTGGAGAACATTCCTGAACCAAGGGTCCTTGTCCAGCTATGCCCCCACTTTGATCCAGGTGATCCTCAGCTTTCCCCTTGGATCTTAAAACAACATTCCACTACCCCTCTGCCTCCATCTGGACTCCCTCCAGGCTCAGCTTGCTTTTAGCAGAATCATGTTCCCAGAAAACACTTTTCTCATGTCTCACCCTGCTGCTAGGAAGTCCACAGGGCACCTTGCTTCCACAGGGAAGCAAGAGAGATTTGGTCTCTTAAGTCAGGCTCCAAACCTCTTTCAAAGCTGACCTAGCACACTGTTGAAGAAAAGGATTTGGAGCCCAACAGATCTGAGTTTGAATCCTGGCTCAACCACTTACAAGTTGTGATTAGACATGTGATTTAACCTCCATGATCCTTTCTCATCTGTAAAATAAGGATGGTTAAACATAACTCACAGAGCTCTTGTAAGCTGAAACAAGATGAAGTATGCATGCTGCCTGGAACAGAGTAGAGTAGAGCTCCACAGGTGTGAATTCTGTCTTTTCAGTTTCACCAGCCTTGCTATGAGTGCTGGATTCATGGCTGATAGACTCCAGGCTTGAGGCCTGGGTACTAGTGACCCATAGTACATGTGGGGTAGACCCTGGATGTTTGTTTTCTTCCATTACTGGATGAAATGTTCTGTGTGGGACAAGGGGCCCATGGGGACCCAGCCAGCCAAAAATGAGCTGCTCTAGGGCCCTGCTTATGGTGCAGGACACTAGGACACCCACGCCTGGCCATACCAGGACTTTGTTCGTGGGTTACCTATAGTCTCGCTGAACTTTACAAAGAAAAGTTCTTTTGAGTTGTGCTTCTGCCCTTTGAACCTCTTATCTTCAGAGTCACAAACCTGGCCCACTAGGCTATAAAAGAAGCTCATTCCAGTGTATTCTCCCTGCAGCCTGCTCCTTGCCATCCACCACAAACCCTCACCGAACCAGTGGCCACCACCATGACAAGGGACCAGAATGGAACCTGGGAGATGGAGAGTAATGAAAACTTTGAGGGCTACATGAAGGCCCTGGGTAAGGAGGAGACTGGGGATGGGGAGGGTAGCTGTTGTTGGGAGTACTGTGGTCTGGCCCTCCAGACAGTGCTGCTATGGAGTTCAACAGACCTGTGGCAAATCCTCATGCCTCATGTACAGCTGTGCAATATTAGGCAGATCATAAGAATTCTCTGAGGCTCAGTTTTCTCATCTGGAAACTGGGAATAATGATAAATGAGATTATGTCTAGGATGCCTTAGCACAGTGCCTGGCCCACAGAAAACATACACTGAATGTGTATGTCAGGAGGATACACACACAACAGAGTAAAGCCAAACTTGAGAGGATAACACAGTCGCTCTTCTGCCTTGTGACCACCATCTCTCTGATAACCACTTGGACCTGATATTATCCACCAATGACCTCTGCATTGTTCTTTTATCAGTTTTGTAATGGGGAAGCAGAAAAGAAATAGCTAGCAAATCTCTCAGCCTAGGGAAAATCAAGCTCATGGAAGCCTAGAGAGGCTGTTGTCAGATAGCACAAACAACCCACTGCTTATATGACTTCTGAACTGGGTTCCAGGCCAAGGGCTACCAATTGGTGCATGTCCTGAGTTCACCACAGAGTGGGTTCCCTGTGGAACTGGCAGAAAACACATAGCCCTGCCCAGCCTACAGGTTCTGCCTGGGACTAGAGTGAGTGGGTCCCCAGAGGGGAGCTCACAGTTACTGGGTGGCTCCTGTGCTCCAGGTGCTGAGCAAGGGGCTTTGGCTGCCTGACCTTATTCCATCCCTCAGCAGCCTCTTTATCACCTCTTCTAGCTTTAAAGTTCTCCACATATGGGGTAACTTCGCTGGAACTTCCTCCACATGCAGAATGAGAGAAACGGCAGTGGGTGGAGTTAGAGGCCCAATAATAACTTGGATATGATGGTGGGAGGTCTCTCCAAGAGTGGAAATCATGAGTTTTTTGGTGTGATAAACTTCTAGCTTGAAAATGTCCACCATGTCAATGAAAAAGGAGAGCTGTGATATGTTCCATATTTGTGGAACTAAGCACTTTCTTCATGTTCTTTTTTTTTTTTTTTTTTTTTTTTATTTTGGGGACAGAGTCTCGCTCTGTCGCCCAGGCTGGAGTGCAGTGGCGCGATCTCAGCTCACTGCAAGCCCACCTCCCGGGTTCATGCCATTCTCCTGCCTCAGCCTCCAGAGTAGCTGGGACTACAGGCACCCGCCACCACGCCTGGCTAATTTTTTGTATTTTTAATAGAGACGGATTTCACTATGTTAGCCAGGATGGTCTCAATCTCCTGACCTTGTGATCCACCCGCCTCGGCCTCCCAAAGTGCTGGGATTACAGACGTGAGCCACCGCACCCGGCCTCTTCATGTTCTTTAGACTGGTTTCCAACACTGAATAGCTTTCCTTTTCATTCTGGTTAGCAGGATTTTTACCTCAATATAGTTGGGAGGAGGAAGAAAGAGACAAAAATCCTCCTACCAGAGCCCCATCCTCAACCCTGTTGCACCTGTGATTTTTAGTACCAGGAGTGGCCAATAGAAATGGGATTCTGATACTACACATGGGTAAATGGATTGGAGCATAGCTTGGAACTAGAATTCTGAACAAGATTATACAGATAAGGAAACCAAAGCAGAAGGGTCAACACAGCTCGGACTAGAGTCCAGGGCTTGCTCTGTGACCGTGAACCAGTTTTTTAACCTTTTGGAACCTCGGTTTCCTCATCTGCCAAATAGAGATAATAGCCCCAGCCTTGCCTGTCCCTCCAGATGATATTAGATGTACTTGTGGTTTTGAGCAATTAAAAGTACTTTAACAAGGGTTATTTGGAAGTTTCAAGGTTTCAGCAATATGCTGAATAAGCCAGAGTCAAGTAATATAATTAGAAAGAAACCTTGTGTCTTTTGCTGCTTATGCTTCAGTAACAAAAAGTCCTATGATGACTTAGATTTAAAATCTAGGCTCTGTTTAGTTTATGGCTCTGCAGAGTGGACCCCTAAAGCCCACCTCTCTAGGCTTAAGGTGAGAAGCAAGCATTCCTACCACCCTCTTTCTCCTCCTGGGGGTTGGGAGGATGCAGAGTACACTACACCATCAGCTCTCTCCAAGAAATCCTGCCTCTAACAACAGCCTTCCTCTGGACTCTTTTCACATCAACTTACACCTTTAATGTGAGTAAGGGGCTCACAAGTTGTGAATGTGATATTTGAATATCTTCACCATTGAGGTTTCAGATTGGACTTCCTAATGCTCCTTGGCATCAAATATTTATTGTCTCTTAAAGCTTCAGCCAAAACTTCCAATTTAATATCACATTACATTGATTTCACTCTAATGAGCAAGTCGTTTGATCTCTTTGTCCCATGATCTCCGCAGTGTAGAGTGTTAGGCTGACACTCAACTGATTAAGATTAATACCATACATGGTACTACTAGGTAAACCCAGAGTGGGAATCTGTTGGTGCCTGGTTTACCCAGATGCTGACAGCCCAGTGTCTCAGGACCCCAGAAACTTGCTCCTGCCCAAGTCATGAGGCCCTGTGCAGAAATGCCTCACCCAGAGTCATCTTATCACCATTGAGGTAGGACCCCTTGTCCTTCTCAACCTGCCGTGGGAACATGGGTGGGGCAGGCATGGCAGTGATTGAAGACAGGTCTCAGGGGGCTCAGCTAGAAGCAGGCAAGGAAGAGCTGCCCCTTCAATCTAACCTGCTAAAAGCAGCCCAACAGATCTCAACAGTTTCCTCCATGCCCAGGACATAAGACAGGCTGCTTTCCCAACACTGAGATGTCAACGAAGCTTGCCTTCCTTACCCTTTTGAGCAGAGAGACCCTTAGCATTTGGGAAGAGTATGTGTAGACATCCTCAAATGTGTGACTATTGTTAAGGATGGTGCCTATTCCCTATCTAAGAATCATCGATTTCTAATACTTTAACCCCTAGCACTAGAGAGTTTGCTTTTTCTGTGGGCCTGGTTGTTGGTTCAGTAAGGAAAGAGCAACTCTACTGAGATGTGGGGTTGGGCAGTAAACTGGCTTTGTCACTAGCCCAGTGACCCACTCCACACACTGGCCTCCCATCATGACTCAGCCACCAGTCTCAGCAGAGTAACACATCATGGTAACCTTTGGGTTTGCCACAAATTACATCATTAAGAGTTCAAAAGGTGAGTGAGCCAAGGGTCAGTGGTACTTCCTCTCCTGCCTTCTTAGGCACCTGGTGTTTCTCACCCCAGATTCTTTCTTGACAGTGAGGAAACCAGTTGGTGAACTCTTTTGCCCTGAGGAACTTGTCATGTCCTGAAGTCAGTCCTCCTTCAGGTCAGATCAGGCGATGAAGGAATGGGAGGGGTGGTCTTCATTTTTAAGAGATGATCAAGAAGGACAGACATAAGGAGGTCTCAATAATGTGAAAGAATACTGGGAGAGAGTTCATTAACTCTGCCCAGGTGGGAATCATTCAACTTCTCTACCAAAGCTTTAGAAGGTGCTGTGGATGCCAGGGACTGTGCCATCTGAAGCAGAACCAACCCTGGAATCTGCTCTCAAGGAGTCAGGTTACAGCCATGCACAAATGGTATTCCTGTTTTTTATTACTGTTTGATGAATTACCCCCAAAACGTAGTGGTTTGGAACAACCACGTCATTTAATTATTATTTCTCATGGTTCTGGGGGCTGACTGGGTTCACCCCAATGGTTCCTGCTCAAAGTCTTTCATTTGGTTGCAATTGGGCAGCAGCTGGGGCTGGAGCCATCTCAGGCTTCCTTACTCATATGCATGTCTGGCAGTTGGTGCTGGCTGGCAGCTGAGACCTTAACTGGCCTTCAGCATCTACATGTGGTCTCCCCATGTGACCTGGGTTTCTTCACAGCATGCTGGCTGTATCCAAAGAGAAGAGATACAAGCTGCATGGCCTTTTATGACCCAGCTTCAGAAGCTACCGGGTACCACTTCCACCATATTCTATTGGTTGAAGTGGTACAAGCCTGCCTGCATTCAAGGAAAAGGGACATAGACCCCACCTCTCAGTGGGATGAATGTCAAGGTTGCATTGTAAGAACAGCATGTAGGATGAGAGGTGTTATTGCAGCCATTTAAGAAAATATAATCTGCCACAGATGGGCCAGTTGAGATTCTATGCCTTGGGCTCAAAGGGGCTATGGGTATCAATAGAACAATAGTAACAAGAAGTGTGTGCATGGTGGTGAAAGGAGCTACAGTACATGGAGTCAGTAAAGGCTTCCTGAGTACTTCTTGGTGGGGCTTTGAAGGAAGAACAGGAGTTCTCCATGCAGAGATGGAGTCAGGCATAGCCCCATGGGTGTGTGCACAGGCATGGGCCTGGGACACCAGAAGGCACTGTATTACCAAGGAGTGAAGTGCAAGGAGGAGGCAAAAGAATAGTCTGGAAAAGCAACAGGATCTTTAAGTCAGTGTGCTGCACATGAACTTCACCTTGCAAGGAGAGGGTCTAGGAAGAAATTGTATGCAGAGGAGAGAGATGCTATCAATGCTCACTCTAACAGAGATAGAGTGAATAGACCAGCAGACTGTCAGAGAACTAAAGAGGTTGTTACAATGACCCTGGGAAGGTATTGAGAGCAGTACCCAGAAAGGGTGAACAGGGAGATGTCCAGAGCAGGAAATAGACTGGATTTGGTGACTAGAGGAGGAAGAGTCAGGGAGGAGTCAGCCTAGAACATGAAAAACTATCACATAACTTTACCAGTGAAGATGGGGAAGCATGTGTCCAAAAATTAGATGTTAAATTTATACCTCTTTTAGGAAATTTTCATTCCATAAATTGTAACTATTTGGGGAAAACCCATTATTTTCTTAATTCACAAATGAAGGTGAGGATTATCTTCTATGAAGAACATCTTTTTCACTTAAATTGACATGCACAAACTTAAAAGTGCAGTGGCTATCACAAACAGTTCTAGTGGGTCTCTGAAAGCTCCACTAGGAAGGCAGAGCCCTGAGAGGCTGAAGTCAGACAGCTCCCATCTAAGTGGTCTCTGCCAGGAAATATTCCCCGAATATGTGTCTTGTGCAAAATCTCATCTTGACCATTTAAGAGCCTGCAGTCTAGCATGATGGGTGAGCACAAGCACAAATTATTCTCATACCATGATACACATCACACTAGAGCTTTATATGCATTTCTTCATTTTAGTGCATTCAGTTTTCAACAAATGTATCGAGCACCTATGACAAATCAGGAAGTGCTCTAGGCATTGGAGATATAGTGGGAAATGAGGAGACGAGTTCCCTGCCAGCATAGAGTTTACATGCTAGTGGGGAGACAGAAAGTAAACAAATAGTTTAAGGTTATTTTGGGTAGTGGTGAGTGCTGAGAAGAAAATTAAAAGAATAATGGAGTGGCGTGTGATGGGTGGTCAGGGAAGGTTTGAGGGGGTGACAGTGGAACCCAGGTTTGAACGCTGACTAGTATTATTCTGGACACAGGGGACAGCAAGTGCAAAGGTTTTGGGTGTGTTCAAGAACATGAAGCCAGGTGTGATGGCTCACACCTGTAATCCCAACACTTTGGGAGGCCAAGGCAAGAGGGTGACATGAGGCCAGGAGTTCATGATGAGCCTAGGCAACATAGTGAGGCTTCTGCCTCTACAAAAAATAGAAAATAAAAAAATTAGCTGGGCCTGGTAGCACGTTCCTGTGGTCCCAGCTACTCAGGAGGCTGAGGGGGGAGAATCACTTGGGCCCAAGGATTTGAGAAAGCTGGTGTGTTGGGAGTTGAAAGTGTGTGAGCCGGAGGGGTTGGGGGTGTGGTCAGGGAGTGAGAGTAGAAAGGTAGGCAGAAGGCAAAGCAGATACCAGCCTTATGCTGGGAAGACAAATTAATCCTCTTTGTATTCTTTAAGGATCACTATGGCCACAGCATGGAAAATGAATCATAGGAGGGCAAGATTGCAAGCAGAGAGGATGAGAGACCCATTAGGAGGCTGCTGTGTTGTCCAGGCAGGAAATGACCATGGCTTGGGCTAGGGCAGTGCCTGTGGAGCTGGAGAAAAGAGGACAGATTCAGCATATATTTTGCAGATAAAGCTCACGGGGTTTGCAGATGAATATGAAGTGAGAGGAAATGATAGAAATGAATTTGGGTCCCAGGCTTAGGCCTGAATAACTGGGCAGATGACAATCCCATTGCCTGAAATGGGGAAGTCACCGGGAGGAGTGAGTTTTGGTGGGGAGGTACCAGGCTGGGGTGGCGGGGGAGCATGCATTAAGAATTCTGGTTTGCATATTTTGGTTTCAGATATGTTACACATTCAAATGGAGTATTAAAATTGGCACTTTGATATGGGATATAGAGCTCAGGATATAGTCAGAGATAAATTCAGAAGAAATGCCTTCCGTTTTATGGGGTGAGGAATCCAGAGAAGTGGAGAGACTTATCCATGGCCACGTGTGGTTAGGAAATGATGGAGCCTAAGACAGGAGCCCAGGCTATCTGCTTCTAACACCCACAGCCCTTTCCTCAGCACTGTTCTTGGTAGGGGTATAAAACATGGAGGTAGGGAAGAAAGAGCTTCACTGTGAACAAGGTATGTCCAAATGGAGGCATCCAAAGTAAATAGGCAGGACCCTCAGAAACACTGAAAGAGAATCACTCAGAGTCCCTGGGTGAAAATGAGTAGGTAGATAGATAGATAGATAGATAGATAGATAGATAGATAGATAGATAGACAGACAGACAGACAGACAGACAGATAGATGTCTGATGCTCCAATTAAGAATTTGTTTCATAAAATCTGGATTCCTGATGGTGCTCACAAGTCAATGAAGGTATACACGTTGCCAAAGTCTCTACTTGAACCATATGGTACCTGGTAGGACTTTCAAAGGGGAAATGCTGAGGGATGGAAAAAGCCTAGGTAATGATAGGTGTCATCCCTTTGTACAAGTCTCCCCTTGCATGTGTTGGCATCAGCTCCACTCTAATGTCCATCCCAGTAAGCATGCAGTAGACTAAGAATGGGGAGGAGAAACAGTGCATAGGGAGCAGGGAGGCACCCTAGGGTCTCCAGCCTGCCCCCGGTGCCTAGAAGGAAGTGAGAGGAGGAGGCAGGCAGGGATCTCATCTAATTCCTTTCTAAATGTGTTTTCTGGAGGAGGAAGTGGCATGGAAAAAAGGAGAAAATTGTTCTTACACTCTGCTTCTCACAATTGCCTAAGAGTGCCAATGATTTGAGAATTAAGGAGTCCAAATTTGAAGCCCATCAAAGCTGCACTTTGAATGGTTCTCAGATTTCATATGATGAATACTTGTGCCTCTCTGCTCTTTAATTTACAAAGAGCACCTGCCCTTTTTGCCTGCAACTTTAGCTTTTTTCATAAGCACATTACAAAGCATTTTAATGTTGAGTAGCATACTCATATTTCACCTTTATGGCTTGTATTGTTCAAAATGCAGTTATGAAAAGTATGTTTTAATAAAGTCAGGTCCGTGTTGTTTTTTTTCCTTCTGCAGCAGCTAAAAGCCATATATATTATTCAGAAATAGCTTGCCTTTGGACCTTTCCTTCTGAGATAGAAATTCATTTCACCTGGCTATAAATCAGACTCAGAGATACCCTTAATCCAGAAAAGGAGATAAAACATGCTTGATAACCCTGGTGTTAAAATACCATACCAGGAAAATAATTTTCTCTGCAAAGTACGAAGAGGAAGTGTTTTTATAATCTGTGTGTGTGTGTGTGCATGTGTGTGTGTGTTTGTGTGTGTGTTCTACATCCTCAGTTAAACCCTTTTGATTAGAAATATCATGAGTCCACCAACAGAACATTTGGCTACCTTCCCTGGGGCAGAGCAGAGGCAACATGATTTACTGGGTTGTGCAAACACTGAAGGGTGGCCAAGAGGCCAAGCCATTTTTCAATCCAGAAGAGTAGTGATGCTTGATTCCATTTGCATAGTCTTCTAATAAGATTCCCCCGGCACTGGTCAGAAAGATTGACTAGGGATGGTGTTTCCAGGACAAACCAGTTCTGTCAGCAATAGGTATTTTTAACTGTGATCTACCTTTCTATGCAACCAGGGACAAGCAATACTTTTTACTGGGGAGCGGAGGTGTTAGTTGCAAATGACAACAGAATGCGTTTGTAAAGAAATTGTCAGGAGTGCTATCCTAACTGGGTAGCTCTGAGCTCACCACTTAAATTCTCACGGCCTCAGTTTCCACATCCATTGAGTGGAAATAGACTTGCTCTCAGAGGAACACTTCAGTTCTAAATTTCTCTGTAGATTTTCAATTATTCCTTAGTGGTTTTACCTAGAGCCTTCCCCTGTTTCTTCTGGTTATGGTTAACAGATGACCTATGGTTTTTCTTTTCTCATCTCCTAACTATTGTTCCAGAAGTATGGTTTAGCACAGCTCAGACCTTAGCACAAAGGACTGGAGAAGGAGCTGAAGTTGGTTCTACCCATCACCAGACTATAGAGCGAGGAAACTGATCCACACAGAGAAAAGTGTTGCCAGGCTGGATAAAATGCCTATGGGACAGACCAAGTCTATGACAGTAAGAGAGTGTATCAGCCACCATTCCCACTTCTCCTGTGGAGTCCAAGCCCCTTGCAAAACATGGAGTGCAGACAGCTATGGAGATGCATAAATATGACCCAAAACTTTCACTCTGGACTGAATGCTGACTTGGTCCCTACTTGACCCAAACAGATAAGGCCAAGAGTGGACGGCAATGTGCACTGCATATGGACAAGCTACTTGGTACTATGTAAAGCATTTTACCATTATTTTTACTGAATCCACACTGTAAATAGTCCTCTGAAGTGAGCATTCTTTTCCTCATTTTCCTACAAAGGAAGAGTGATTTCTCCAAGGTCACACAGCTAGCTAGGAAATAAGAGACAGGATTGTACCTGCATCTGCCCCTTACCCTTACTCATTTATACCACAGTTCTAAGCTTTAGCATGCACATGATCACTTGGAAGACTTGTAAGGACAAGCAGAGCCTGGCCAACAGAGCTCCTACTTTATAGGTCTAGGGTGGGCCCCAGATTTTGCATTTCTTTTATTTTTATTTATATTTATTTATTTAGAAACAGGGTCTTGCTCTGTCACCCAGCCTGGAGTGCCGTGGCACAGAACCTGCATTTCTAACACGTTCCCAGGTGCTAATGCTGCTGCCAGCCCAGGAACCTCACTTTAATAATCACTGTCCTGGCCCTTGCTGCCTCCATTAGCTAATCCATAGTACTTCTTGAGTACCTACTATTTGCCTAGCTCAAGACCTGGTTCTATGATGGTGTGGTGGGGAAGAACACAGAGCAAGAAGATGTCATTGTCCTTGTCCTCATAGAGGTGAAACTGCAGGAAAGAATAACCAACTCCATGAAAAATGCAGGGGGAAATGCTAAGTACTGTTGGCAGGCAGAGGGGAGCAGTAAAACTGTTTGGCCTGGATAGCAGGTAAGGAAGGAGGCAAGAAAGAGTAGGAGGAGGCAAATCTGGGGCTCGGCCTTATGAGATTTGGAAAGCTGGGACAAGAGTGACAGGGATTCAGAGAGCAACTGTTCAAGGGATATGTGGGAAAACACAAAGAACTAAGGAAATTGGCCTGTGAGATCAGGGGCTTCATAATGATATTATGATGATGGCAGCCTCCATTTACAGAGCCATGATCACAGGCTGCCAGCCACTGGGCAAAGCTCTTCACAAACACCATCAAATTTGATCCTCACAACAAGGTGATGCAGTTAATAACAGCTCCACATACGGCCACTGCCCTCTGCTGCTTTAGATCTGGAACCAAATGTCCAGCGACGAGACTGAAGCTGGACACACTTGGGGCAGAAGGAGAGAAATATCAGCTGGAGTGTGACATGCCAGCCTCTTGCCAGTTCCTCTGCACGACACAAGCATGTGCTTGTACTCACTAGAACAAGGAAGATGCTCTTCAGTGGCTTGTAGCAATTTTAAGGAAGGGTTCATTTTTTAAGTCGGAAATACTTGACCACTTGGTCCTACCTAAACAGGTCAGCAGTTACCTTGAAGAGAGAAAAATTAAATAGGTATGATTGCAAGGCCAAGGTGGCTGAGATACATGTGTCAGAAAGGGTTTGGTAAGCCCTTTCCATAGTAAGTTGTGTCGGGACACCTGGCAGACTGCATATTCCTCCACAGAGGGGCTCCGTGGCCACCTCAGACTTTGAAAAGGTGCATCCTCTACCTTCCCTCCAACTTGGAGCTACAAAGCACCTTTCCCATATTAAAGAATCTATGAAATTCTACAGGGCAGAAACCAGCTTGTCTTGGTTTTAATTCCTCATCTCCCAAACTTACTTGCTCGTGAGCCCATTTTTTTGACCACCAAACATCCGATGGAGCTGTACCCCATGGCAAATACAGTGGGGAAGTGGGGGCTCTAGGAATGTTGGCCAAGAAGACTAGAGGAATTCACAGAACCAAAGGCAGCCGAGAGACCGTTCGTCTCTCCCCACACCCCATGCCTCACAGGCTATGTGACTTGGACGTGCTCACGTACAATTCCATAAGCCACAGAGGTGAAGCGAAATGAGCTGCCAGATAATGTAGCCGGCTGGAGTGTGATTGCTTCAGCTCTCACTTATTATACAGCCCTGGGCCTAGAAAACAATTGCCATTTGG
The DNA here is from genome assembly GCF_000001405.40 of Homo sapiens. Classification (NCBI taxonomy): domain Eukaryota; kingdom Metazoa; phylum Chordata; class Mammalia; order Primates; family Hominidae; genus Homo; species Homo sapiens. The sequence goes on along the minus strand of NC_000003.12, from coordinate 139,465,749 downwards.
TGGGGGACAGTATGCAAGGGCTTTGGAAAACAAACTGCCTCAAACAGGGAGGGCTCATCCAACTGAATCCCACAGTCCCTGTGTCTCCAGGGGAAATTTAACAGAATCAGAAGTTACTAGTATCTTGGGCAGCCACAGAAATTGCACACATGGGGATGGTCTAACTGGGCTACCCCAGAGCTTGGGGAGCACAGCACTGGCCCTTGAGACAGATCATCCTAAGTTCAAGTACCATCTCGACTGCCTCCTCACCACATAATCCAGGGAAAGTGACACAACTTCTCTGAGGCAGTTTTTCCGCCGTGGCAAAATGAGGATAAAATAAAACTTATCTTGTGGGTTTATTTGAAGAATAAAATGAGGAAGGTTTCCCAAGGGAGGTTACACCCTGAGCCACCATCCCTAGACACTATCCCTAGACACAAAGGGACACCATCCCTAGACACAAAGCGTGTCTTAATTGCCACCCCAAATATTACCAAGAGTCCACACAGCATGGCTCGCAGATTCACCTTACCTAAAATTCAGTTCACTATGTATCCCCATAAAACTAGTTCCCTCTTTTATTCCCTGGCTCTCATCTTGATCATCCAAGCTCAGAACAACTGTTTCTTCCTTCCAACTCAATCTCTCTACACATCTATCCAATTACCAAGCCACTACAATTGCTGTATCAGCCATGTATATTTAGACAAGTAGACTGACCTCTCTAGGTCTTACTTCATCATCTCTGACATGAAAAGTAGGCACTTTAACAGTAAGTAGCTTTCAAAATTTTTAAACCATAGAAGTCTTTTTCCAAACAGCCTCCTATGGACAAAGTTCAAAATCTGAAATCACTGAGCTCTACCACCCAGAGATTCTAGGTCTGGGATAGGACCCAGAAATCTGCATTTTTTTCATTGTTTCAGGTGATCCAGAAAGGAAACTAGCTTTGGGACCCACTGGTTCCTAGACATGGAAGGTACTCAACAAATAGTAGAGAATGAGAGGTGAGCAAGGCACTGGCATTTGTGCAGCAGCTCATGCCAACTTGAACTTACTTCTCTTTTCAACTTAGGATACAGGTATGTAATCTTTTTACCTTCTGGCTAGCTAATATTACTTAAAATTGTTCTGTCAGGCTCAAATCTGACTTTATACAAGTTAGAGTCTAAAGGTACCCAGGGCCCTTTCTCATGCAGCTGTGATTCTGTTGTGGATTCAGATTGCTGACCCAAAGTGAGGTTCAACTCGGCCTCTCCTTGATTTTGGGGAAAAGGGGAGTAATAGTGACCAAAGAAGGATTTTTTTTTTTGAGATGGAGTCTCGCTCTATTGCGAGGAGTGCAATGGCACAATCTTGGCTTACTGCAACCTCCGCCTCCCGGGTTCAAGTGATTCTCCCGCCTCAGCCTCCCGAGTAGCTAGGATTACAGGCACCTCCATCATGCCCGAATAATTTTTGTATTTTTGTAGAGACAGGGTTTCACCATGTTGGCCAGGCTGGTCTTGAACTCCTGACCCCAGGTGATCCACCCACCTAGGCCTCCCAAAGTGCTGGGATTACAGGCGTGAGCCACCAGGCCCAGACCCAAAGAAGGATTTTTGAAGGAAATGGGTCAGAAAGGAAATGGGGAGAGAGTAAGGGAAGTGATGCTTGGCCACCATGGGAAGACAGCAGAGTCGTCAATCTCCAAACTGACAGGAACTTCCTGAGCTACCTGCTGCTCTGTCTTTCATGGCCACAATATAGTGTTTGTCCTGTACCGGACACTGCACAACATGAAATTTCATCACTTACATATCATAAAGATGGTACTGCAGTTCTCAGAGAAATAGCACTCGATAAATTTGAACTGTTCTTATTCTTGAGGTCAATATTATCTTTGGGTTTTAATAGAATCAATTCTAGGTTTTTTAAAACCTTCTCAGTGGATTTTCTAAAAAAAATATTAAAGATTTAAATTGGCATCTAAAGATATTTGGAGAATTTACAGGCATAATGGGAATCAGATATTTGACTAAAGACCAAGAGTGATGATTTCATAGCAAGGAAAGAAATTCAAGTATTTTCAGAACTATCCTCTCTTTCTAGATCTACTCCACAGGCCAACAACTTTTTGGCATGGCTCTAGTTGAGCCACATTTTATGCTTAACTAGGGGTTTGCTTCTTCTTGTAATATGCAACGCTTAGGACATTCAACACTCCTTCGGTTTGTTTCAACATTTTCATAATAAAAATGTAAACAATTATTAACCTATCCCTTAAAAACAACAGAAGAGGCCGGGCACAGTGGCTCATGCCTGTAATCCCAGCATTTTGGGAGGCCGAGGTGGGCAGATCACAAGGTCAGGAGATCAAAACAATCCTGGCTAAAATGGTGAAAACCGATCTCTATTAAAAATACAAAAAATTAACCAGACATGGTGGTGGGCACCTGTAGTCCCAGCTACTTGGGAGGCTGAGGCAAGAGAATGGCATGAACCTGGGAGGCAGAGCTTATAGTGGGCCAAGATTGCACCACTGCACTCCAGTCTGGGCAACAGAGCGAGACTCCATCTCAAGAAAGAAAAAAAAAGAAGAAATCTCTGAACAAATATTTATTTTCCAGAATACG